>NC_000011.10:73176908-73479938 GCF_000001405.40 Homo sapiens | reverse complement strand
GAGTTTTCTTAAAGTTGTTTGGTAAGAAGAAATACTTTCTAAAGGGAAATTAAGCTGTTGAATTCCAGTAAACTGTTTTTATTCATCCATCCATCCATTCATTCATCTAGTCAACAAATGTTTATTGAGCACCTTGCTTTAATATCAGGCCCTTTTCCAGGAATTCAGAGTAAATAAAAGAGGTAATTTGTTGATCTCATGGTGCTTAAAATGTAGCAAGAAGAAAATAATTGGGCAAGCAAATTACAGTTGCAAGAAGTATTTATAACATAGAAGTGTAGAGAGCTGTGGGATCATAAAATTACCTGTAGCCATGCACAGTCTGGCTTTCTGAGATCTTTTCTAAGAGCTAAGTGGACTCAGTTGAGAAATGGGGACAGGAATAAAATCCCTGCTGTGTTTTCCCTCAGATTGCATGCTCAAACCTTCCCAAATTACTTGATATTTTCTGAATGTTTTCTTGTCCTCTCACGGTGTAATTTCACAAATGGCCTTTCCTCCTCTCTCTGTAGAATTCCTGTCATCCTTTAAAACATAGATCAAATGACATATTTTTTTTGAAACCTGTATTATCCTCCCAATTAAATAGGATTAGGTTCAGCTACATATAACAGTAATAAAAAATAATAGTGGTTTTAAAATATAGTTTTATTTTCTCATGTAAAAGAAGCACAGAGGTATGTATAGCAGAGCTGAAATGATTGTTCCATGAAATCAAGGTTGTTTCTACCTTTCTCAGTTTAAGACCTCCATTCTCAAGGTCACTTCATGGAAAAGAAGCCTGCTGAGCTATAATCATCATGTCCTAATTCTAGATAGCAGGAATCAGTAAGGGGAGAGGAAAGGGCACCTTCCCCAGGTAACAGAGTTCCCTTTAAGCAGCCTTCTCAGAAGTTCTACAGAGTATTTCGGTTACATCTCATGAGCAAAACTAATCAGATAGCCACACCTAACTATTCCTGGGAAAGTTGGGAAATAGAATCCTTTAACTGAGCATGTTGCCATCTAGTGGCAGTCACAGCACTGCCCACCTGCTCCCCCATCACCCCACTTTAGTTGTTTTTTTCTTTAAATTCTAGCTTTCAGTATAACAACAGTACTATATTGCTGTTAATTCCAAGGCTGTTTCCCTCATATAAATACCCCAGGGACAGAAATTGTGCCTTGTTACCCCTGAATCTGTAACACTTTATGCATGGCCTGGCACAGCAAGTATCAGTTTATATAAAATGAGTGTGCTGAAGTAAATGACTTAATCTCTTTTAGCTTATTAAAAATTTGTAACTATTGAATCAACAATTTGTATTTTTAGTAGCTTTATTGAGGTATAATTTAGATATGATAAATGTACTCATTTTAAGTGTACAGTGTTTTTTTGTGAATTTACAGAATTTTGTAACCACCAAAAATCATTTTAGACTTTTTTTCCACACCAAAGAAATCTCTTGCTTCTATCTGCAGTCAATCGCCATTCCTGCTCTGAGTCCCAGATGATCAAAAATCTACTGTTTGCCTGTACAGATTTGTCTTTTCTGAACATTTCATATAAATGGAATCATGCAATATGTGTTCTTTTGCCCTGGCTTCTTCCACTTAGCATAATATTTTCAAGGTTAATTCATGTTGTGACATGTATCAGTAGTTTGTTCCTTTTTATTGATATTGTCGATATTTAACATTTTAAAATTTATTTTCTCACTGGTTGCTTTGGGGATTAAATATGCATCTTAATTTATTATAACTTATTGCATTTATTTCAGTCTAGTTCAGATGCAAACTAATGTAATTCAGTAAAATGTAGAAATGTTGCTCCAATATGGCAGCATTCCCATACTTCCTTACTTTGGACTCTTGTTTTTATGTAAATGGTATCTTTATATATCATAAGGCCAACAATTCAGTTTTATAGTTGTTTTATGCAATTGTCTTTTAAGCCAGTTAACACGAAAAATATTTATACCTTGTTTTATCTATCTATCTATCTATCTATCTATCTATCTATCTATCTATCTATCTACATATCAGCTTTCCTGGTGCTCTTTATTTTTGTGTGTGGACTTGAATTACTGTCTAGTATCACTTCCTTTCAGTCATAAATATTTAGTATTTCTTTAGTATTTTTTGAAAGGCAGGTTGCTAGCAATGAATTGTCTCAATTATTTATCTGGGAATGTGTTTATTTTGACTTCAGTTTCAAAGGATAGTTTTGCTGGATTTAGAATTCTTGGTTGACAGGTTTTTTGTTTGTTTTTTCAGCACATTGAATATACCAACCTCCTGTCTTCTGGCCTCCGGTCAGCTGTTAATCTTATTGTTATTCCCTTTTATCAGATAAGTTGTTTTCTCTTGCCACTTTTGAAATTTTCTCTTTGACTTTTAGAAGTTTTACTATATTGTGTCCGGTTATGGATCTTTTTGTGTTTATCCAACTTGAAGTTGATTGTATTTCTTGGATGTGTAGTTTAATATGTGTTGTTGTTGTTGTCTTAATCAAATTTGGGAAGTTTTTGGACATTATATCTTCTTTTTTTTTCAATTTGTGGTATAATTTCTTTTTCTTCCCCCTTGACTTTTATTTTAGGTTTAGGGGTAACATATGCAGATTTGTTACGTGGGTAAATTGCGTGTCACTGGGATTTGGTGTACAAATGATTTCATCACCCAGGTAGCGAGCATAGTACCTGACTTTTTTTTGACTTTCACCCTCCTTCAACCCTCCCTGCCCAAGTAAGTCCTAGTGTCTATTGTTCTCATCATTGTGTCTATGTGTACTCAATGTTTATCTCCCACTTATAAGTGAGAATCTGTGGTATTTAGTTTTGTGTTCCTGGGTTAATTTGCTTAGGATAATGACCTCCAGCTGCATCCATGTTGCTGCAGAGAACATGATTTTGTTTTTTGTTTTATTTTTTTAATGGCATAGTATTCCCATTTTTCCCACCTAATTTTCTTTCTCTCCTCTTTCTGGGACTCTCATGCTTGTATTTTGGTTTGCTTGCTAGTTTCTCACAGTTTATTTTTCTTCATTGTTTTCTTTTTGTTTTTCAGATTGTATAACTTCTATTGCTCTGTCTTCAAGTTCAGTGATTCTTTCTTCTGCCAGCTCACGTTTGCTTCTGAGCCTCTCTTGAATGATTCATTTCAGAATACGATTTCCATTTGACTCTTTCAATTTTTATATTTTTTATTGATATTCTCTATTTGATAAGTTATTATCATACTTTAATTCTTTAAGTGTGGTTTTCTTTAGTTTTTTTTTAACATTTGTAATAGCTGCTTTGAAATATTTATCTGCTGATTCCAATATCTAGACTCCTGCAAGAACAAAATTTATTGTTACCTGTTTTTCCCCCACAAATGGGACATACTTTATTGTTTCTTTGCGTGTTTCATGATTTTGTCAGTATTGCTGAAAACTACATATTTTAGATAATATATTGTAGCAATTCTTGATTCGGATTCCACCCACCCACCCCACCCCCACCCCACCATCAGGAGGTTGTTGTTGCTGGGATTTTTTGTTTAGTGACTTGCTTAGACTCTTCTGTAGAGTCTGTCTCCTTTGCAGTGTGATTTCTGATGTCTCTGGCCATATTTTTTTAATTACTATTTTAATTTTTAAACTTGGCTTCCTAAAGGTCACCCCTGGGTTGGCATAGATTAGTGGCCATCCAATGTTTGATCAGGAGTTCTGATTAAACGCAGGCCAGGAAGGCTTCCACCCTTTACCAGTGGATCTGTATGTGGTTTGGGGAATGCATTCAAAATTCAGGCAATTTACAGTTATGCTCTAACTTTTAGTTTTGTTATGTCCAAGGCCTTAAATTCACCCAGGATCAGCAGATACAGAAGACCTTCTTTACAGACCACTAGGGATCCTATGAAAGTTTATCAAGACCCACTATGGTTGTTGTGTTCCCCAGACCTCCCTTTAAAATTTCTGGCTTATCTGCAGGTCTGTTGCCTGCACCAACTAGTATGACCTCAGAGTAGCTGCATTAGTGGCCTTCCTGGATTATTTGCTGTTGTTCCCCAAATTGCCTCACTATTGTTTTTGACAATGACTCTGGGCATTGGATTTTCTATGCTCAGTTTCAAATTAAATCAGCCCACTCTGGTTGCAGTAGTCCTTTTAGCCTGGTCTAGCCTGCCCTAGTAGCAGGCCCCCTACAGAGCTTGGGATTGGGATAAGGGCAGCCCCAGGGTAAAATGCCATGGATTTTCACTGTTCTTAATGTGGTTCAGAAGTTTTTCTTGAATAGACATTTCATACTTTGGCCCAAAATGGTTTTTTTTTTAACATTTCATCTCATTTTATTTTTGCTTTTGGGGGAAAGGGTTTGGTAAGCACTTTGTTCCAGAAGTTCCACCTCCTTCTATTACTTTTGGCATTTTAATTTTTATTTAACTTTTAAACTTTCCTAGGTAGACCATATCCTCTTTTGGGCAAACACAATCTTTTTCCTTTCCCAACAGTATCTATCCCAGAAGGCATTAAACCTTTAAGCTTTAGTTTCTTGGTCTGTCAAATGAAATTAATAATCTTTGCATTGCTTACTTCAAAGGACCAAGTGAGATAATGGTTAAAATCTCATTGTAAAGTCTAAAGCACTGTGTAAGTGGTAAAATTATTTGAAAAATTTACCATTTTTACCATTTTTCAAATGGTAAATTTTTCAAAGAATTTTACCATTTTAGTTTGCAAAGTGTAGTAGTTTGCAAACTAAAACACTAAGTTTAAACACTGCAACCTGTTGTGTAAATATTACTTTAATCTCTGGGCTTTTTTGCTTGTCATTTAATGGTCATATATTTCGTTATTTTGAAAGAAATAGTTGAGATGTTTTGAGGGTAGCAGGAAGCCATTTGTAGAACAGTGGGTAGGAATCTAGAAGTGAAAAATCAGCTTCACCAGGAGGAATCTTTAGCACCTCTCTTTTCTCTCTCACATGTCATGCAACTGCTGGGCCTTACCATTGCCTATTTTGCCCAAGATGAGCTCCTAGTAGAGGCTTCTCTGGGCATTGGAAGTAGCTGCTGGAGAGATAGGGAGCCAAGAAGTTGACTGGGATATGCCAAGAAATGCCAAACATCTTGAAGCTTTTTTCACAGTTTTATTTTGGAGAAGCATGAAAGATGGCTCATTGTTTGTTCAACTAATATGTATTTGGTGCCTGTTTTGTGCCAGGTAATATTCTGTGCACTGGGGATACAAGATAAACAGAATCTCATTCTCATGGACCTTACTCTAATGGGGGAAAGAATAAACAAGAAAATATGTCAGACAGTAATAGGTGTTACAGTGGTTTGGATGTTTGTCCTCTATAAAACTTATGTTGAAAATTAATTGCCCATGTAATAGTATTGGGAGGTGGGACCTTTAAGAGGCAATTAGGTTCTGGGGGCCCTGTCCTCAGGGGTGGGCTTAATGTCTGTTTAACAGGCTTTTGAGGAGCCAGCTTTCAGGGAGCTACTTGGGAGACTAGGGCAGGAGGATCACTTGAGCCCAGCAGTTTGAAGCTGTAGTGTGCCGTAACTGTGCCTGTGAATAGACATTGCAGTCCAGCCTGAACAACACAGTAAGACCCCATATCTTTAAAAAAAAAAAATCATTTTTTTAAAAGGCTTTCAGGAATAGATTCTCTCTCTTGCCCTTCCATGGGATGATATAGCAAGAAGGCCCTTGCCAGATGCCGTCCCCTTGATCTTGGACTTCCCATGCTCCAGAACTGTGAGAAATAAATTTCTGTTCATTATTAATTACCTAGTCTCAGCTATTCTGTTATAGCATCACAAAACAGACTAAAATAGATATCAATAAGAAGAGTAAGCCGGGCACGGTGGTCCATGTCTGTAATCTCAGCACTTTGGGAGGTCGAGGTGGGTGGATCACTTGAGGTCAGGAGTTTGAGACCAGCCTGGCCAACATGGTGAAACCCCATCTCTACTAAAAATACAAAAATTAGTTGGGTGTGGTGGTGGGTGCCAGTAATCCCAGCTACTTGGGAAGCTGAGGCAGATTGCTTGAACCTGGGAGGCAGAGGTTGCAGTGAGCCGAGATTGCGCCACTGCACTCCAGCCTGGGCAACAGAGCGAGACTCCATCTCAAAAAAAAAAAAAGTAAGAAAGGATGAGAGAACAGAGAATAACAGCATGTGGAGGACCTATTTTAGATAAGTTGGTTAAGGAAGGCATTTCTGATAAGGTGACATTTGAACAGAGACCTGAATTAAGTGAGGAGCTGTGCCATTTGGATATCTGGGGAAAAGGGCATTCTAGGTGTGGGGAAAAAGCAAGTGCAAAGACCCAGAGGCACAAGCATGCATGGTGTCTTCAGGGAACAACAAGGAAGTCATTGTGATTGAAGTGAAGAAAACAAAAAGATAGTGGTAGAAGTTGCAACCAGAGAGGTAGGCACATCAGGCCATATCATATAGTTATAACTGCCCATGGTGCCCAGCAGTGACCCAGCAGGTGCCAGGTACTGTGGTAGATATGAACTGCCTCCCTGTTGTGATCTGTTAGGGTCCAAGCAGAGCACTTAGGCTCTTGAGTTGAACAAGGGTTTGAGGCCTACTGTTCCAGAGGCGAACCTAGTACTGGGGTAGCTGACTAGAGAGCCTGGAAGCCTCATCTAGTACAGTGAAAGTAACTTGGACATTGAAATCAAACAGACCTGGCTTTGAAATTGGCTTTTCCTTACTTCTTAGTTATGAGATCTTGGGCTAGTCACTTCATTTTTTTGGACTTAAGTTTACTTATCTGTAATATAATAAAAATAATACTTAGTTTGCAAGTATTATAAGACTGACAGGGACTTAGTAAGTCCTTAGCACAGTACCTGTCACATGGTAGGTGTTCAGTAAATGGTAGCTGCTGGTAGTAGGGGTAGTATTTATTATTTTTTTTCCTTTTTTTTTAACCTCCACAGAACCACCAAAGAGGTAATGTTTGTGGTAGTCCTAATGGCTAACCTTCTATGGGGTGTTGATTGTATATCAAACATTGTTCTGAGCAAAATTCTTAGGCATCTCCAATCTAAGTCCAAATCCAGATTTCTGTTCTTCACCCAAAACCTACTCCTCTCATAGTTCTCACCAGTAAATGGCATTTTTATTATTCCAGTTTCTCAAGCCTTGGCATCATTCTTGATGTCTTTCTTCCTCTCATACCTTATATTAAATCCATTAGCAATTCCTATCAGCTTGATCTTCAAAATATATAAAAAACATGACTAGTTTCCACCACCACCATCACTGCTACTACCACCATCATCTTTCATCTGAACTGTTTCTAAAACCTCCCGATTGCCCTACTACTCTTCTTGCTTTCCTGCTGTCTGATCTCAGCACAACAATCTACCTCTTCTTAAAATGAAGACAAATAATTTCACTCTTCTTTGTAAAACAGTCCAGTGGCTTCCCATCTTATTTAGAATAAAAACAAAGTTTGTATAGTGGCCTATGAGGCCCTGCATGATTTGGCCTTCATTACCTGTCTGATCTTACTTGCTATTCTTCCCCTTCATTTACTCCACTTCAGCTAAACTGGCCTCTAAGCTCTTTCTCAAAAATGCTTCTACTTTGGGGGCATTTGTATTTGCTGTTTCCTCTACTTGGACAGTTTCTTCTCAGAGATCTCCATGGCTTGCTCCTTCAACTTATTCAGGTGTTTGCTCAGATGTCACTCAATGACACTTTTTCGAATCATCTTATTTAAAATTGCAACAACCTGCCCTTAGCACTCCCTAAGCAGCCTGAGTGGATTTCTTTACAGGAGCGGTCCCCAACCTTTTTGGCACCAGGGACCAGGGGTATGTGTGGAGATGGGGCGGGGAGAGGGGGGCATTAGATTTTCACAAGGAGCACACAACCTAGATTCCTTCGTATGTGCAGTTCACAATAGGGTTCACACTCCTATGAAAATTTAACGCCTCCTCGGATCTGACAGGAGGTGAGCTCAGGTGGTAATGCTTGCTTGCCTGCTGCTCACCTCCTGCTATGCTGCCTGGTTCCTAGCAGGCCATGGAATGGACTGGTGCTGGTCCATGGCCCCAGGCTTGGGAACCCCTGCTTTACAGTTTTTATTGCCATCTGATATATCTTTCACTTGAAAAAAAATCTCTCTTTCTTCCCCCTCCCAACTAGCATGTAAGCAGAAATTTTTGTTGTTCTTGTTCTCTGCTGTATCTCAATTCCTCTAGACAGCCTATGTGAGAGAAATGGCATTTGGGAAAGAAAGGCTAAGGCATGGTCCTCAAACTGGGCAACAAAATCTCCTTAGGAACATAAATACACAGATTTCTGAGCCCCATCCCAGATAGAGCATCAAGGATCTTGTATACTCTGTGAAAGAGTTTGGATTTTATTCATAAGGCTTTTGAAGAAGGCTGGTGGTATTAACTACAAATGTATGACAACTTTTTGGGGTAATGAAAATATTTTATATCTTGATTGTGGTGATGTTTGTACAACTGAATACGTTTTTCAGGGGCTCATAGAACTATATACCTAAAAGAGGTAAAATTTTACTATATGGAAATTATACTTTAATGAACCTGTCATTAAAAAATTTTTTTTTACAAATTATGTTTTTTGTTTTTTTCCCATTTTGAGGTTAGAGGAAACAGAGACTCAGAAGTTAAAGGACTACCCTGTGATCCCATCATGGTATGTGGCAGATCCAGGATTTGAACCTAAATCTGCCTGATTGTAGAGTTTATGATCTTCCTACTCATTTTTAGCCTGTCCCTGAAACTATTTACAGTATAGATTTTGTTATAAAAGGCCAACCTTCCTTTAGAAGCTGGGAATCCCATCTACCCTTGAGCAGCTCCCTAGAAGTGGCTGTCATATTCTAAAGTTTGAAACCCTGGCAGATCTCATTTCTGTCAGTCATTAATTGAGATTGGAATTGATGGAGTGCTATCATGGAGTGCTACCCCAGGCATGATCTACCCCAGGCATGATCTCCTCCTGTGGCAGTGGCCCTCATTTTGGAGCAGCAGGAGACCAGTTTCAAAGCTGATGAGTTTCTTTGATTATAAAAAGCAATTTTGTACTTTGTCCAATCAGCAACACAGAGTGTCTTCTCAGTAGGAGAGTGCTCAGATGTTTACAGGTAAGTTGTACTGCTTAGCACTTGTCTTAGTCCTTTTTGTGCTGCTATAGCAGAATACCACAGACTGGGTAATTTATAATGAATGGAAATGTATTGGCTTATAGTTTTGGAGGCTGGGAAGTCCAATATCAGAGTACAAGCATCTGTCAAGGGCCTTCTTGCTGTGTCATCCCATGGTGGAAGAGAGAGGGGCAAAAGAGGGTGACAGAGAGCAAGAGGGGGCCAAACGCATCCTTTTGTGAGGAACCCACGCCCACCATGATAAAACCCACTCCTGTAATAATGGCATTAACTCATTCATCAGGGCAGATCCCTCATGGCCTAATCACCTTTTAACAGTCCCACATCTTAATTACTGTTAAAATGGTTATTAAGCTTCCAGCACGTGCTTTCTGGGGGGAAACATTCAAACCACTGCAGCACTTTATCAGTCTTTCTCATCCTGATGTACCACGCAGAGAACTGGTTGGGTAGAAGAGAGACCCAAAGCTGGAAGGAGTACAAGTAGTCTCTGTGTTGTTGTTGTCACATGAGCAACATTGCCACATCATCATTGTTTACATTTGCATGTCACTTGACAGTTTGCAACTTATTTTAACATCTATGATCGGCCAGGCGCGGTGGCTCACGACTGTAATCCCAGCACTTTGGGAGGCTGAGGTGGGTGGATCACGAGGTCAGGAGTTCGAGACCATCCTGGCTAACACGGTGAAACCCCTGTCTACTAAAAATACAAAAAATTAGCCAGGCATGGTGGCACGTGCCTGTAGTCCCAGCTACTCGGGAGGCTGAGGCTGGAGAATCGCTTGAACCCAGGAGGCAGAGGTTGCAGTGAGCCAAGATCACCCCACTGCTCTCCAGGCTAGGCAACAGAGTGAGACTCCGTCTCAAAAAAAACAAAAACAAAAACAAAAAATCTATGATCTCTTTTCATTATTAATGTCTCAATACTCTGCGAGGAGAGTGCTTTTATTTAGAGAGAGAGTGTATGTTACTTGGGTATATTTTTAGATAACTCTGGCTGTGAGAATATTTTTTTCCCTTAAGTTTAACTGAAATATATATATAACTCCTTTAACTTTCATCTTCAAGTTGTTCTAGTTTCAGTTTGTTGGCTGATGGTAATTTTATCTAGCTCGTTGCCCTGGGGTAGTTTGCCAGGGCTACACATTACGTATGTTTTAGGACATTCTGTCCTCTGAAATTGGCCAATGGCATTTTCCGTTTTGCTTATCTGATGGTCCCAGCTTCCTCTCCTTGTTAGCCCACCTTTTCTCCACATCTCATTTTTGAACCCTAGACAGACTAATCACAGAGCAGTTGTCATCATGCCAGCTGTTCACTGCCTGCCTTCAACATTTGACTTGTTTCCTATTTTGAAGTGATACAAGAGAAGTTAATGACCTAAAAAATTGCTCATCTATCTTGTGAACCTAGTTAGGAAGGAATTGTTTGATTTTTATGATGTGTAAATAATATATTTGGAGACACATTTTCAAATGTGTCAGGCTATATAGTAAGGAAAGGCTCCCTAAACAAGGTGGGACAAATTGGCTGGCTAATAGAGCTTAATGACAGATTTTCCATTAATCAGAATGGAGAATGTGCTTCATTAAGATAATTAACAGAGCACTTGTGCAGGTGATACTTATTGCACACAAATTTCCAAGTTTATTTCTTTCCCTTGAATAAATTTGGAGAGAAATCCTAGCCATATTTCCTTGTTTGCATTAAAATTATCAGTGGCAACAAATTCCCTTTTCTGTTTTTAAAGCTGCTGGTAACTGGTATCTTGTCCTCTGCAGGTGTAAGGGGCGGATGAGACACTGCTTTTCCTTCCAGCAGTCTGTTTGCTCGTCACCAGACACCAAGCTCCTCTAGTGAACCGTAGAAAGCTTATCCTTTTCCAACTCTTAGACTAACAACATTGGAATTAGAAAGGACCTCAGAGATCTTAAACTAATTCATTTTATATCAGGACATTGAAGTCCAGACAGGGGAAGTGACATGGCCAATGCCACATAGTACTCTAGTGCCAGAGCTGTCTGTGGGATAGTGGGACTAACACTGAGCTGAGAGCCAAAATGCCTAGGTTGACATTAGGCAAGTTATATTACTTCCTTGCTCCTTACTATCTTCATCTGTCAAATGGGGAAAGTATTTAACATAGGGCCAACTACAAGCAAATTGGCTTTTTTGTTTAGTCTTCTTTCCACTACACCCTGATGCTTTCCTTTCAGGGAAAACTGAAGATTATGGAGGAGAAGCTGATGTCAGGAAGAATGAACAATCAATATCAGTGCTGTTTTCTTTGTTTTCTCTGTAGGATCCTCAGTCTTCCACAATGAACCCTGTTTACAGCCCCGTGCAGCCTGGGGCTCCTTATGGCAACCCTAAGAACATGGCCTACACGGGTGAGTAGTGTGAGAATGGCTCTCATTTTGAGAAATGGTGGTTAAGGATATTACCAAATAACTTGCTCCTCCTCCTAACGTATACCTCCAAAAGTCTTGGGAAAGTTTGGGAACATGCAGAAGATATGTCTGAGGTCCAGCGGAAAGATCTCAGAGAACCTGTTGTGTGGTTGTTTCCCAACTTTGTTCTACAATAATACCAGGAGAGTGTTTTAGAGAGTCTGCAAACATTTGATTTGATTATTTTAAAATATTGAGAACTATTTTTATAAAACATGAATACGTGTTAGATGATCAGTGTGTTAAGCTTCTAAGAATGCCTGTTAATTTTTTTAAAAAATGCTACCATTTATATCTGCTTATGTTTTTAAATCAGGATTTTCTCAATGCTATGCAACCAAATTAACATTCAGAAATATATTGGAGTTTCAGCCTGATATAACTGTAACTGTTATCACTAACTTTCTATTTCCCATGTTTGTGTTTATCACAACAGTTTCATTGTCCTTATTACTTAAATTAACAGTAAATATTTTCTGTTTGAATTTGTATTTGTATATTTATTCTAACAAAATTAATTTCCAGTAACCAGGACTCATGGGGCAGTACCCTATACCCTACTAGCTCATGGAGCTTGTTGCTTTTCCCCTTTCCAGTTCAGAGTGTTCCAGCAACTTAAGTTCCTCTGCCAGAGGGAACTGAACTGCTTTGGCAGACGGAGCCCAAGGGAACCCTGTGGGGCTTTGGTTTCCTATTTGCTTTGATCCTGGCTGCCTTCGTTCTTACTAAGTTGCTAAACTAGAGAAGGAAGAGAACAGTTGCATTTATCTATTGATTTGCATCAAGATTTAAACATTGTAAATCTGGAAGGGGAATTGACTTTGTCAAATTTTCCAAATTTCCAAAATTGGAAAGGGAACAGACTTTATCTCTGCTTGGCACATAGTAGGACTCGGTAATGTGTTTTGACTGACTGGACAACAACCAGGTTCAAATCCCAGCTCTGTCAGAGAATAGCTGAGTGACTTTGGACAACTTGCCCTAACCTCCCCAGACTTAATTTCTGTGATGAACTGGGATAATATTATCTATTTCATACTAGATAATTCTGGGAATGGGACAAAATATTATCCATTTCATAGGACAGTTGTGAGAATCAAACAAGATAATTTGTACTCCTCTAGAGGAAAGGAGGATCTTTTTTTGTCTCTATTAATCACCAAGGAATATTATGAGCCTGGAACTGTTTTAAGTTAATTCCCTGCTGTAGATTCTAGGACCACACAGATAGTATAAACTCCACATAAGTAGTATAAATTCAGACTTCATACAGGCCAAAGTTTCAAATTTGTAGGGAGACTTTTATTTTTTAACCCAACCTTGGCTGTTGAATCTCTGTACTTTTGGATTTTTTTTTTCTTTTTTTAACTGACACTATGACTCCTCCAAGGTCCCAACTTTATGTAGGGGAATTTGAGTTGCAGCTCTTGGCTGTTCCAGGGCCCACAGCCTATCTCCTACCCCTGGTGGCTGTAAAAAGCAAGCCCTTTGAGTGCCTAGACTAAAAAATCTCCCCAAAGCATCCCAATATCAGCTTACTACATAGACTTCCTGATTTTTAGTTTCCTCTTCATTTTTTGAGTAATAGGGATTTCTTTTTCTTTCTTAAAATCTCAACTCTACGTAATACAATGTTTGTTATACTTCATAACCAGCTTTTCTAGGTATTATGCAGTAGGCAGATTTTCAGGTTATTTTTCTTCTGTATTACTGGAGATGGAAGATCTAAGTAAAGATAATTTATAAACAAATGCCAAATATATTGCATTACAGTAAGCATTTATATGGTTATGTTAAAATTATTATCATTTGGTAAGAACATACTAGGTACTATATATTAATTATAATTTCATTAATCATAAATGCTATAGTTTTTATAGATAAAAAAACTATGGTAGTTTAATTCAGGTCATGTGACTTGACTAATGTATATAGCTTCTAAGGGATGAGAAAATATTTGAACTCAGTTCTTTGTGGTTTCAAAGTATATGTGCTTTCTGTTACAGTAAGCTAATCTGTCTTAAAATATGTGCTGCTTTCTCTCTTCCCCATGATAAACTAAAGATGAGGATTGTCTTTTCCATTTCTAGGGCTAGGAAAGCTTCCCTTTGAGGAGCTAGAATCCTGTTCCTGGCCAGCATTTTGGGGTAGCCTCAGGAGGGCAAAAGTACAGGGGGTCAAGTCCATTGTACTGTCATCTGCTTCAGAGGAAATGGGATGGTGGCTGCAGGGAACAGAGGAGTTGGAAACACTCCTGGTTTGAAATTCTCTTGAAGTCTGAAGATGGGAAATAAAATATAGTTTTGTGGTGCAGTATTCCAGTAAGCAGCTGTCTTCTAGCCAATTGACAGTGTTCTTTCTCTCTCTCTCTCTCTCTCTCCCTTTTAAAGCCCCTTTACCGAGTACTTACTGTGTGACAAAACCTGAGCTCAGTATTTTACAGAAAATACCTATTTTTACACTTGCAGCAATCTATAATGTGGTTATAACTAGTTCCTTATATATTTTGGCAGAGTGAATTTAGAGAATGTAATATGCCATATACTTTCAAATGTTTAAGCATAGACTATATACTATGAACTGAATGTTTGTGTCCCTCCAAAATCTGTATGTTGAAACCCTTAATCCCCAATGGGATGGTAATTGGAGATTGAACCGTTGTAGGTTTAGATGAGGTCATGAGGATTGAACCTTCATGATGGAATTAGTTCCCTTAGAAGAAGAGACACCAGAGCTCTTTCTGCTGTGTAACAACACAGCATGACCATGCTGGCACCCTAATCTTGGACTTCTACCCTCCAGAGCTATGAGAAATAAATGTCTGTTGTTTAAGCCACCCAGTCTGGTATTTTGTTATGACAGCTCAAGCTGACTAGGACAGATAATGAGTGCAGTGAACACTTGAATACCCTTTACCTAGATTCACCATGACAGTGGGCTGTTTATAGACCAGGGCATTTCTTTTTCCAAAAGCTTCATAAAGGTTTTTCTGTTAGAATTTTGGAGTGTAGTCAAGACCTCAACATTCTTCTCATCTTTTCTTTTCTAAAATGTTCTGATTGTGTCAGTGTCCAAGCATCACCCAGGGGTCTATCTAGTATGTGTTCTGGAGTGTGTCAGATCTCTGCTGAAATCTGGTCTCTGTCACTAATTAGCTATGGAACTTTGGTTGAGTAATCTTTCTGCATCTCAGTTTCCTTGACTGTAAAATGGAATAATGACCTATACAGATGGTTGGTTTGTAGTCGGTGAAAATGTTTATAAAGCTTCTCGTGTCGTGCCTGGCTCATAGTGGACACTCAATTAATGGTTGTTGTAATGCATAGCAATGAGTATACACCTACAGGGAAAAGAGCATGGGACATACAGTTAGTGACTTAGATTACAGACCCTATTCTGCCACTTAAGAGCTATATGACATCAGATAAGTTATCAAGCTTTCTGGGCCTCAATCTATCATTTGTTTTAAAAAAAAAAAATGATAAAACAGGGTTAGGAATGCCTTCCTCACACGACAGCTGAGAGTAATAAATGTAACAGGGCTAGCCACTGACTTGTGATGAAGTTTCCAAAACACAATTAGAAAATAATTCTAAAACGGGAGAACAGATGAAGCCCTTAAATGAATCCATCATTTTATAGGTGAAAAGATGGAGTATAAGAAGTGTTTTGAAGAAAGTGTTGGGGTTGAGTCTGGAACCCATGTCTCCCCATCTGGGTCTGTGTATTCATTGTCTCTCTACCACAGAATAACAAGTGTTCTCCCTTCTCTTCATTCCGTTGTGGCCACTTCACATTCCTCTGCTAGCCCACTCCAGTTCAAGAGCTCTTTCTGACTCCTCCTGTGTTGACCTTTAATGAATATCCTGGCTTCAGCCAGTAGAAAACATAGGTCTAAATGCTACAAATACAGTAACAAAAGATACAACTCTCAAGGTTAGAAGGCTAGGAAATTAATCTGTTCAAAGACTACCATCTTTTTTTTTTTTTTTAAACCAGTGTTTGTTTTCCCCCCCACCCCCAGATTGCTGTTTTTGCTTAAAACTTTGTAAGGATCACCTGTTGGAGGTTTTGATTAACTGACATTTGTACTTTGTTTATTCTTTGCAAAGAACTTTTGTGGGATTTTTCCCTTCGTATGTGTTTTTTTTTTTTTTAATAACAATTCTGGAAGATAGTTTTTATTTTCCAGATGAAATTAAGCTTCTCTAAGGTCACACTGTATAGCAGAGGCCAAACTAACCCCAGTTACAAAGTAGGTGCTTTTAGGGCTCTAGCATACATGGCTATGTCTTGGACGGTACAGTGATTAGGATCTCAGATGAGCCTGGAAAATGGATTTTAATTTCTGAAACTGTTCTCACAACTCCCCCTTTGATGTTCAAACTGATCTCCTCTCCTCAGGAGAGAACTCCAAGGTCACTTAATTACTTTTTCACCTATGGTTGAAGAAGAGCATCTAAAGAGAATTCTTATTAACTGTTCTCATGAATATAATCTCCTTGTGGACCCTTTTTAGCCTTTATCCTAATTTGACTCTTCTATATCATTTGACACCTGACCCCTTTCTTGAAGCAAGCTTTCATTGCCTCCATAATTTTCATTGACCATAATTGTTTATTTTTGTTTGTTTTCCCTTTCTTCTTCTCCAGCTGTTCCTGAATTTGTCTCCTTTCAGAATTTTCTTCCCCTGCTCATCCATTAAAAGTTGATGTTTCACAAGGGCTCCGTTTCTCCCTTAGCCTCAGCTGCTGTCTATAGGCTGATGATTCATAAACTCTAGGGCTGTGGCAAACCATTCTTCTGAGCTTCAGACTAGTTTATCCAGCCGTCTCCTGAACATCTCCTCCATGAATGTCTCATGCTTTGCTCAGACTTATTATGTCTAAAACTGAGCTCATTATCTTATCATTCCCCTGTAACCCATTTTTTATCATTTTGTGATTAATACCACTATCTGCCTATTCCTAAAATCAGAAAACATCATCCTTGATACTCTTGCCTCTTTTGCCTTCTAAAGCCAGTTATTAAGTCCTGCCTTTTTAAAAAAGATTGCAGTAAAACACATGTACTATCTTGGCTGGGCGCGGTGGCTCACACCTATAATGACAGCACTTTGGGGGACTGATGCAGGTGGATCACTTGACCAAGAGTTCCAGACCAGCCTGGGCAACAAAGCAAAACCCCGTCTCTACTAAAAATACAAAAAATAACCAGATGTGGTGGCGCACACCTGTAATCCCAGCTACTTTGGAGGCTGAGGCATGAGAATCGCTGGAACCTGGGAGGTGGAGGTTGCAGTGAGCCAAGATCATGCCACCGCACTCCAGCCTGGGCAACAGAGTGAGACTGTCTCTCAAAAAATAAATAAATAATTTTTTTAAAATTTGCTATCTTAACCTCTTCTCTTCTCTTTTCTCTTCTCTTCTCCTCTCCTCTCTTCTCTTCTCTTCTCCTCTCCTCTCTTCTCTTCTCTTTTCTTCTGACTTGGAGTCTCTCTCTATAGCCCAGAGATTGCAGTGGTGCGATCTTGGCTCACTGCAACCTCCGCCTCCCAGGTTCAAGCAATTCTCCTGCCTCAGCCTTCTTAGCTGGCACGTACCACTATGCCTGGCTACTTTTTGTATTTTTGGTAGAGACGGGGTTTCACCGTGTTGGCCAGGCTGGTCTGGAGCTCCTGACCTCAGGTGAACCACTTGCCTTGGCCTCACAAAGTGCTGGGACTACAGGTATGAGCCACCGCTCTCAGCCATCTTAACCATTTTTGTGTGTACTATTTAGTGGCATTAAGTACATTCATATTGTTTTGCAACTGTCGTCACTATTGATTCACAGAACTCCTTTCGTCTTGCAAAACTGACACTCAATATCCATTAAACAATAACTCTTCATTTCACCCTCCCCCCCAGCTCCTGGCAATCACCAACCTACTTATTATCTTTATGAATTTGACTAGTCTAGATGCTCATATAAATGAAATCATACAGTATTTGTCCTTGTGTGACTGGCTTATTTCACTCAGCCTAATGACCTCAGGTTTCATCCGTGTGTCAGGATTTCCTTCCTTTTTAGGCTGAATAATAATATTCTGTTTTATGTATATGCCGCATGCAGTGGTATGTGGACACTTGGGTTGCTTCTGCTTTTGGTCTATTGTAAATAATGCTGCTATGAACATGGATGTACAAATATCTCTTGAAGACCTTGCTTTCAATTCTTTTGGGTATATATCCAGAAGTGGAATTGCTGGGTCATACAGTAATTCTATTTTTAATTTTTTGAGGAACTGCCATACTGTTTTCCTAGTGGCTGCAGCATTTTACATACTCCCTTGTGGTTTATAAAAGTTTCAGTTTCTGCACAGCTTCGCCAATGTTTGTTTTCTCTCTCTCTCTCTCTTTAAATAATAGCCATCATAATGGATATGAAATGTTCTTTTTATTTTTAAAAAACCTCCTTTACCTTTCTTAGATTAGACTTTTCTTCCCTATCTTTCCACTGTTATCATTCAGGTCATTATTACTCTTTCTGGGATTAAGTTGCCTCTTAACTGGACTTCCTAACTCCTTTCATATACCCCTGTCCCCAGTCTGTTCTTTACATAACATAGCCATAATCGTTTTTCTCTCTTGAAAATTTGACATCACTCCAATGCTTAAAACCCTTCAATGACTCTTCACTGTCCTTTGGATAAAGTCCAAACTTCTTAGCTTGCAATAGAAAGTTTTTATGACCTTACCATTCAGGTATCTCCAGCCCATCTCCTGCTCATCCTATTTATCTATATTCTCAGTCCATCTGGTGGCTGGTATTATGTTTTTATTTAGAATTATAAGATGATTAGAGACCATCAAATCCAACCCTGTTCTTAGATGAGAAACCTGAGGTCTAATAAGTGCCTAAGGAAAGCACTTAAGATTCACAGTGGGCCATGTGCCGTGGCTCATACCTGTAATCCCAGCACTTTAAGAGGCTGATGGGGGAGGATCTCTTGAGGCCAGGAGTTTGAGACCAGCCTGAGCAACATGGCGAGACCTCATCTCTATAAAAAAATGTAAAAATTAGCTGGGTGTGGTGGCACCTGCCTGTAGTTCCAGCTACTCTGGAGGCTGAGTTGGGAGGGTCACTTGAGCCCAGGAAGTCAAGGCTTCAGTGAGCCATGCTTGTACCATTGCACCCCAGCCTGGGTGACAAGAGTGGAGACCTTGTCTTAAAAAAAAAAGATTGACAATGAATTCAGTATCTGATTTACTCCTGTATCTCTAATACCCAGCTAGGCCCCTGCATGCCATGAATATTGACTAGTTTTTCAACAAATGGATGGACAGATAGATGTCAAACCTGGAAGTAGAACCCAGACCTCTGGCAGCCAATCTAGTTCTCTTTCTGCTCACCTTATAGCTGCTTTTTAATTTCCAACACACTTAGTTAGATTTCTTTAAACAAGGTAACTCTCTTATCTTCGGTCATTTCCCACCTCTCTGAGTTTCTTCTATAAAGTAGGGATAATAGTGTCTGCTTACTTCAAAAGTGCTTTGAGGGGCTGGGCACAGTGGCTCACGCCTGTAATCCCAGCACTTTGGAAGGCCGAGGTGGGTGGATTACCTGAAGTCAGGAGTTCGAGACCAGCCTGGCCAACATGGTGAAACCCCGTCTCTACTAAAAATACAAAAATTAGCCAGGCATGGTGGCACATTCCTGTAGTCCTAGCTACTGGGGAGGCTGAGGCAGGAGAATCGCTTGAACTCAGGAAGCAGAGGTTGCAGTGAGCTGAGATTGTGCCACTATACTCCAGCCTGGGCAATAGAGTGAGACTTTGTCTCAAAAAAAAAAAAAAAAAAAAAAGCATTAGTAGCCTTTGTTTATTATTCATCATCATTATATCCCCAGTACCTAGCACAGTGACTGGTACAGAGTTGGCTCTCAGTAAATTTTGAAGGAAGAAAGGGGGGAGAAGAAAGAAATAAAGGGAAGGAGATGAGACTCTAATGAATGAAGGAGGTTACAGCAGAGAAGTATGAGATGGGTTTGAGGAAAAGACTCCTGTGATTTGTCTATCCTTGCTAATGAGTAGCCCTCTGATATGGCAAGGAGAGTCTGGGACAGGTAGCCAGTGCGGGAGAGATTTTTTTCTGCTTTGTAGGTGAATAAAAATTTCATTTGGAGGCCGGGTGCGGTGGCTCACGCCTGTAATCCCAGCACTTTGGGAGGCCGAGGTGGGCGGATCACGAGGTCGGGAGATCGAGACCATCCTGGTTACCACGGTGAAACCCCGTCTCTACTAAAAATACAAAAAATTAGCCAGGCATGGTGGTGGGCGCCTGTACTCCCAGTTACTCAGGAGGGTGAGGCAGGAGAATGGTGTGAACCCGGGAGGCGGAGCTTGCAGTGAGTCAAGATTGTGCCACTGCACTCCAGCCTGGGCAACAGAGACTCCGTCTCAAAAAAAAAAAAAAAAAAAAAAATTCATTTGGATTATCTGTTGTGACTGGTCAACCCCTCTGGATAGACCAGATGGAACAGGGAGACTTTTCTGTTTTTGAGTCTTATGGAGACTGAGCAGAGACCCTCAGAGAAAACAAGAGACCCTCTTTCCTTGCCTACTTGGTTTACAGCAATTATTCTTTTTTAGAACAATGATAGTTGAAATTTGACAATTCCTTTGAGCTATTTAGCAATGAAGAGTTGTCTTCAAACCTCTTATATTACCTATGTAGTCAGCCTTAGGCTAGCTCATTTTGAGTGGCAGCTGCTTTGCTCAGGACATTTGACTTTTAAAAACAAAATGTGACCAGCCTGTGCAACATAGTGTGACCTCATTTCTTTTTTTTTTCTTTTTCCTTTTTTTTTTCTTTTTTTGACTCAGAGTCTTGCTCTGTCGCCCAGGCTGGAGTGCAGTGGTGCAATCTCGGCTCACTGCAAGCTCCGCCTCCCAGGTTCACGCCATTCTCCTGCCTCAGCCTCCCGAGTAGCTGAGACTATAGGCGCATGCCACCACGCCCGGCTAATTTTTTTGTATTTTCAGTAGAGACGGGGTTTCACTGTGTTAGCCAGGATGGGTGAGACCTCATTTCTACAAAAAAAAATTTAAAAATTGGCTGGACATGGTGGCACATGCCTGTTGTCCCAGCTACTCAGGAGGCTGAGGTGGGAGGGTTGCTTGAGCCCAGGAGGTTGAGGCTGCAGTGAGCCATGATTACGCCACTGCACTCCAGCCTGGGTGACAGAGCAAGACCCCGTCTATAAAAACAAAACAAAACAAAAACAAAGTTTGACTTTCCAGGACAAATTTTCTCTGAAGCATGTGAGAACAAAGGCTCACAAAACCGCATATAATAATACATAAGAAGCACAATACTTTACAACTTAAAGTTACGATTTGTGATCTCATTTAATCCTTACAACAAGCACTGTGAGGTAGAAATTTCTATTAGAGGCTGGGTGCAGTGGCTCACGCCTGTAATCCCATCACTTTGGGAGGCCAAGGCGGGCGGATCATGAGGTCAGGAGTTTGAGACCAGCCTGGCCAACATAGTGAAACCCCATCTCTACTAAAAGTACAAAAAATTAGCCGGGCGTGGTAGCAGGCACCTGTAATCCCAGCTACTCGGGAGTCTGAGGCAGGAGAATCACTTCAATCCGGGAGGCGGAGGTTGCAGTGAGCCGAGATCGCACCATTGCACTCCAGCCTGGGCGACAGTGCAACGAGACTCCATATCAAAAAAAAGAAAGAAAGAAATTTCTATTAGAACACTTATTTTACAGATGAGGAAAGAGTCAGAAATCCAAGCTCTTTCCACTCCACTGAAGTGTCAGGCAAGTCCTCTCTGGGTTTTGTAGTCCATATAAGCAGTGATTTTGTATCTGTCTCAGATACTGTGTGTGATGCTAAAAGCAGATGGATTAAACCTTGTCAGGGCAAGAATCATGCACATTAAACTATGTGTTTGCTTGTGACTGATTTACATGCGAAGCACCCACTCTACCACTGAGCTACACACCCTTGCTTGTGACTGATTTACTTTCCTGGGTTACAAAATGATTTCCCACCTCTGTAAAGAAGAATAACTCTTTCTCCCAAACAAAGAAGTATTGCTGTTGTTGGGTTATTATTTTTCTGCTCCTAAATTCTCCTTGGCTTCCTGTTCTCTACAAAAAGTTGTTTATTTGTATGTTTTTCTAGACTGTGAGCTCCTTGAGGGCAGAAATTATGTACTTCTTGTGCCCACAACAGAGCAGGCAGTTAGTTCATTAAATATATGTTGAATTAAATTATTATTAGTTTATACAAATTATATTATTGTTGCTGTTATTATAGTAATAACTACCACTAATTACTGTCAGTGGAGTGCCAAGCACTTTACAAACGTAGTCCCCAATTTTTATGATAATCCTTCAAGGGAGAGCTATTATTATTTTACATATGAGGGAATAAGGTTCAGCTAAGTTAAGTAAGTTTCTCAAGGTCATATAGCTTATAAAAGCCAGCTTATGTGAAATATGGGTATACTTATGAAAAGTTTATTATGCTAAAGTATATGTAATACAAAATTTACCATTTTAGCCTTTTTTTTCTTTTCTTTCTTTTCTTTTCTTTTTTTTTTTTTTTTTTTTTTTTTTTGTCACCCAGGCTAGAGTACCGTAGCACAATCATAGCTCACTGCAGCCTCCAGCTCTTGGGCTCAAGTTGATCCTCTTACTTCGGCCTCCCAAAGTGCTGAGATTACAGGCATGAGCCACTGCACCTGGCCAATTTTAACCATTTTTAAGTGTATAATTGAGTGGCATTAGGTACATTCACAATGTTGTTTAAATATCCCCACTATTTCCAGAACTTTTTCATCAACAGAAATTCTGTAACCATTAAACAATAACTCTTCTTTTACTCATCTTTTGCCCTGCCTCTAGCCCTGGTAACCCCTAAATTTCTTCCTGTTTCTTTTTTTTTTTTAAACGAGATGGAGTTTCACTCTGTCCCACAGGTTGGAGTGCAGTGGTGCGATCATAGCTCACTACAGCCTTGAAGTCCCTTGGCTCAAGGGATCCTCCAGTCTCAGCCTCCCAAGTAACTGGAACTACAGGTGTACATCACTGTGCCTGGCTAATTTAAAAAAAAAAAATTAAAGAAGGGATCTCTCTCTGTTACCTAGGCTGATCTCAAACTTCTGGCTTTGGGCAATCATTTCACCTCAGCCTCCCAAGTCACTAGGATTATAGGAATGAGCCATTGTACTTGGCTCTTTCTGTTTCTATGAATTTGCCTATTCTAGATATTTCATATAAGTAGAATCATACAATATTTATTTATTCATTCATCTGTTCTTGTAAATGCCTTGGAATCTGCTTTGGCCAGTAGAGGTTGAAACCATGGCTGTCAGCCTCTGTGCTGGCCTCTCAGTGATCAAAACTAACAATCAGAACACATAACCCCCATATTTGGAGGCCAAGGTCCTTACTGCCCATCTAGCTCCAGCAATCTGCACCAGGGACTTGGAGGATGGTAGCCACTGGGCAAAAGGCTGAAATTCTCTGAAAATTTTACCAGCCTCTTCATTAAACTCTCCCTCTGCATACTGCAAGTGTTCTGATTAGACTCTGGAATTCCAAAATAGTTACTTCAGATAGTTTCTGCTGGCTCAGTAGTTGTTTATGTGGAGGATTCCTATGGACAAAGGCAGAATAGCAAAAGAGCTCCCAATGTAGGTATCCTTAAAACAATAACAATGAAAAACTGTCAGTGTCATGTAGTTTGTTAGCATTGCATAAAAGAAAGTATCGAGTAAGGATTTTTTTTTTCTTTTTCTGGCTAAAGTCTTGCTATATCACAGTATTCTTTGCAAATAAAGAATGGTCATCACCCTGCATGACAGTGAGAGACATGCTTTCCATGTATCTGTTCACAGTGATGGGTTCTCACAATTAGCTCAAGACATAGCAGTATATTCAGTCATTGGTAAATTTCTATAAAATGGTGGAAAATTGTCCTATAGCTCACTTTCTTACCTGTCTTCTGCCCTGGTAGGGGGAAAAATCTTTACTCATTACCATGCTGAGAGTTTTGAATTAACATTTAGGTGGCTGCTTATGTCTGGAGAGATTTTATTTAAGGTTTTGCATCAAGGTATTTTAAACCTGCCTTGCCACCCTCCAGGGGTGCTGGTGATCACATCTTTTCTATGGTAAGCCAATCTTTGAAGCATCCATGCTTTATATATTTTATTTCATTTAATCCTCATGACATCCCTAGAAGATAGATGTTAAAAAATTGATCAGTTAAAAAACTGATGCAGAGAGGTCAAATGACTTTTCCAAGGTCATAGAAGATTCCCTTACAGTTTGCCTGGCTCTAAAGGCCCTACTTTTTTCTTTGTTCATGCTGAATGAAGGGAGAGCCTAGAAGTAAAAAGTTCCTTTATTTTAGCTGTTTCCTTATTCAGAAAATTGGGAGATTGCACCTCAGGATGCCTAGGAGCTGTTAAAAGAGAAAGCAGTAAGCCACATAGGTGCTCTCTTCCCCTCCAGTAGAGATCTGCTCCTGCCTATTTTATAGATTAGGCATCCAGGTGAGAAGGATTCTACTGCCATAGGAGGGGGCCTAAATGACTGGACTGGATGAATTCTGACCTTCCAATTTTGTTATATACTCTGTTCTTTAAATTGCAAGATTACCAGTTTTATAAAGACTCATACACACAGTGATTGTGTGTTCTTTGTTTATGGTACCTCCATAGACTCTCCATCTTAACCAGCACAGATCTGTAAGAAATGGAAAAACAGAAGTATAAGAAGACAGAATACACTGAGACAAATACTATCTCAGAGGGATGTGCCACTGTATTCCAAAAGCCTAACATAATAAATAAATGTACAAATTGCTGTGGAAGCATGGTGTATATAGAGGAGGGCCACAACACTGTCAGAGCGAATCAGGATATTTTCTTGACCCCTTTGCTGGACTTGCGACAGGGGTGCCTCATTTACTCAGTCCACCCTTGTCTACCCCTTGTGGGACAGAGCGTGTGAGCGAACCAGTGCAGGAACTAGAGCAAGTGCTTTTGGGCGCTGGCAGGAACAAACTCTGCTTACTCAGCTCGCCATGCTCAACCCTTTGTGGAAGGGAGCAGTAGGCAAGTGAGTACAGGATCCAGCCGGCCACTTTTGGGCTCTGGCATCAGTGAACTCTGTGCGGGCCCCAAGGCAGTGTCCAGGTGGGGGTGCCTGTGACTACTGAAGCCCCAGAGGGCGTGTTACAGTGCTCTTTTAGCTCTGCTGTCCATGAACAGCTTAAGTGTTAACAGCCCAGTGGGCTCTTTGCCTTTTTGTGTGAGGCTGCCTTCCACCAGCGAGTGCAAAGGGCCAGTGTGCCAGCCTTTTTGTATCCACACTCGTGGCTCCCAAGCTCTTGTCTGGCATCCAGGAAAAATGAGGTAGCCTAAACGAATTGAAGGGTGGTAAATGCAGGAGATTTTATTGCCGATGAAAGTGGCTCTCAGTGGGAAGAGGGGCTGAAAAGGGGACGGGTTGGGTAGGTAATCTTCCCCTGAAGTCCAGCTGTCTCCAGCCAGATTCTTCGAAGTTTTGCTGTCAAGCTGTACCTCTGAAGTCAAGCCACTTCTCTCCAATGTCCAGCCATAGTCCCGTCTACCAGCTGAATCTGGAGTTTTTATAGGCACAGGATGGGGTGGGACCATGGGTGGTTTAGGAAAAGGCAACATTTGAGCAGGAAAACAGAGATATAAGTTCTCACTTTGGGCCGCGGTTTCAGGCTTTTTGGCTTGAGGGTGGGGTTTCGCCAGGGGCCTGCTCTTTTCTGCTAAGAATTTCTCTGCCCCCTATCCCTATCAAGAGGTTGGTGTCAGGAAAGCCTTCTGAGAAGGCAAGCGTGAATCTTGAAGCATGAGAGGAGAGGAGTTACTAAGTTGTAATTCTGATTCTGCTACTAACAACTAGGAGACACTTGACAAGTTCCACCCATTTCCCTTGCCTTCACTTTCCCATCTAGGCTATGAGGGGCTTATGTGAGTTGTTTAGTAGTTTCCGTTAGCTCTAACAATCTGGGTATTAATCTTTAAATTTTTGTTAGATCTCTTTTATTATAAATCAGCTGGCTGACTCCTTCCCTTAGTCTATTTCTTTTGCATTTTCTTGTAAATGCAATTTTTCTGTGTTCCTTCTTGGAATCCCTGGTGTTAATGAAGGGTTCAGAAACAGATTAAGATGAGGTGAGCTCAGTACCCTTACTCAGCGCCCTCTCCTACAGTGACAGTCCAGGGCTTCTTTCTCTGGAGCTTCTGACATTCTTGGGCAAGCTCAATAGACCATGAAAGCCAGCCTGTCCATAAGTATCCTATGAAAGGTCAGGTATAGCCATAGCTACCACCAGTGAGTGACTTCCCTTTCCCTGCTAATTAAGCTCATGCAATTTAATTTAGCTTTCTATTAGTTATGTATGGTCCTTAATCAATGGTGATATAATTTTTGTGGCCTCGAATACAGCTGAAAATCAGTGGGATGTTGACACAGGACTGGAAGAGCTTTTGGCTGTGCTGCATAGATTCTCATTGGAATGGTTTCTGTTGCGTAATGTAGTGGGGAGAGCCTGTTCTTGAAGTCTGAAGACCCGAGTCTGACTCCTGGCTCTGCCTCTAAAAACTTTAATAAGTTCCTTTACTTCCAATGGCCTCAGTTTCCTCTCCTATAAAGGTAGGAATAATAGTATCTACCCTATCTGTCACTTATTCGTGAGACTTTAAGGAGATAATTGATCTGGAAGAACCTTTTAAATGTGACAGATCTAGTCATGGGTAGAGCCGCATTGATCATTGTACTGACTTTTCTTATCTTGAGGGTTAACTGCTTGCGGGCTGGGTCCCCAGGAGGCTGTTGAGATTAGTAACTTTACTAGTGCTGATCTCTTTTTCGAAGAGAACTCCTTGGCATTTAGGGTCAGAATTGGCCAGCTTCCCAGAGTTCTACTTCCCATGGAATCACAGAGATTCTGGTCAGGAACCAGATAGGTCCAGAGCTTGGGAAAAAAATGGTGTCTGGGTAGAGAGGACCCCTTTCCCCACCCATTTTGTTCCTCTAGTGGATGGGTTTATTATAACAGCTATCTATGAATAACAGTAATGGTTGCTGTTTGCTGAGGGCCCTTATGGGCCATACACCGTGTTTTGGAAACTTTTCTACCAAAGTGTACCTGCTATCAGAGGAGAATGAATTCATCTCTGGATTGATGCAGGAGTGAATAGCCCACAGCAGCCACTCCAAGGTTAAAATGTATTTGAAGTCTATGTCTTATCTTCAGAATTCATAAGGATTTTGCCTTAAGGCACCATTATGTAGTCATACTTGTTTTCTATAAAACAAACACTTCAAATTATTTACCGTCTGGTAAAATTAACACCCCAGGAAGGTGCGCCTATTTATTCAGTACTTTTTTTTTTGTAACCTGCAGCATAGTGTTGAGTAACCATAGGAGTTCCTGTACCCAGTTTGAGAATTATGTCATTATTTTACTTATTATTATTATTTTTTTTTTGCAAAACATTCCACACCATTTTATTTCAACTTTCATCCAAAAATGTAAACTGGTTAAAAATGTGTAGTCCTGAGCTTTGGATACTGACCTCCAATCTTCATAGGTAGATGGAGAGAGAGGGTCAGGATAGAAGTTCAGAGTGCTTCCCACCCCTAGAGAAAAGGTAAGCCCTAGACATGGTATAGGACCAGAACACCAGGGTCCTATGGAGAACAGGCCTCCTTCTCTTCTAGCACTGGCCCAAGTGCCTCCCACTCACCCCCTCACCCCAGACTCTCCTTTTCATCAGAGAAGAGACATTCAGAATTCTTCAGTCTTGTCCATGAAGATGGTATATGGCACATGTAGCAGGCAGCTAGCTAAACAGTGAGGGTTAGGGCTTATCCCCACTGCTTTTTGGCAGGAAGGACAGGGCACAACTCAGCTCCCTCCTCTTCCTCAGAAACATCATTGCGTATTGTAACTTGGGTTGACAGGATAACTTGAGGTTTGCCAGAGGGACTGTAATCTCCTGGTGGTCACAGTTCCAGGTTACACCTTCTATCACATTACACTCATTGTTAGCTCCCTTGGTGAAGCAGAGCATAATTAATGCCAGCACATGCTTCATATTATCTTCTTCCTCTACCTTGAATGTAAAGGAGTGGGTGTGGCCAGAGAGCTACAGATGAAGAAAAAACTGTCCATAGTGACTGAGGCTGGAATCCCCAGACTTCCAACACCCCAGCCTGGGCTTGGTTCTCCTGACTCAAGGTGGTGGCAGTGGTGGCAGCTGTGCTGCAAGGTTTCTCTTACTTAATCTGTATTATCCAAGTTTTAATAGGTGTAGACACAAATCAAGAAAGATGAGAGGACTTGTTTCTGTCACAGAGCCAGGAAGTAGAGAAGCCAGAATCAAGCCTAAGTTCGGATGTTTCATGCTCTTAACCACTAAGCTACATAGTTAACTTACACTCATGGACTATTTAACAAGGGGGATACATTTTGAGAAATGCAACAATTAGGCAGTTTTGTTGTTGTGCAAATATAATGGAGTGTACTTACACAGACGTAGATGGTACAGCCTACTTACACACCTTGGCTATGTGGTATAGCCTAGGCTACAAATCTGTACAGCATGTTACTGCACTGAATAATGTAGGCAATTGTAACACAATGGTTGTTTGTGTATCTAAACATAGAAAAGGTACAGTAAAAATGCAGTATTATAATCTTATGGGATCACCTTCATATATGCTGTCATTATGCAGCATATGACTGTAGACTGTCTTATAATTGTTTATATCTTTAGTAATACCCATTGCTATTGCAGGCAGTCATTGTGTTCTCAGTGCTAACACAAAGTGCCTAACACAAAGTGAACTCTCAATTAATATTGGTTAGTTGAGTGAATAAAGGACTGAATGATCAAACCTCTAATAACGAAGCCTTTTCAGAGGTCCATAAATCTCTCTGGCAAATTGACCTGAGAGTTTGGAATAGGCTTTTTGTCCCGAGGGTCTTCTCTAAACAGTAATTCACATTTAGCTCTAAGCCAGTGCTTTCACACAGAAAATTACATTATTTATAGGGAACTCTGGATAGATAGACAAAGCTGCCCAGGAGCTCTTATGCCTCACCTTCTTCCCAGACAGCCTAAGAGCTTAAGGAATCAGTATCTCAACTCAACCTGTAACCCATTTAGATAGCTCCTAAGCTGCCATGAAGGGGTTCTCAGAATTATCTAGTTTATGTTTGTCTTCCCAACCCCTAATATATATCACACATGCACACACTCGTCTCCATCCTTGCACCTATTCATTCCTGGTTCTTACTATGGTAATAAGCACAGGTATGTTGTGGAAAAAGCTGGTCTAAGAGTTTTTTTCTTAGTAGCAGCTAGTAGTAGTATATGCATACTTTGGGAGATTAGAGAACCTCCACTGTAGACTTGTCCTTTCTTTCAGGGTATATTGTCTGGAACTTCTAGGAGAATTCCTCTTCTGAACTCAAAGCATCTTTTTTAAGAGACAGCTTTGCCTTGTGAAAACCCACAGGCATTTCCCTATGTTCTGAGCATTCAGGGTCTGTCTGGTCCATAAAAAGAAACCAGTTGAAACCTGTCACTATTGCTGTTTAGATTTGGGGGGAGGGGAGTGGAGAAGGGGGGTCGTTTTGTTTTTGGGAGGGAAAAAAGGCCATAAGCTAGGTGAATATCCTGATACAGTGAACCTTTTCTTACGGATGGAGAAACTTTTCCAGCATCTGGAGGTGCCCAATTGTCAGTTTCCAAAGTCTCTGTGACTAATAATTGATTTATACTTTATAGCAGTGATTTTCTAAATGTAACCCCTGGGCCTACAAACCTACTAGAAATGCTAATTCTTGGGCTTCAGCTTCAGACTTACAGAATCAGAAACCCTAGAGGTGGTTCCCAGCAAAATCGGTGTTTTTACAAGCTCTCTGGATGATTCTAATGGACCTATCTCCCATTTAGTAAATGTTCCATAGTCTTCCTCTTCTCTCCCAATTTTGTGAGCTTGTCTAGGAATCTTGCCATCATGAATGTCATAATTCCTTCAAGTTCAAAACAGCTTTAGAAGCAGGTTATGTGTCAAATGTCACACATGTGTCAGCTATGACAGGAGGGGCTGCTGGCACCTTCTCAAGACAGATTGGGTGGTCCTAAACCCTGGACACAGGGATGCAAGCCAGTTTCCAGCAGGATAGCCAACAATTTTCTTTTCCCTTGCACATTTTAGGAAAACTAAATAATTGGCCCCTAAAATTGGCTTTAAAAGGACTCATGTTGAGTAAGGTCAAAAGTGTGATTACTTGAAAATTGCTCAGCTGATGGGGAAGGTACTTGAATTTAAGTGTCTAAATCAGATTTTTGCTATTACTGCTGTCAGCAGGAGAAGATGCAGAAAAATCAGTAGTCCTTGGTCTTGTTTAAGCTACAAAACCATACTTCTTGTTACCTCCAAAGGTCTCTGTCTACCAAGGAGAAGCTTTGGCCTTCACTGTTACCACAAGTGCTGTCACAATTTGTAAGTTTATGCTGAGTTCATTGGACTCTGTTGCCTTATGCCTGCATGGCAGGAGGCCTGAAATCTTCGTGGTACCATAAGATAGGTGGGGATGGGCAAAGAGTCAAGACCTGACTCCAAACCTTCCTACCCTCTTCCCGCCTTAGTGTGGATCCCCAGCTGGGAGCTCTGAATTGAAATGCAGACAAGAGGGCTGGGCACAGTGTCCAAAGAGGGGACCTGATCCTAAGTAGTTCTGTTGTAATTTAGGTTACTAACCATCCTGAGTTTCCAGAGGAGCTTGGAGCCTTAAGAAGGTAGGCCGAGTGATTCATATTATTATAGTTATTTTCATCATTTGAGTACCCATTCCCTAGTAAATCCAGTGCCAGATTTTTTTTTTCATGTAGCTTAGTAGTTAAGAATTGTCTGTGTTTGAATCTCAGCTCCGCTGTTTTATCACTCACTATGCATCAGTTATAAATGCCAGAATATGCTACTGGAAGACTTGATTAACAGTAGCTTAGGCCAGGTGCGGTGCCTCATGCCTGTAATCCCAGCACTTTGGGAGGCTGAGGCAAGAGGATCATTTGAGCCCAGGAGTTGGAGACCAGCCTGGGCAACATAGAGAGACCCTGGCTCTCCAAAAAAAAATTTTTAAATTAGGTGGCGCACACCTGTGGTCCCAGCTACTCAGGAGGCTAAGGCAGGAGGATTGCTTGAGCCCAAGAGGTCAAGGCTGCAGTGAGCCATGATCATGCCACTGCACTCTAGCCAGGGCACCACAGCAAGACCCCATCTCAAAAAGAGAAAGAAAGGAAAGATAGAGATAGAGTTAGAGAGAGAGAGAAAAAAACAAAACAAAACAGGAGCTTAAATAAATAGGTAAATAGGAGGTATATTTTTCTTACATAAAAAGAAGTCTGAAGGTCAGTGGCAGGTGACATTGATTTATTAGGTCAGTGAGTACAAGACCAATATCTCTATGATTCTTTGGCCTTTTCCTCCTGCTCTAAGATGGCTGCTGTAGCTCTAGTCATTATGTCTCTGATGGAGGTAGGAAAAAAGGGTTATAGAGGAACACGAGTAATGTCTGTTCTTCTCCTAGGAAAGCAAAGACCCAAATATCCCCAGCAGACTTCTGTGTACATCTCATTGGTCAGAACTGGGCCACGTGGCTATTCCTAAGTGCTAGGAAAGCTGGGAAAGTGAGTATTTAGCTTTTCCAGACTCAGTAGTGAAAGCATTTGGTAAGGGCAAAGGGTGTTGGGAATGATCATTGGGTTAGTGAGCCCATTGTCTATCACAATTACCCAGGCAAGTAAATTAGCTTCTCTAGTTGGTTTCTCATCTATACAATAAAGGTAATGGTAGGACCTACCTCATGAAAGGGTTGTGAGGATTAGATGGGATTAATGTGAAGCGCTTAGCATAAATACTTGATACATGGGGCTGGGCGTGGTGGCTCACACCTGTAATCCCAGCACTTTGGGAGGCTGAGGCGGGCGGATCACAAGGTCAAGAAATCAAGACCATCCTGGCCAACATGGTGAAACCCCGTCTCTACTAAAAATACAAAAATTAGCTGGGCGTGGTGACATGCACCTGTAGTCCCAGCTACTTGGGAGGCTAACGCAGGAGAATTGGTTGGACCCAGGAGGCAGAGGTTGCAGTGAGCCAAGACCACATCACTGTACTCCACCCTGGCAACAGAGCGAGACTGTGTCTCAAACAAACAAACAAACAAACAAAAAGTAACTTGACACATAAGTAATAATACTGGATTTTATTATTAGCATTATCATCTCAACTCTGCAAAGTGATTATTATCCCGTTTTATATAAGAGATAGCTAAAGCTCAGTGAGTGGAAGTAACTTGCCTGAATTTATAGTTTGAAATGACAAAATTAGGATTTGAGTCTGTCTCTGAATCTGAAGTCCATGCAGCTTTTTCTGCAGTGGAAGTTGAATCAGTAGGGAAATGGTAGTTAGCTGATGGGTCTATCTTGGATAGACCCAGGCCAAGGGGTCTTATCAGCCACAAGGCTTGGTGATTAGAGAGGGATTAGAAAGGGAGAAAGACTGAAAAAAAAAAATAGGTTTGGGCAGTGAGAGCCCAAGCAGAAACTCCCATGTGGGACATATAAGAACACAGAGAACCACAACGTAGGGGGCCATCACTGGACTGATACTAGACCTAACAAATTGGGGGGTGAATTTTTTTTTTTTTTTTTTTTTGAGACAGGGTCTTACACTCTGTTGCCCAGGCTGGAATGCAGTGGTGTGATGATCATAGCTCACTGCAGCCTCGATCTCCTGGGTTCAAGTGATCCTCCCACTTCAACTTCCCAAGTAGCTGGGAATACAGATGCGCACTGCTGTGCCTGGCTATTTTTTTTTTTAATTTTTGGTAGAGATGAGGTCTTGCTATGTTGCCCAGATTGGTCTTAAATTCCTGGGCTCAAGCAATTCTCCTTCCTCTACCTCCCAAAGTACTGGGATTACAGGTGTGAGGCACCATGCCCAGCAATATTTGAGAAAACTGGAAATGTAATTTGATAAGGAATATAAGAAAAACTAGTTAAGGGAATAATAACCAGAAGGAACACCTAATCTAGTCTGAAGGGGAGAAGGTCAAGGAAGACATTTTGGAGAAGGAGGTGAAGTGAACAAGAGAAGGACTATCTGAGCATTGAAAAGAGCCTGAACAATGACATGAAAATAGAATAATCAAATGTTAGAACAGCTGTATGTTGTTGTTGAAGTGTAAAATGCCAGACCCGGCGTGGCAAGAGAAGAAATAGGACATCTAAATGTGCAAGAGCTGGACTTGGCTGGTCTTTATGCTGTGATAAGAAGTTTGGAACTTTATCCTTGGTGGTGGGAAGCTGCCAGAGACTTTTAGGCATGATGGATAGGTTGGCATTTTTGAAAGATCTCTCTGGATGTAATGAGATGGATGGATTGGAGAGAGAGGGAAAAAGGAGAAGACCAGTTAGGAGAGTGTTGATACTTCAGTCAAGAGACCTGAACTAGGAGCTGTATTTGAGATGCAGAGGTGGGGACATGTTTGAGACATTTTTAGAGAGAACAGTGTCTAGCTTTCAGTAGGCATTCAATATTTGTGGAATATGAATGAATAAGTTAGGACTTGATGTTGGACTTAGGGAGTGAGGGAGGAGGAGGAATCTGGACTTACCTCAGGCTTCCTCCAGCAAAGGTGACAGGTTGCATGGGCATGACCTTCACTGAGTTCTTGGGGGTACTGAGGCCAGAGTGTGTGTCAGAGACCTTTCCTTTTAGATGTTGCTCAGGTAATTTTCTCATATCCCTTGAGGAATCCCTCTTTTTTCTAGTTCTTGGGCATTTCTAAACAGTATACCTTGGTAATTGTGGGACAGTGGTCTTCCTATTTTATATTAATAGATTTGGAAACTGAGGTGCAAAGTAGTTAAGTAACTTGCCTTGAATCATCCAGCTACTGAGAGTTAGGAAATGTTCTTTCCTTTGCAGCATGTTGCCTTTGTATAAGACTTTTAGACTTCCTGTTATAATTTCAACTGATTATAGGTCATAATAAAACAAGCAGTAAAATTCAGAAGATTAGATTGATCTAATTACTCAGCTGTTAAGATGAGGCCTGAGTTAATTGTAATTCAATGTACCTTCTAATTCAATCCCACAGAGTACACAGTGTCATTTGCATTGTACAAAGAAAGTTCTGCTGATACCTCCTTAATGTTAAAAGGAAAAAATAAAATAGCTCATAGAAATAGAGCCAGATATTTCCCTACCTTCATTCTCTTTTGTCAGATCTGGTTTCAATCTTAACTGTCACTTACATAACCATGAGCAAATTACTTAACCTCTTAGAGCCCCAGTTTTCCCACTTGTAAAACATTATGGGAGATGTTCATTTAATAGTAGCTGTTGTTACTATCTTGCAGATGAGGAAACAGAGATAGAATATTTGATAAGGGCTGTAAGTGTCTTGCCCAGGTCATATAGTAACCTAATGGTAGCTCTAAACAAAAAGGTGTTGAAATGGTAGTATTTTCTAGAGATCATTGACCTAAGACATGTTCCATTTCACTTTATTTGAAAATCCTGTCCTGGTGTGCATGTTGCACACATTTCCCACCTACTTCCTTTAGGACCTCACCAGCCTGTTGACAAAGTCTCTGGAAACAACAACCCTTTAAATTTTTAGGGCCCAATAAGAGTTTTTAAAGGCTGGACCTGAGGCTCATTCCTGTAATCCCAGCACTTTGGGATGCTGAGGAGGGAGGATCACTTGAAGCCAGGAGAGACCAGCCTGGGTAACATATTGAGACCCTGTCTCTACCAAAAAAAAAAAAAAAAAAAAAAAAAAAAAAGAGACATTTTTACATATATCTACTGGGTGTTTGTATTCTAGTTCTGGCTCTGCCAGAAGTATGAGTGGCAGTTATTTGGAACAGATGACATGTCTAACAATAAGAGATTAATTGAAAATATCTAATGTCCGACCGATAATATAATCTTTTTTTTTTTTTTGAGATGGAGTTTCACTCTTGTTGCCCAGGCTGGAGTGCAATGTCGCCATCTTGGCTTGCCGCAACCTCTACCTCCCAGGTTCAAGCGATTCTCCTGCCTCAGCCTCCCAAGTAGCTGGGATTACAGGGATGCACCACCACGCCCAGCTAATTTTGTACTTTTAGTAGAGACAGGGTTTCTCCATGTTGGTCAGGCTGGTCTTGAACTCCCGACCTCAGGTGATCCACCCACCTCGGCCTCCCAAAATGTTGGGATTACAGGTGTGAGCCACCGCGGCCAGCCAATATAATCATTTTATGGCTTCTCTTGTTGTTTTACCTTATTTCCAAAACAGTGTATGCTCATTTTAGAAAAAATAGAGAATACTGACATGAGAAGAACATAGAGGAACACTAATAATTGTATATCTGTTTTTCTAGGTCTTTTAAAATGAACATACATACATTGTTTTTCAACAAAAATGAGAGTATATGCTATGTACTGTTGTATAACTCACCTTAATTTACTTAAGGAATTCTAGATTGGGTTTAGATTTGTTTCAGCTAATGCCCTGTTGGTAGACATTTAGGTTGTTTGAACTTTCACTATTAGCTAGTAGCATAAAGCAGAAATAATAGACTGAAATAAATTACAAATAAAAAGGCAAAAATGTGGGGACACTTTCATTTACAATTTTTTAAAGAGGGACAAAAATGTTTTAAAATGCACAAAAGATTGTAAATACACATACTCACAACAGTATACAAAAAATTACCTGTATTCAGAGAATGACTGGTTTACTGTTTCTACAAAAAGCCATGCTGACTAGAAGCTTGCTTTTGTCCAGCTTGTGCTTGGTCAAACAATAATAGGCCTAACCAGCTGGAGCCATGTGAGAGTTGAGGGAAAGGCAGGGTGATAAGGCACATGATTGAGGATCTGGAAGATTTTTCATCAAACAATCTTAAAATCCATGGGCAAACACAATTGTTTCCAACAGGGAACTTTTAATGAAAAGGGCATGGGTGGGAGACTATTATTTACTGAAGTACTTACTGTTCTGTGCCAAGTATTTATGCTAGTTGCTTTGCATGCCATCTTTTATAATTTTCTGGCCTGCAGTATAGGATATCCTTGTGTTCATGAGGATTAGGTAAAGGGACTTTTCTATGATATTATGTCTGGTAAATGGTACAGCTGACTTTTGAATCCACACTGCCTGCCTTCAGAACCCCCGTTCTTCCCACTGGACTATGATGGCTCCTTTAGGATAGCCAGAGGAGGAAATATCTTCTTTTGATTCACAGTAAGAATGTTTAGATGGGTCTCTACGAAGTAAGTTTAGGGCTTGCTCTGAACTTACTCTGGCCTGGCCCTGCTCACCTTCCAAGCCGGCCCACATGCAGATACAGGAGAAGGAAAAAAGGACACTGGTGCTAACATAGAATAGATACTCAAAAATTATTTACCAATAAGTAAGTTAACTGATTGTGTCTATTTTTTAAAATATCAAAACCCAGGCTTTGAAAATTGAAGTGATTTGCCCAAAGTCACAGAGCTAAAAAGTAAAAGAGCTGGAATTTAAACCTAGGTCTGCCTATAAATGAAGCGCCACTGTTGCATAACACTACAGGTTGTCTCAGTTTGACACCTGCTGTCAGTGTCCACAACAGTAGGGAAGGGGACATGACCTGAGCACAGGTAACACTCTATTTAAGGTATCTCCTGTCACTAACTTGGAGTTGCAGCAACCTTTCCAATCCAGAAGCCAGACCAGATTAAAAGTCTTTTCGTCTTTCTTCCCTCTTCTCTCACAACGCTTATATCTCCCTCTGTGATGGCCTTTGTCCCTGGCAGCCTAATATCAGGGTTACTTATGTTCTTGCTTGTCTTTCTCATTAGATGGTGAGTTCACGGAGGGCAAGAATTATGTCTTCCTTTTGCATTCATTATAGCACTTAGCACACATTAAGTGCTCAAATAAGTATTTATTTAGTTAAATTGGCCAAAGTTTGTGCACTTGGCTTATTTTTGAAGGCAGTCGCTCAAGTATTAACATTTAATGTATACATAATTCTAAAAAGCATGGATTTTTGGCTTTCCAGCCTACAACTAATTATAGCACTGGGAAAGGGCTAAGAAAGGTTGTAGGATACAGGCTTTGGGATGATAAAATAAGTATAAAAGTGAACTTTAGCAACCTGAGTGTAAATGTAAACAAAGATGCCTTTAGTTATGTGCTCCTAATTTCCTCCATTTTTAAGGGTGGAAAAAAGGCTTGGCATATATATATATATATATATATATATATATATATATATATATCCTTTGTATATATAAAGGAAAATTCCTGTGGACTCTTCTGTCTCCTCAAGCTGTCACTTCCTCTCCTTTCCTTTACTGTCAGCATCTTTACTCACTCTGTCTCAAAAAAAAAAAAAAGAAAGAAAGAAAGAAAAGAAATAGAAGCCTTGAACAACACTGTACACCACGTATACCCAACAGTCACCTAGAGGGCACTCCAATAATAGAATATAATTCTCAAGAATACATGGAACAATCTTCAGGATAGACAGTGTGCTAGGCCATAAAACAACTCTCAGTACGTATAAAGGATTGAACTCATACCAAAGTATGTTCTGTGACTGCAGTGGAACAAAATTAGAAATCAGTAACAGAAAGAAATTTGAGAAATTCACAGTTACGTGAAAATTAAATGACACATTCCTAAATAACCAGTGGGTCAAAAAAGAAATCACAAGGAAAATGAGAAAATACTTTGAGATGAATGAAACATAACATACCAAAATGTCTGGGAAATTTATAGCTGTAAGTGCTTACATTAAAAAAGAAGAGGCCGGGCGCGGTGGCTCATGCCTGTAATCCCAGCACTTTGGGAGGCTGAGGCAGACGGATCATGAGGTCAGGAGATCGAGACCATCCTGGCTAACACGGCGAAACCCCATCTCTACTAAAAAATACAAAAAATTAGCCGTGCGTGGTGGCGGGCGCCTGTAGTCTCAGCTACTCGGGAGGCTGAGGCAGGAGAATGGCGTGAATCCGGGAGGTGGAGCTTGCAGTGAGCCGAGATTGTGCCATTGCACTCCAGCCTGGGCGACAGAGTGAGACTCCGTCTCAAAAAAAAAAAAAAAAAAGAAGAAGAAAGACCTCAACTCAATAACTGAATCTTTCACCTTAACACACTGCGGGGAAAAAGAGCAAATGAAGCCTAAATCAAGTACAGGAAAGGACATGATAAAGAAATCAGTGAAATAAAATGGAGAAAAACAGAGAAAATCAATAAACCAAAAGTTGGTTATTTTAAAAGACTGGCAAAATCAACAAACCTTTTTAGCTTTAGCTAGGCTGATGAAGAACAAAAGAGAGAAGTCTCCAATTACTAAAATCAAGAATGATACAGAGGACATTACTACAGACTTTTAATAGAAATAAAAAGGAATATGAGGTAAGACCGTGAACAATTGTATGCTAACAAATTAGGCACCTAGGTGAAATAGACAAATTCCTAGAAAGAAAGAAACTGCCAACACCGACTCGTGAAGAAATAGAAAATCTGACTAGACCTATAAGAGAGAATTAGTAATCAAAAAACTTTCCGCAAAGAAAAGCCCAGGACCAGATGGCGTCATTGGTGAGTTCTACCAAATATTTGAGTAAGAATTATCACCAATCCTGCACAAACTCTTTGAAAAAATGGAAGATAAAGGAACACTTTCTAACTCGTTCTATGAGGCCAACATTACCTTGATACCAAAACCAGGCAAAGACATCACAAGAAAACTATAGATAGACCAATAACCCATTTGAATACAAATGTAGAAACCCAGAACAAAATAGGAGCATTGTTTTGGGTCCTATCCAACACCTGATATTGTTACACTTTAAAATTTTTTTGCCTGCCTAGACTGGGTGTGGTGGCTCACGCCTGTAATCCCAGCACTTTGGGAGGCTGAGGTGGGCGGATCACAAGGTCAGGAGATCGAGACCATCTTGGCCAACGTGGTGAAACCCCATCTCTACTAAGATACAAAAAATTAGCCAAGCGTGGTGGCATGTGCCTGTAATCCCAGCTACTTGGGAGGCTGAGGCAGGGGAATCGCTTGAACCCGGGATGCGGAGGTTGTGGTGAACTGAGATAGCGCCACTGCACTCCAGCCTGGTGACAGAGCAAGACTCTGTCTCAAAAAAAAAAAAAAAGTCTGTCTGATAGGTATGAAATGATATAACATTCCTTTTTTGTGCATTTTGCTGATTACTCTTGTGGTTGAACATCTTTCTGTTTCTCCCCAGTCAGCTGTATGGTTTCTTTTGTGAATTGTTGCCTGATTAGATTCTATTGGCTTATTTTCATTTCTTCTTGATTGATATGAGTTTTTTAATCTGGCCTCTAGTCCAATGTTACATATGTTACAAATGTCTTTTATTTCTCTGTGCTTGCCTTTTAACTTTGTTTATGGCATCTTCTGACATATAGAACTTTATGTTTTAATTAGTTAATTTTTTCACCCTTTTGTGGTTCTCCCTTTTGGTATCATCTAAGAAACACTTTGTAATCCCAAGGTCATACTGATATTCTCTGGGACTCTGATATTCTCCTATTTCTTTTTCTTTTTTTTCCTTTTTCTTCTTTTGAGACAGGGTATCACTTTGTCACCAGGCTAGAGTGCAGTGGTGCAGTCACGGCTCACTGCAGCCTCCATCTCCTGGGCTCAAGTGATCCTCCCACCTCAGTCTCCCTTGTAGCTGGGACTGTGGGCACACACCACCGCTTTTTGTAGAGCCAGGGTCTCGCTACATTGCCCAGGCAAGTCTCAAACTCTTGTGCTCAAGCAGCGGTCCTCCTTCCTCAGCCTCCCAAAGTGTTGGGATTTCAGGAGTGAGCCACCACGACCAGCCTGTTTTATTTTAAAGTCTTTGGTCTTTCTAGAATTGGAGAAGTGTGAGGTGTGGGGTGGGGGTGTCTAATTTTATTATTTTACATGGAAAACAAGTGTTCTAATATATTTTGTTGAATCTGAGCAAGATTTTTCCCTTCAGTAAATCTCTTTAAATGGAACAGTAGAATAAAAGAGTGGGCCAGGCGCAGTGGCTCACACTTGTAATCCCAGCACTTTGGGAGGTCGAGGCAGGCAGATCACTTGAGGCCAGGAGTTCAAGACCAGCCTGGCCAACATGGCGAAACCCCGTCTCTACTAAAAATACAAAAATTAGCTGGGCGCGGTGGCAGGCGCCTGTAATCCCAGCTACTCAGGAGGCTGAGGCAGGAGAATCACTTGAACCTGGGAGGCAGAGGTTGCAGTGAGCAGAGATCACACCATTGCACTCCAGCTTGGGCGACAAGAGCAAAACTCCGACTCAAAAAAAAAAAAAAAAAAAAAAAGTGACCTGAGAGACAAAGGTATTCATGGACCAAATTATCGATTCACAAAATTTCACCTTGCTCTTTGATCTGTTTTAGAAGATAAACACACAGAGGTCAGAGACACCAAACAACCTCTAAAGTGTTGAGTACCTCCCAAGTGCCTTATAAATGTAGGAGAAAAAAGAAGCAACAGCACACTCCTAGAATGGGGATTGAGAGAATAGGCCATCTGCTTCCCATTAAAATTTCTCCTATACCAGCAGATAGGGAACTGCAGAGATATTTTTAGATTTGTTAAAAAAAAAATTGTCCTGAGGCAACAGCACACTCTTGGCCTTATATATTTACGTAGGAGCAGTTATATTACTAGCGTCTAAGCAACTTATTTTCTTATCTTTTTTGTTGTTGATACTGTTTGTACACTAATAACATAGGAAGTTAAGGCTGATCTGGTTTTAGCAGCCTTTCTGTGCTAGGGCTCAGCCTAGGTGAATGACCCAGAGGTTGCTGGCCTTTAACCTGGATAGGTATGCTTTCTCTGAAGATGCAGCACAACTCAGAGCGCAATTGATTACTGGATATTTCCTCCTGTCTTGTTACCTCAGGAGGAGCTGCCTTGCCCTAGATGAGAACAGTGCCTCATTTATTATAGTTCACACCCTTTACAATTCCCTGCAGCTCGCCAGTGGAAGGCTGGGTGGCTGGGCCTTGAATCTAATATACAGGCTATCTTAGATTCAGGTCTGGTGGACAGGTTCAGAGCCAGCACTACAGAACTGCTGCCTGCTTGGGCTGACCTACATTTTCACCAGTATAGCACTCTCAGCAGTCAAGCCTCCCAGCTAGTAAGAGAAATTCAGATTCATGCATTTTTCTGGAGCTAACAGATTCAAGGGTCTATTTATTTTATTTCCTTCTGCCTATCAAAGAAAAGAAGGGGGGGTGAGGCGGGGGGATAGTACTTGCAAACCCTGCAGTTAGAGTGTTTCCCGTCATTCTTTGTAGCTTCTTAGCCCACAGGACTAAAATGGGGTTTTGTGCTCAGGATCAGATTTTGTAGGCTCTGCCTCCTAAACATCTTTGTAGTCCCTCCTCTCTTCATCCTATTGCTAGTGTTTTAGCTTTTCCTTTGGGCTACTGTAGTGACTTACTATCGTGTTCCTCCTTCTCTGATCTTAACCACTCTGAACTCCTTTTCATTCTGCCGCCAGAGTAGTTTTTGTAAGACATACATATGAAACCCCCCAGTTTAAAACCCTCCAATGTTTTCCTGTTATTTTTTGATTAATTCCATCCCTTAGCCTGGCATTCAAATCCCTTCACAGCCTGTCCCCCAGTCTACCTTTTTATCTTTATTTCCTGCCACTTTTCCCCGCACGCAGTAAATTCCAACTGTACTTAACTGTTTGCCATTTCCCTAATGTGGTATGCACTTTCATACCTTCATGCATGGAATCAGTATATATTTCTTTGTTCCTGCCCCCTCCGCACCTTGACAAACTCCTCCCATTCATTGTTCAAAGCCAACTAAAATGTTTATTTCTCTAAGAAGCCTTTCCCAACTATTCTAAACATGTTCTTCATTTCCTCCTCAGCATTCTGATAACACTTTCAGCATTCTCTGATTATATCTTACATATATTACTGCTAGAGATTAATTTAAATAACTATATTATTTTCCCATTAGACTGTAAGTGCTCTGTAAAGAACCTAGCACCCTGCTTGCCACAGAGTATTTGCCAGATGCTATGATGATGATGGTGATGATGATGATGATGACGATGATGATGATGATGATGAAATCTGGATGCAGTCACTTTAGGCCTTCACTGACCACAATCACCATAGTCTTGTTATGTCAGCTTAATTATCTTTTTTTAATTGGGGAAAAACTATCAGCAGAGGAATCAACGAGGCAAGAAGAAAAATTGAATTGTTTTAAGGGAAGGGGATTTGTAAATTGAAGTCTGATCACAGGTGAGCAGTCAGGATGAGGGAAGATTGAAGGAACTGGGTCTGTTGGATTTGAACACAAGAAAATTCAGGAGGAATCATGGATATCTTCATATCTCTAGCAAGCTGTCCAGGAGGAGAGGAAACAGACATGTTCTGTGAGGGTAGAACTAGGACCAGGAACTAGAGTGCAATGGTGCGATCTCGACTCACTGCAACCTCTGTGTCTTGGGTTCAAGCAGTTCTCCTGCCTCAGCCTCTGCACTCCAGTGGCTGAAAAAATGTTCAGGGTAAGATTCTTAATAAGTCAGATTTTTAGCTCAGAGTGAAGAATTTTCTAACTTCAGAGCTCTCCAGTCGGTGCTTTGACTCACTGAAGAGGTTCTGAGCATACCATCATTAGAAGAGTATGCTGCGGGAGGCTGAGGCAGAAGAATTGCTTGAACCGAGGAGGCAGAGGTTACAGTGAGTTGAGATCGCACCACTGCACTTTAGATTGGGCGATAGAGTGAGACTCTGTCTCAAAAAAAAAAAAAAAAAAAAAGAGTGGCCGGGCGTGGTAGCTCACACCTGTAAATCCCAGCACTTTGGGAGGCCGAGGTGGGTGGATCACGAGGTCAAGAGTTCAATACCAGCTTGGCCAACATGATGAAACCCCATCTCTACTAAGAATACAAAAATTAGCCAGGTGGGGTGGCATGTGCCTGTAATCCCAGCTGCTTGGGAGGCTGAGGCAGGAGAATTGCTTGAACCCAGGAGGCGGAGGTTGCAGTAAGCCGAGATAGCGCCACTGCACTGCAGCCTGGAGACAGAGCAAGACTCCGTCTTGGAAAAAAAAAAAAAGTATGCTGGCAGAGGCTATGCTGCCAGTCATGTGTGCCACTATAAAGGGTATTCCTGTGCTGAGTGACAAGTTGGACTCAATCACCTCTAATACCCCTTCCAACTCTATAATTCAGTGCCTGTGATACTTTTCAATAACACAACCATGACCTTTCCACTGAGTGGAAACAGTAGTTGTTGTTTTATTTCTTTTCTTAAACACAGCCATCTTTGACCAAATTGACTCTCCAGAGTAATTTCCTTTTTTCCTTGGTTTTGAAGATAAAGTAAAAGAATTTTGGCAAAGTAAATGGCAGCCAAATCCAGAGATTTTCTCTGAGTAGACTCATTTTGAGGAGAGGCAGGGAGGTTGGTAGGAATGGGTTCTGTCTCCACTCTCTACTTATTAGCTCTGTAAGAGAAGTCTTAATATCCTCTCTCTAAAATGGAACTAGTAATATATTTTGTTGACTTTGGGTAGAGATTAAATCAGATATAGAAGTGCCTAGCACAGTGGCCAGAACATAATACAGATTCAAAATTACATCCTTCCTCTTGCCCTCTTCTTTATTATCTTGAGAGAATAAAGATTTTTTTTTTGGTCATTGTTTTGGTTTTGATCACCCTAGGGGGTCATTTGCAGGGCAGTTTTCTTTTTAATTGTGAGCTTCAGACCTAAAATGTCTTCATTGCCTAAGTATTCTCCTGCTCACAAAGAAGTAAGCCTCTTTGTCTTTCTGAGCCAGGGAGTTTGTCTTCCTCTGGCCTTTTGATACTCTGCTATTTTAAGCTCCTAAAGGTAAAGTATTTTCAGAAATAGTCCCCTGATTTCTGTTGAAAGTAATTTCTAATTTCCATATTAATCAAAAAATAGCTTTACATTTCTTTAGTCCTAATCCTAGTACCAACAAGAAAAGAGGCTTAGATTGTATTGACATCTATAAAGCAATTAAAATGTACACATCAAAATCCCAGAATACCTGATCACTACTGCAGCCTTTAGGATATAAAGGAAAAAAGCTAACTTGTGTCCATTTATTCTCTTCACTCTTGACCTTCAAAAAATACAAATACAAAAGGGGCAGGCTTGTTTCTAAGGACAAAGTGATAATTATTTGGTAGGTGTGGAAAAGGCATTGCTTTTGGGATTCCCTTCCCAATTCGACCACTGACTTGCTGAATAATCTTAACCAGAAAGTTACTTCACCTCTCAACCTCTATTTGATTAGCTATAAAATGGGAGAAATCACATTAGGATTGATTTGAGGCTCAAATGAAAAGCAAATGCGAAAATATCTTTTGTATGAGAAATGAGTGAAATAGAGACGGTATGTCTTTTCAAGAACTCAGTGTACAGTCATGTGTCACAAGACTGTAGAGATCCTGAGCTCAAGCAATCCTCCTACTTCAGCCTCCCAGAGTGTTGAGATTACAGGTGTGAGCCACCATACCTGACCAGACATAATGTATTAACAGTTATAAAACTCCTGGACTCAGGCAATGCTTGAGATCCTGTAATTAATAAATAAATAAATAAGTAAAGTAAGAAGGGAAGGAAGGAAGGTAAGAAAAGAAGTAAGAAAGGAAGGAAAGAGAGGGAGGGAGGACCAAATAAAGCTCCCTGTAATGCTGCCATTATATAATATCTGCCAAATTCAAGTGAATTAAAAATAATTCCACTTGGAAACATTGAAGGAACATCCTATAATTGCCCCTAAAGTGAAAGACATCTGAAATGACAAAACAGGAGTGTGATTACCTGTGGCTGCACAATTTCTCACATGAAGCTGAGTACAGATTTTGGCTATGAGACTGGATCACCTGGCTTCCCAGATTAGACCCCTGACTTTCTTCTTGAGAAGTAGCACACCTCCAGATTGCTAATTAATCAACAAGTTAGCTACCTCAGTTCTAAAATCAGAAAATGATCAGGGGGTAAAGAGATGAATTTTCTTTGGAATTGGAAAGGATTTAGGGAAAGGCATATTAACAAAGATACATTATTAAAGCTCCAGTATTTACAAATCCCAAAGAAGCTTTTAGGGATTTAGGGATTTAATCTTTGACTTTTAAAACCAGCTTTTCATTGTCAGTCAGAATACCAGTGAGCATTTAACAACTGCAGGAAGCAGTGAGACAGGCACTTATACACTGCTAGAACAAGTACAAATTGATGGTCTTTCTAGAAAACAGTATGGCAAAGTATGTGAAGGTTCTTGGGATGTCACGTCTCTTCAAACCTCCACTATTTCCCTGAATCCCACATCTATTGCCAGGAGCTTGCAGTAGCCTCTCAGCTGATTGCTATGCTTCTCTACCCGCTTATAGTCTGTTTTCAACACATCAATCAGAGTGACCCTTTTCAAACATAAGTCAAAGCATGTTATTCTTCTGCTGAAAACCCTATGAGGTCTTCTCATTTCACTCAGAATAGAAGTCTAAGTCCTCACAGTGGCCTGTAAAGCCCTACATGAACTGGCCAGCCCTTTACCTCTCTGACTTACTCTACTACTACTGCCCCCTCATTTGTTCCATTCCAGCCACACTGGCCTTTTTGCTGTTCCTCCAACATTGTCCCATATGCTGTCACCTTAGGGCCTTTGCACTGACTGTTTTGTCTAAAACACTCCTTCAGCTATCTGCTTAACACTATCATTTCCTTTAAGCCTTTGCAAAAATAATACCTTCTCAATATGTCTTACTTTGATTATCATGTTTAATATTGCAGTGCCCTTACCCTCGACACTTTGGCACTTCTGGTTCCCTTTACTTTGCCCATTTTCTCTTTTCCATAGCACTGAAGACTTTATGTTTAATATTTATCCAAGGGTGCCTTCTCCCACCCTCTTAGGATATAAACTCCACAAGGGCAGGAATCTTTGTTTTGTTCACTGACAAAAGTCCCTAAACCAGTGTCTGGCACCAAGTAGATACTCAGATTGTTTGTTGGATGGATAAACTTTAAAAATAGGCCTACCTGGCCAGGCACGATAGCTCACGCCTGTAATCCCAGCACTTTGGGAGGCCAAGGCAGGTGGATCACGAGATAAAGAGATCAAGACCATCCTGGCCAACATGGTGAAACCCCATCTCTACCAAAAATACAAAAATTAGCTGGGTGTGGTGGTATGTGCCTGTAATACCAACTACTTGGGAAGTTGAGGCAGGATAATCTCTTGAACCCGGGAGGCAGAGGTTGCAGTGAGCCAATACAGCGCCACTGCACTCCAGCCTGGCGACAGAGTGAAACTCCATCTCAAAAAAAAAAAAAAAAAAAAAAAAGGGCCTACCCTTTGACCTAGAGATTTGACTTCTAGAATTCATTCCTAAAGAAATAATCAGTCAGAGATTTACTTAGGTTATTTTAGTTTGTTAGCTATTATAAAAATGAAATTTTCAAACAACTAAAACAGGCAATGGTTAAATGATGTATCTACATACGGAATATCATAAAGATATTAAAATAAGCCTTTTGAAGAATATGTAATTACATGAGGAATTGTTTATAATGTTAAAGTGAAAAAGTAGAATATATAACTATGTATACCCCTACCTCATATCATATATAAAAATTAACTCAAAATGGATCAGTGATCTCAATATAAGCCAAAACCATAAAACTGTTAGAAGAAAACGTAAGGGTCAATCTTCATGACCTTGGATTTGGCAGTGGATTCTTAGATAGGACACTCAAAGGCATAATCAAGAAAAGAAAAAAATAGGTAAATTGGACTTAAAATTGATTTTTTTTTTTTGCATCAAAGGCTTTATAAAGAAAGTAAAAAGACAATCCACAGAATGGGAGAAAATATTTGTAAGTAATACATCTGATAATGGTTTAATATTCAGAATATATAAAGAACTTCTGCAGTGTAACAGCAAAAAGACAAACCACCCAATGAAAAAATGGGAAAATGCCCTGTAATCCCAGCACTTTAGGAGGCCGAGGCAGGAAAATCACTTGAGGCCAGGAGTTTGAGACCAGTGTGGGCAACATAATGAGACCCCCGTCTCTACAAAAAAAAAAAAAAAAAAAAAAAAAAAAAGGCGGGGCGTGGTGGCACGCACCTGTAGGCCTAGCTATTCAGGAAGCTGAAGCAGGAGGATTGCTTGAGCCCATGAGTTGGAAGCTACAGTGAGCTATGATCCTGCCATTATACTCCATCCTGGGTAATAGAACAAGACCCTGTCTCTTAAAAAATAAACAAATAATTGTTTTATTTTATTTTTATTATTATTTTTAGATGGAGTCTCACTCTGTCACCAGGCTGGAGTGCAGTGGCGTCATCTCGGCTCACTGCAGCCCCAGCCTCCCAAGTAGCTGGGAGTACAGGCACACGCTACCACACTCAGCTAATTTTTGTTATTTTTTTAGTAGAGACGGGGTTTCACCTTGTTTGTCAGGCTGGTCTCGATCTCTTGACTTTGTGATCTGCCAGTCTCAGCCTCCCAAAGTGCTGGGATTACAGGCATGAGCCACCGCGCCCGGCCAAATAATTGTATTTTTAAATGGGAAAATGATTTGGATAGACATTTCTCCAGAGAGGATATACAGATAGCCAATAAGTACATGAAAAATGCTCAATATCGTTAGTCGTTAGGGAAATGCAATTCAAAACCACACTAAGATCCCACTTCACACTTACTATAGGATGGCTATAATAATAATAATAATAATAATAAAACAAGGGTTGTTGAGGATGTAGAGAAATTTGAACTCTCATGCATTGCTGGAGGGAATGTAAAATAGTACAGACATTGTGAAAAACAGTTTGGTGGTTCCTTAAAAAGCTAAACATAGAATTACCATATGACCCAACAATTCTACTACTTGGTATTTATCCCAAAGATTTGAAAACAGGTACTCAAACAGATACTTACATGTCATTGTTTATTGTACCATTATTCACAATAGCCAAAAGGTAGAAACAACCTGGGCGTCCCTCAACAGATGAACGGATAAAGAAAGTCTGGCATATACACAGTGGAATATTATTCAGCCATAAAGAAGAAGGAAGTTTTGGTACATGTTACAACATGGATGAACCTTAAACACATTATGCTAAGTGAAAGAAGCCAGACACAAAAGGACAAATGGTGTATGATTCCACTTACATAAAATAATTACATAAAATAGGCAAATTCAGAGAGACAGAAAGTAGATTAGAGGTTACCAGGCTGAGTATTGGGGGATGTATTGTTAATGGTTACAGAGTTTCTGTTTGGGATGATGAAAATGTCTTGGAAACAAATAGTGATGATAGTTGCATAACATTGTAAATGTCATTAATGTTACTGAATTATATATTTAAAAATGGTTAAATTGCACATTTTATATTACACGTATTTTACCATGATAAAAAAAATTTCAAAAAATCCCCCAAACTGAATATAGTATACTGTAGTGAGCTGGAGCTGGTTTGTGTAAACTCTTGAGAGCTGATTGTGGGCACTTCTTCCGAACTACTCATTCAGTGATGTTGATAGCATCAAATTGGTCATAGTGGAAGCATTTATGCCATGGCAGTTGGCAAATGTTGCAAAGTAGCTCTCATTTCCAACCCCTTCGAGCCCGTTGTTAAATATTTACCAGCACACCACTGAATATATGTATATAAAAATGTGTAGAAAGCCATCTGGAAAGATAGATGCCAAACTGTTAATGGTGTTACTTCTGGGGAGGAGAGTAGTGCGGCAGGAATGTGAAAGTAAACTTGAACATAAAAAGTGTAAACTTCAATGTTGCTTCCATTTTTTTTGGCGGGGGGGTGTGGGGGGCAGCGGATGGAGTCTTGCTCTGTCGCCCAGGCTAGAGTGCAGCGGCATGATCTCAGCTCACTGCAACCTCTGCCTCCCGAGTTCAAGTGACTTTCCTGCCTCAGTCCCCATAGCAGCTGGGACCACAGGCGCCCACCACCACGCCTGGCTAATTTTTGTATTTTTAGTAGAGACGGGGTTTCACCATCTTGGCCAGGCTGGTCTTGAACTTCTGACCTCGTGATCCACCCGCCTCAGCCTCCCAAAGTGCTGGGATTACAGGCATGAGCCACCGTGCCTGGCCACTTACTTTTTTTTTTCTTTTTAATAGTGAGCATATAGAATATTTCTTGTATTGCTTTTAAAAAATAGACCAAAAAGTCTGCATATATTGGGATTTTGGTATTGGTAACTTTTCTCTTGAGAGGCTGAAAGCTGGTCACATATACTATCTGGAATAGCCCATGGAGAGACTGAACGCCAAACCTAGGACTTGGATTCTATTTCCTCAAAAATCTGGGTGTTTTTTTGTTTTGTTTTGTTTTGTTTTGTTTTTTTTGCCTAACTAAATAAGCCTTTTCTTATCTCTCTGTAGGTTACCCCACAGCCTATCCAGCAGCTGCCCCTGCCTACAATCCCAGCCTGTACCCCACCAATAGTCCCAGTTATGCTCCAGGTAAGGAGGAAATGGGACAGCAGTGGCGAATGGAGTGGGAAGGGGGACTCTATTTGGGAAAAGCAAAACCACTTGCTGGCCTTTTCCTGTTCTTAATTGCTCCGGGCGCAGCCTCTCCAGGCTGGATTTTCCTGGGAGTCCCTTCTGGGAACTGGGACAATCAGCCTCAGGGTAGGGGCGGGAATAGAATCTCCTCCACTCTGTCTGGGACTTAAGGTTGGCTCATCTGTCCTATGCTGGAATGTCTGAGACCTGCATCCTCCTCATAGAACCTTTTCTGCTCTCCCAAGCAATGTCCAAATTCATTCTTTGCTCAGTTTTCCCTGAGGCTGCCATTGGGACACACACACACCTTGGGACACACACACACCCACACACCCCTTGGGACACACACACACACACACACACACACCTTGGGACACACACACACACACACACACACATGCTCTTGCCACCAGAGGGCAAAGAGATGGTTTTCAAGCTGAGATAAGCTACTTGTTTTTCAAAAATAATAAAGGCCCAACACTCGGATTGAGGTTGAAATGGGTTTGAAAATGTTGAAAAGGTTTATTCCATTTTGGGCTTGGATCATTGCAGTGGTCTTAGTTCTGATCTTAACACTCATGCTCAGCTGGTGCTCTAATACTCAAGAGCAGGAGAAAGAGTATGGGCTCTGTGGTTAGAAAGTCCTGGGTTTGAATCCTGATTACCCAACTCACTAGTTGTAAGGCCTTGGGCAAGTCACCTCACCTCTCTAAGATTCAAATGTGACTACCTGCCTCAGGGTTGTGGATGGTTTTATGTAAGTTCCATTTACTCAATAAGTATTGAATGTCTTCCATACTGGAATAGAAAAATTAAATGATGCCATCTTTGCCTGCCTGAAGTAGCTCCCATTTGGGAGCCTGGCATATAAACTCACTGCAGTACTAATGTGCTAAGTATTGTAAAAAGGAATACATGGAAGGAGGAGGGAACAACGGTCTGCCTGGGGGTGAAAGTGTAGGGGAAGCTTCAGAGAGTGGAGAACAACAGAGATTTGAAGAAGTAGAAGCTGTTCTTTAAGCACACAAAGGAATAGTGGGCATTCCAGGCAGAGTAGAGCATGGGCAGAGGCTTAGAGATGTGAGAACATGACACTGTGAGGAACGTAGAAGTAGGGGAGTGGCTAAACTGTGAGCAGCTAGATGAATCTGAACTATAGATATACAAGGGCTGACTTGGAGAGGCCTTGAATGTCTTGATAATACCCGCCCATTTTCTTGTTTAGCACTTATCATTATAGAATTAGAAAGCTTCAAAAGACCTTAGAGATCGTCCAGTTCAACCTTTTCTCTTGAAAAAGGAGAATCAAAAAGCAGTGTTTTGTCCCAAGTTACCCAGTGAGTCAGCAGCCACATATGGACTAGAATCTTTGGCAGATCTCCTGACTCTCGTCCTATGCTTTTCTCTGCCAATCTAGTATTTATTCTACTGTCATTCTCTTTCTTGGGGCTTACTTAAAGGAGAAAAGAATACAGGTTGTCTGAAGACCTAGATTTGAGTCCTCACTGTGTCATTTCCTAGATTCGCAACCTTAGAGTCACCTGACCTATCAGAACCTCATTTCCCCCATCTCTAAGTAGGAATCATGTCATAATTATACACACACACCAAGAAGTTATCAGACAGCCCCTGTTTTTTGGACAAACAAGAGCTATTTTATGTAAATAGGCTATGGTATCCCCTAAGGTGCTTACATAGATGTGTCATTTCACAGACATTTTGACCCACTCTGTTATGCCCAAGATACTTTGGAAGACCCTGTAGATGATTCAAACTTGAGGAAGCTGTAGTCATTGCCTTTGGAAAGCTTATGAAGGGAGCAGTGACACATGGGCTAAAGTTCTATAATGGTATCTCAGCACTGGTTTCATATTTACCTTTAGTCAATATGACATATAATATTTTCCCTAAGATCTATGATAGAAGGCAAAAACAATAAAAGCTACAGAAATTCTCTCTGATAATCAAATTTGGTAAGTTCTATCTTAACTACAATGGCTTTGAGGATCATGTGTATCATGATATATAAATGACTTAAATTTAAGTGCTATGAGATCTGTGAATTGACTTTGTAAACTGTCTAGAAACAAAATGAGTTGTTGCAAAAGGTCAAGTAAGATCAAGAGTGAAGAAGATTCATTGTCTTTCTAGTCAGGAGGCCATCAGTGGCCTCATTGGAAGCATTGTCAGTGAAGTGGTGAGGCTAGAAACCAGAGTGCAGTGAATCAGGAGTGAAGAAGTAGATTTAGCATATATAGCCTATTCTTACTAGAAGCTTAGCTACCAGGAAAGGAAAAACAAAAGGACACTGACTAGAAGTGAATGTAGGGTTGAAGGAAGGTTTTCTCAGGTATGAGTGTGGGGTACTGATAGGAAGGTGCAAGTGGAGAGGACAAGTCAGAGATACAGGAGAGGTGGTGCCAATCAGAGCCGGGCCTCCACAGAGGCTGCTGTAGGGGTGGGAAATCTGGAGCTCAGTTCTCTTCTTTGGTTTGGGAAGTTGAGTAGCAGGTGGAGACAGGGTGCCTCACGCAGGAGGGCAACTAAAGGAAAGACTAAAGGAAAGGTCACAGATAGATGTGCTTAGAATAAATTGCCCAGTGGAAAGTGGAGAATTCTCATCTAATGACCTTGATTTGCTGAGACAGAGGGGAGTAGAGATCAAGGAGGGTTCTTAACCAGGGAGGTCAGGATGTGAGAGCCTCACAGGAAGGAGTAGGACTGGAAACTACCAAAAGATAACAGAGCAGGGTCACATTGGGGGGCCCATCTGAATGGTGGAGGCTGTGAATTTGTCCAGGCTCTCATCCCCAGCACTGGGCTATTTTCTCATAATGTTCAGCACCTCTGGTGATAGACTGTGGGATTGTTTCGGATCAGTTTGCCAATAAGTGGAAAGACATGGAATAAATAGCTACTATTTATTGAATGTTTTCTATGTGTCAGGAACTATTTGAAGTTCTTTATCTATATTAGCTTGTTGCATATTGCAATAAACTTTTGAGGTTGGTACTCTTATTATCCCCATTTCCGAAATGGGAAAACTAAAGCTTAGAGAAGTTACATAATTAGCCCAAAGATCCAAGCCCCAGCACCCTGCCACTGTGCTGCATGAGCTCTTAACTGCTACATTGTGGTTGCATCAGTGGGCCAGAGAGAAATTAAGGCGTTAGACTGGCTAAAGAGGGAAAGGAGTGCAGATAGGAGGAGGCTGAAACTGTAGGGGAAAAAAAGAGATTGAGATTGAGTACATCCTGGCATGTTATTCAGCTTTAATTTTAAAACAAGCAAAAAGTAAGCCCTCATCTAACTTGATTTTCCCCAATTTTGTTTTTAAAAGTCAACATATTTCCAGGCTGGGCGCAGTGGCTCACACCTGTAATCTCAGCACTTTGGGAGGCCGAGGCGGGTGGATCACGAGGTCAGGAGATAGAGACCATCCTGGCTAACACCGTGAAACGCTGTCTCTACTAAAAATACAAAAAATTAGCCAGGCGTGGTGGCACGTGCCCATAATCCCAGCTACTCGGGAGGCTGAGGCAGGAGAATTGCTTGAACCCGGGAGGCGGAGGTTGCAGTGAGCCAAGATTGCGCCACTGCACTCCATCCTGGGCCGACAGAGTGAGACTCCATCTCAAAAAAAATAAATAAATAAAACATATTTCCAAACAAAAAATAAGCCCTCATCTAACTTGATTGTCCCCAATTTTGTTTTTAAAAGTCAACATATTTCTACTAAAGTCACCCAGACTATTTTCTCAAAAACACACAAAATCCATAAGAGAGGGTAGCGTTAGAGTATTGTATTTAAAGGCCCCAAACTCGGAGTTGAAAGACCTAGATTGTAGCACTAACTTTGCTTCTGATTTTGGTGCAACCTTGGGAAGATCCCTTTCCCTTTGAGTTACTTACACACACACACACACACACACACACACACAGCATATTTTGGAATCCTACACACACACACACATACACACACACACAGCATATTTTGGAATGCTGGCCTCTGGATTCACAGTGCAGATTTCCTGACTGGGGGACTTCCTACCATGGAGAAGCTGGCTCAAGGTCAGAAAGGACAGTGTAGGTTACTCTCACCTTCCTGCCAGAGCTAGCCATTTGTGATGCACAGAGGTGCCTTCAGAAGGAACCAGGCTCTTAGGTTTAAATTTCTTTCAGCTGCTTTAAGGAGACCCAGAAGTTGCTTGAGAGAGAGCTATTTTTAGCAGCTCTGAATACCCTGAGATGTCATCTGTCCAGGATGCAGGGAAACATTTCACTCTTTTCATTGGTTCTGAAAGCAATGTGGGTATTTGGAGCTTTTTCCCAAGCTCTTAATGATTTCAGGGATCTTATTTAAGAACTCTTTGGCCCCACAAGAGGTAGGAGCCAATCAAGACTTGGCTTTCAGAATCGAGGGACCTATTAATGGTAATCTGGCTTGAAAATAAATGAAGGGACGGATAAACAGGTTAACTAATACAGATAAAAATAAAATAACCTCCTCATGAGAATCTTTTGACAAAACATTTTCCCCTATTGTCTCATTTGATTTCACTGCATCCCTATAAAGTACAAATACATTATTCCCATTTTACATACAACAAACTTGGAGAAGGGTAGGGAAAAGGAATTTGTGCTTTCTGAACAGCTGCCCTGTTCCAAGCCCTGCACAAGTCATGTTACAAACATTCATTTTTACCTTAGTCTTGTGAGTTGGGGCTTCTTGCCTCCAACTTTGTTCAAACAGGTTAAATAAGTTGCCCAAAGTTATACAGCTAAAAACCAGTAGATTTGGGAGGGCAAGGCGGGGGGATCCCTTGAGGCCAAAGGTCAAGACCAGCCTGGGCAACATGGTAAGACCCTGTCTCTACAAAAAATTAAATTTTAAAAAACAGGCAGGCTTGGTGGCATGCACCTGTAGTCTCAGTTACTTAGGAGGCTGAGACAGAAGGATCACTTGAGCCCAGGAGCCGGAGGCTGCATTGAGCTATCATTGCACCACTGCATTCCAGCCTGGGCAACAAAGTGAGACACTGTCTCCAAAAAAGGCAGTATAGCTGGGATTCAAACCCAACTTGTCTGACCCTACAACCTGTGCTCCTTCTATAGCACCACAGTGACCCAGAGGCTTCAGGGATGGAGTGCCTCTGCACTGGTCCTATCTCTTAGAGGTTTTACAGACAGCTCTTTAGAGGCCAAAGATGGTGATATTGTCTCTGAACCTTCACTTCCTCTAACACATCTGCCATATGTGAAATCCCTCTGCAGTTCCTGGGAGAACTGAAATGTATTCTTATAACAGACAAGCAAAAAGCAGGAACTTGGGCTTGTTCACATCCGGCAGCTCTGGGTCAGCTGTCTGGAAGACACTATGGCATCCAGGGAGGGGCTCTCTGCATTGAATGGACTTTCCCAGATGACATGTCTGTCACCCTCTCTAGGGTAAAGGTGTTTTACATCTTTATTTACTGCTTTTGTGAAGCTGGGGGGAAACTGCTATTGCAAAACAAAGTCTGTTTATGTAACTGCAATGTATACAACTTTGCACAAATTCTTAGTGGTAATTTCAACTAACATTTCTATCCAACAGAGTTTCAGTTCCTGCATTCAGCTTATGGTAGGAAAGCTATTTTTCCTCATCTGTATTACAGCCTATGAATGTGTTCTCTCGTAACAATGGTAGATCCCCTCTCCTCTCCTCCCCAAATCCCATCCCCTAGGCTTGGGCTCCCCCCAGGTGGCTCAGCAGCAGTTCCTAAAGCATGCAGGAACGTGTCTGATGGTGCAAAAATCATGGGTTGGAGACACACATGAACCGTCCCTAGGGCAGCAGCAAAGGATCATGGCACTAAAAGGCGTCTCTCAACCTAACCTGGCTGCCGAATTCAAACAAACAAATGAATAAAAATTCCAGGGCCTGTATGCAGCTCCTCAGTTGGCTTTGTGGTAGCCTCTGTGAAGGAGTACCTGGATTATGCCTATTAGAACCCAAAAAACTAGTCTGCCCCAGGATCAGATTTTCCATCTCCATCGGCAGTCTGACATGTTTGAAGACCTGGTTGACTTTAGATACAATATGTTCCCTTAGCCCAGAACTTGAGCTCTGGGCTCATTTTCCTAGAAGATGGTGAGAGGTGGGGGGGGCAGCGTGCTGATAAATGAGGGACCAGAACTGGGTTCTCTGGACAGTGTGGACTCCAGGCCCAAGGCACCACGGGAACTTCTGGGCACCTGTGAGGGTCCCAACAGTATAACTTGACTAGGTCCTTTTTGTCATAGACAGGAAGGGACCATGGGAGGGACTTGCAACTTTCACCACCCTCACCTGGGCTGCTCAGGAAAATGTTTTTGTAAAATTTCTGCACCCTTTCTCAACTTTTAACCTTGAATTATTTGGATGCTGGAAATTGAATTTGTGTGTCGCGCATCTGTCAGGAGATGAGCTGTGAAATTTCTCCTTGCCACTGCTGTGGGCTGTGTGATCTTGGGCAATTTACTACTGTCTCCAGGCCATAGATAAATTGTTTAATTTCACATGATCTCTGAGGTCCCTTTAAATGCTAATACACTGTCCTCTTATAATTTTATTACTTCAATTTTGTTAGTTGCAGACCTGTTTCTCATGTAGTCATTTTTTGTTTGCCTCAGGATATATGAACCTGGACAGAAGGGTGCATAAAAAGTTAGAGAAGCTTTCATTCTTCCCCTTCCAGTTATAGCATCTGAAATAGATCTGCATAAAGAATACGGATGCAGTTCTTCACTTTATAAAATTCTGTGCCAGGCTCTAAGCTGGCCCTTTGAAAATACGAAGACTAGTAAGACAAGGGGCTTGTTCTCAAGGAGCTCACAGTTTAGTGGAGAGAAGACATGCCATCAAGTACAGGTGCTTCCAAGAATCATAGGGATTGGGATAGTCAGTTTATAGGTATGCATGAGAGAGCTGTGGTTAAGGGGTGGGGAGAAGGAAAGGCTTCGTAGTAGGTGTGAGTCTTCAGCTCATGATTGATGGATTAATTAATATTACCAGATGGAGTTTGGGGAGATACATGCCAGAAGAGGTAGCAGTGTGGACAAAAACATGGAGATGTGAAGCTCCTTGGCATATTCTGGGAATGATAAGCAGTTTCTGTGGCTGTAGTATGGGCTGGAGATTGAGAACAATGAGAGAGTCTAGAGAGGTCATTGGGACAAGATGATCATGGTGGGGCATTGAATGCTACACAGGAGTTCAAACTTTAGCTTAGAGTCAGTGGAGAACTATGGAATGTTTTCAAGAAAGGGGGTTTTATGATTAGGTTTAGGTCTTAGGTATATCGCTCTGAGTGCAGCTTGAAAATTGGGGGCAGCAGATTTAACATGAGGAAGCAGTTGCAGTAGTGTAGTTCAGATGAGAGACGATGAGAGCTTCAATTAGAGCTGTAGCCTACAACTTTGGAGATGGAAGAGGGGACAGAAACCAGAACTAGAAACTATAAGACTGGGTGACACTTTATTTTTGACCCTCACATCAGTACTATGAAGCAATCAAGGAGTGATGATTATTGCCATTTTATGAGACAACAAAACTGAAGTTTAGAAAGGTTAAGTAACTTGCCCAAGGTCCCATAGCTAATAAGTGGCAGAGCCCAGGCTACAACTCAGATTTCCTGACTCAGTACATTGTTCAGGATGATGGTCCCTTGCTGCCTCGTCTCCTTGTAAGTGTGCTAAACAGATTGTTCAACTGTCAGAGGGCGTGAGGGCCCCGTATCCAGGGAAGTGAACAACCCAGCACCTGGATGTGGGCAGCATGCTGTGACTGGGCCCATGGCCCTTCACTGCCAAGGGTTCTTTCTCTCTCTCTCTCTCGTTTAATTGAGGGATAACATATAGACGGCAAAGTATATAAAGTACACTTAAGTGTACAGCTTAATAATGTCTTTACATATGTATATGCCTATATTTAACTACCACTTAGTTCAAAATACAAAACATCTCTAGGAAGTGGTACTTTTCAAGCACCCAAAGGCAGGCATGCCATTCAGAGCAGCCTCCTCTGTGACCATGCCTCTAAAAGCTTCAGTTGGGATTGTCTTCATCCCACAACTGAGCTCTGAATCGCTCCCACCAATAGAATGGGTGACTTTAGAATCGTTATATGGAGGAGCTGGATCACATGGTACAACTAACTAATGGGGAGGTCAAGTTGACAGCTAATATTTGTTTTTTTGATGTGTTTTCACATTTATCTAGTTATGTAAATTATAAGGATTCAAATATACAGAGGCGTACGGAAAACACTAATTCATTTTCTTTGTAAAGAAACCAGAAGAAAATAAAGAAAAATATTTTTATTCAGAAAAATATACAGTATAGTTCATGTCATCAGTTGGAAAAGACATAGTAACCAAAGGCACAGTCGCACTTGCTTCTTTCCTGGTTAACCTGGAACATTATTTTACTATGTATCATGCTGTCTTGTTCACTCCCTGGTTGGCGTGTGGCTGTGTTGCATCCCCAGCTAGACCATAAGTACCTTGTGTGCGGTGACTGTGACCCACGTGTGTTCCCTTCCACCGTGGCGCTCCCCTCAGTGCTGAGTGCAGTGTAGACCTCAGTCACTCTTTGGATAAAAGAATGATTTACTCTTTTGTAAAGAATAAGTTAGTTTAATTTACTAACTTTAATGGTCACACAGTCCTTCAGGCTAATGTCAGACTTTTGGCTTATGATGAAAATTATGGTAAAGTATATACCACTTGGAGGAAAAAATTTGAATGGAAGAGAACCTCCAAATTCTCTAAATTCCTACAGCCAAATTCAGGCCTCCTGCCCCCTAATGGCATTCCTGCGGGGTCTTGAGGGCATGGGTTTGCTTTATCTGACTTTTCAGAGCTACATGTTTTACTTTTTAGAGAGTTGTTTTGGGTGGCCACTGCTTTCCAGCCACATGTGTGGCAGAGTCTAAATTTGGAGACATGTTGATAAGATTTGTTAACACTAATTGGATTCTTTATCCCTTTCCTGTTTCCCACCCCCCCAAAGAAAAGAAACGCAAAATGATTGTTTAAAACAGACTCTCCTCCTCCTGCATTGTCTGCAGAGCCATGTCTTCATGTCCAGGAAAGGCCCTGGGCTCTACATGGAGTACTGCTGGGTCTCCATTTCTCTTATCAGAATTCTCCTTTTAGTGTGACTTTCCTGCCCATGATTTCCTTCTCATTTCTCAGCATCTGCTGTATATATTGCTGGCCATTAATGCAAATGCAGAGTCAGCCTACAATAGCCATAATTCTAGCCTTGGTTCAACAAAAACAGCACAGTCCCTGACCTTCTCTGGCCCCAGTACTTCTGGGATCGAAGGAACCAGAGGCATTACCTGTTACCTGAATGGGCAGAGGGGGTTACGGGATCTCTCTAGAGGTAGAATGTCCTTGTCCTGGTGGAATTAGAGAGTGTATAGGCATACTTTATTCTCATAACACCCTGTCTTAGCCTCTTATTTAAATGTTTTAAGTATTGCCAATGCAGCCCCACCTTCTGCTAATATACTATATAGCACCCCATATCCATGACCCCCCCCCCAAGACTTTATTTGAGTGGAAAATATGTTGCTAAAATTCTTCGTTTTACCATAAACAGTAATTTGAGTCAAGAATGTTTCCTCTCTAGTGTTTGAAATTATAATAAGGAAAATGTCTAAAAAGTTAGGCAAGTCCCACTTCAGAACTCTGTTTCTCTTCTCCTTCCCTCAGGACACCATGAAGGTAAGTTTTTTGAGTCACTCCCCATTTCTAAAACATATGAAGTATCATCCTTCAGATGTCTCGAGCTGAGCTTTGAGTCAGCCTGGGAAGTCTTTGCAGATCTTAAACTGGGCCTCATCTATATTTCCTACCTACCCCAAATTTCATATGTGCTTTCTTAATGGCCCAAAGGACCACCTCTAATTCATGAGGAAATATCCCAGGTGGGGCACCCAGTAACACCTCAGTAGGAGATATTCAGGGGTATGCAAGAAGTATGTCTGTCTGGCCTCAGCTGGGTGTACAGGAGAAGGAGTTATTAGCAAGGAGTGCCCCACTGGCTAACTAGGTTCGGTGTGGCACAGTGCCCAGTGCCTTTTAAGCTACCATGGCCACAGCTCAGTCCCTTCAGAAGAGATGGTAGTCCAGCAAGGTTCATGTAATGTGGTCATTATTTGTGGGCCTGTCTTTGAAAGCAGCTTATAAATATACCTCCAGATGATATTTCAGACAACAAAGAGTGCTCAGTTGATCTGGTGACACACAAAGGCTCCCAAGTTGTTACACATTAATGAGAAAGTGGCTGAGGAATATACCAGAGCCCTAGGCCACAGTGTCAGGTAGTAGGAGATGGTTATTCATGGGCATCTTTGTGGTTTTAGTAGTAGGTAGAAAGTCCTGACTCTTTTAGTGTAAGTTCAGATTTCCTTGATTTCAAATCATTTGGAAACATACTTCAGCACTCCTCCTAACCCACTCAACCATCTCAGAAAGGCTGACCATCCCATGTGTCTGAACAGGCCCCTTGGGTTGTATGTTTCTGTCCAGCACAAGACCCTTGCTTTGTGTCTGTGATTGGTGGTGGCCACTTCTTATTTCTGTCTAATGCCATTCTTGTGTCTTCCCTTAAGCAACTCTGCTGATGAAACAGGCCTGGCCACAGAACTCGTCTTCCTGTGGCACTGAAGGCACCTTCCACCTCCCAGTGGACACCGGGACCGAGAACCGAACTTACCAAGCATCCTCTGCGGCTTTCAGTAAATACAGCCTGTCTCATTTCCTTGTTCCCCTTGGTTGGGACTGATTTGTTTCTTAGGAAGAAAGGAAAGGGAGCTTTTTAAAATGACATTTATGAGATAAATAATGTTTTAAGAGGTTCTTTTACCCAGGCAAAAAATTACCCCTCCTTATTCAGGAAAGGTCATTCTCTTTGATCATGCACTCAGCTTTGGGGAAACACAAAGCACTGAGGGAAGGAGAAGGAAATACTCACCTGGCCAACAAGTTGATTGGGGAAGGACTGTTACTGCATTTTAGGGGGAAAGGACAGAGGGCACATTTTGAAGGTCTGTGGGTCTTTGGACAGAGAGGGCTCCCCCCTCTAGCACAGGGCTTCTTAATCTCAGCACTATTGACATCTAGGCCAAATAATTCTTTGTTGTGGGGGCGCTGTCCTGTGCATTATAGGATGTTTAACAGCATCCCTGGCCTCTACCCTACATGCCAGTAGGAAAGCCTCATTGTGACAACCAAAAATGTTTCTAAACATTGCTAAGTGTCCCTTATGGGGCAAAATTGCCCTCTGTATGAGAAACACTGCCCTAGTGCAAGCTGCACTGTGGGACCAAGGTGTGTATGAGGAGTCTTCAGGGAGGCCAGAAACCAGCTAGCCAGTCAGACTGGTCATATTCATCCTGAGGCTCAGTAGGGTAACTGATGTTGTCACCGTCACATCTAATTTTTAACACAAAGTGGTTCCACTGGGGAAATGAGGACCAATGTTTAGAAATTACTGAGTGGCAGCCGGGCGCGGTGGCTCATGCCTGTAATCCCAGCACTTTGGGAGGCCAAGGTGGGCGGATCACGAGGTCAGGAGATTGAGACCATCCTGGCTAACACGGTGAAACCCTGTCTCCACTAAAAATACAAAAAAAATTAGCCGGGCATGGTGGTGGGCGCCTGTAGTCCCAGCTACTCAGGAGGCTGAGGCAGGAGAATGGCATGAACCCGGGAGGCGGAGCTTGCAGTGAGCCAAGATCACGCCACTGCACTCCAGCCTGGGCGACAGAACAAGACTCCGTCTCAAAAAAAAAAAAAAAAATGAAATTACTGAGTGGCATTTTGACTCCATATAAGGAAGAACTTTGTGTCTTGTTGGAGCTGTTCAATAGAGGAATGACTGACTTTGGATGTGGTGAGAACTTCTCTCTTAAGTTGTGAGGGCTGGATAAGCCCTCAAAGGGATATTCCAGGCAAGGCCTGATAGTGTGTGGTTCCACAAATTATTAATCTACTAAGTAAGTAGACTAGAAGAATTCATTGTATTTTTTTCTTTTCTTTAAAACATCTGTGTTAGTCTGTTCTTGTGTTGTTATAAAGAAATACCTGAGGCTGGGTAATTCATAAAGAAAAGAGGTTTAATTGGCTTACGGTTCTGCAGGCTGCACAAGCATGGTACCAACCCCTGCTTAGCTTCTGGTGAGGGCCTCAGGAAGCTTACAGTCATGGCGGAAGGCAAAAGAGGAAGCCAGCATATCACATGGTGAGAGAGGGAGCAAGGGGCTGGGAAGGTGCCACACTCTAAATAATCAGAGCTCACTCATCAGCAAGGGGATGGTGCTAAGCCATCATGAGGGATCTACCTCTGTGATCCAGTACCTCCCAGCAGGCCCCATTTCCAACACTGGAGGTTACATTTCAGCATGACATTTGGAGGAAACAAACATCTAAACCATATCAACATCCAATGTCATTTTCTCAAGTTTTCATTGCCCCTAGATGTCAACATCAGTTTATGTTTATACAACGTAACTCACCTTTTGTAAAATATAGTCTCATAATCACCCTTTCATTTAATCTACATTACACTCAGTCTACTAAGTTATTTAGGTGGATTTTCATCCCAGTTTGAACGATGAGGCCTAGAAAGGTAATAGGTCCAACGCCACCCAGCTAGTAAGCAGCACAGCCGGAAAAAGGTATCACCCAGGTTAAGATTCAGTTACTGACTTTTCTCATGAGATTGATTTTACTCTTTAAGAGAGGTATGTCAGGCCAGGCGCGGTGGCTCACACCTGTAATCCCAGCACTTTGGGAGGCCGAGGTGGGCGGATCACAAGGTCAGAAGATCGAGACCATCCTGGCCAACATGGTGAAACCCCATCTCTACTAAAAATACAAAAAATTAGCCAGGCATGGTGGCGGGTGCCTGTAGTCCCAGCTACTCGGGAGGCTGAGGCAGGAGAATGGTGTGAACCCAGAAGACGGAGCTGGCAGTGAGCCGAGATTGCGCCATTGCACTACAGCCTGGGCAACAGAGTGAGACTCCGTCTCAAAAAAAAAAAAAAAAAAGAGAGAGAGGTATGTCAGCCATAAGGAGTTTCTCCAGATACCTCAGGTAGAATGAATGAACATACGTAAGATTATATATATATAAAAATAGGGATATACATGTTCTCTCTTACATCTAAACATCTGGATATAGACGCATATAGGCACACCTACTGTAGTGTAGCAGAAAGCAGCCTGGAGTGGAAGCTGCATTGAATTCTAGACTGGGTTCTGTGTAACCTTGGATAATTGATGTCCATGCATTGGACCTTGATTTTTCAAACTGCAAAATGAGGGAACTGAACTAAATCATCTCCAAGGTTCTTTCTTGCAATTAGACTCCTTATCTCTCAGCAAGATGATGTGTACTCAGCGTCTTCCACCCCAACAGGGACCACCTCTCTAGCTGCCCTTAGCTGGCCAACAAACCATCTCCAAAAATGGAGTACTCATTCCCTTCAGAGGCAACCCTTTCCACAGGAAGTCTGAGTAACAGAAGGCCTTGCCTTCTACTATGTTGAAATCTTCCTGAAATCCCATTAAGTGTCCAGCAGCCACATCCCACTGTTCCCTCCCAGACAGGCTATCACAGTCCCTGAAAAAGACCAAAATGTACCCACCCCCACCTTTTTTTTGAGACAAGGTCTTGCTCTGTCACTCAGGCTGGAGTCCAGTGGCACAATCACGTCACACTGCAGTCTCAAGCTCCTAGGCTCAAGCAATCCTCCCTCCGCAGCCTCCCATGTAGCTGGGACCACAGGCATGCAAAACCATGCCCAGCTAATTTTTTTAATTTTTTGTAGAGATGGGGTTTTCCCACATTGCCTAGGCTGGTCTCGAACTCCTGGGCTCAAGCTGTCTGCCCACCAGCTACCATGCCTGGCCTACCTCTGTTTCAAGCAAGTAATGTATAAACCTGTGCCATTTTTTAATGCAGTTGGGGTTGACTGGCCCTCCCATACTCAAAAAGATTCCTCCCAGCATTCAGATTTTGTGGCTTCTAGTACCACAGAAAATTCAGGGCACTTTGACAAATTCAGTTCAATTTCACTGATACTTGCTAAGCCTGTTTGTAATTAGGTCTCCTGCTGATTCATCACTGTCTCACTTGGCTACCAACAAGGAGTCTTAGGGGTCAAAGCAAGATTCAGACATAGAGCTTTATTTTGTCCAGACATATAAATCTGATGATCAATAAACCAATTAGTCTAAAAGGCATCCGTGATGCAAGGATCAAGCCTTTGAAGGTGGTAGGGCTTCTACAACTGAAAAAGATTTATGACAGTGAAAAAGGATTGCAGAAAGCGCTGAAAAGGTTTTATCTTGTTAATGTACATACTCTTTTTATTATCCCATTTGATTCTAAAATTATGGTTAGGAACCTAAGAGAAAGAATAGGACATCATAAACAAAGCCTCTTTTATAAGGCAGAGCTGGGACTTCGAGTGATCTAATTCATTTTTTCTTTCATGATATTGCCTTTAGTGAAATGGGGACAACAAAGGCCAGTATATTAAATGCCCAAGATTGGACTACAGAGACTTTAACTCAGCAAGAGCTCTGCCTAGGGCAGGGTGAGCCCTGAACTTTGGGCCTAGCTGTGTACTGATGTGCTGTACAATTTGGGGAAAATCTGTCCTTCTGGGCTCCAGGTTCTTTCTCGGAAAAGGAGGAGGTTGAATATAAACCTCTAATGTCCTTCAGGCACAACATTCCAAAGTCTTAATTCTGTGACCTTCAGACTTAGAATTCCTTTCAGGATAGCCAGGCCTCCAGTGAGTGAACTGAGTCTAAGTTCATTTGGGCAAAATCTGTGAGACTTTTTTGCAACAAGCCCAACAGCTTCTTTTACTTAGATGCATAAAGTAATAAACCCTGATTTTTGTGTCACCCAAGCTCAGGCTATAGCTCCAGGGGAATTTTCAGTGTTCCTCAAGAGTATTGACAGGACCACTAGTAAATTATGGAAAGTCCTCTGAAATGATTTCCTCATGAAAGTCTTCTGAAATACTCAGAGACCTAGAATGTCAGCACTAGAGAAGTTCTCTGATACTGTCTAGTCCAAATGAGGATATTCCCTGAGAGGAATTGACCTGACTTACTGACAGAACCTAGGATGAGGGCCCCCAGGCAGTTTCTCCAGCCTCATGAAGATCCTCCTGACAAATGGTAACCTTGAGAACCACTGTGGTTAGAGGAAGTAGCACTGAGTCTTAGATCCCCACAAACAGCTCTCTCTTTCAGCAACTACTCATTATCTCATCTGTGAAATGTTTACGTTGGTCTTAATGATCTCTGAGTCTTCTAGCTCTGCAGTTCTGCTTCTATCTCAGACTGTCTGGACAAACAAGCAAGGCCTTCTTCTGCAGCATCATCTCTTTGGCTGCCAAGGGTGTTTTGGCTACTGATTTGTATTCTGAGTATGTGTGTGTCTCATTTCATAACATGAAGAAAGGGAAACATTCTCAGACAAGGTTATTCTTAGATGTGGGAACCAAATTCTACTGCAGTCTCTTGGAGCTTTTTGATTTTCCTCAGAGGGATAGTCTCACCACTTTGTAATATGGCTGTCCTTGTGGCATACAGTGGGTAATCCAGCTTCCCCAGGGAAGAGAAAAATTCCAGAGCACATTCTCCAGGAGCATAAAGGAAAGTCATCAGCATCTTTGGCCTGTTAACTTTAAAGAATCATAAAATCATGGCATTTTAAGCCATAACATTTTAGAATCTTAGAATCCTGGAGTCTGTGTTCCAAGCTGGGACAGACCATAGTAGTCATAGATTAGCTTTAGTCTCTCAGACCAGGCTCTGCCTGCATACCCTTAGGACAGAAGCTTACTGTCCCTATAAAGTGAGAGAGAAAATAATAATAGCTGATCTTTATAAAGTGCTTCTAATATGTCAGGTACTGTTCTAAGTGCTTTTTACTTAACAGTTAATGTATTTATCACAATGAAGTAGGTACCATTACTGTTCCCATATCACACGCGAGACTGATGTATCCTATAGCTATTAAGTCTCAGAGCTGGGGGTTTGGACCCAGGCAGTCAGTCTGTCTCCAGACTGCTCATAACCATGGCTCTGTGCTACAGAGCTTTCAGAAACAGGCACCTTCTGATTCAGGGGTGTCCTACTCTCCTGCATAGAAAAGGGATGCTTTCAGCTCTGCTAGGTTTCTCTACACCTTGATATATTCCTTTAAATTAGGGGTCAGCAAACATTCCTGTAAAGGGCCAAATATTTAGGCTTTTAAAAAGGCCATATGCTCTCTGTCAGTGACTACCATTGTAGCAGGAAAGTAGCCTTAGTCAATATGTAAATGAATGGATGTGGATGTGTTACAATATAACTTTGTTTACCAAAACTAGCTTCAATTACAAAAAACATGGCTGAAATTTAATTGTTTTAAATGTTTATAGTATGAATAAAAGATTCTGTGGTAAAATTAATTTGGAAAATACAGTCTTGTACATACTCCCATCTTAGAGATTCACAGTTCACCTCCCCACCTTCTTTAAGAGACAGGGTCCTGCTCTGTCACCCAGGCTGAAGTACAGTGTTGTGATCATGGCTCACAACAGCCTTAGACTCCTGGGCTCAAGCCATCCTCATGCCTCAGCCTCCCAAGTAGCTGGGGACTACACCAGCCACCATGCCTGGCTAAGTTTTTTTCTTTTTTTAGAGATGTAGTCTGTCTGTGTTACCCAGGCTGGTGTTAAACTCCTGGTCTCAAGTGCTTCTCCTGCCTTGGCCTCCCAAAGTGCTGGGATTATAGGTGAGAGCCATCACATCCAGCCCATCCTATTGTTTTAAAAACTTCTCAGGGTCATGGAATAAAAACAAAATCTTAACTGTTTATCTCTATTTTACATATGGGACTATAGAACTCTTTTGTTTCCTTTTCTTTGGCAAAAACAACTATTAAGATCCCTTGGGATCTATAGTACGTTGTCCACATTTGGGAAATGTCTATCTCTGGTTTATCTATAAAACCCCTTTATTTTATAGATAAGTAAATTGTGTCTCCGTACACATCAGATGGTTCCTTCTAGACATCTGCAAAGCTAGTCTCCCTGTCTTCCCCCACAGTATCTGCTTCTCCTCCTATGACCACATTTCATCATTAGCTCCATAATCTAGAAACTTTGAGAAATCTGCTCTAGACTTCTCACTCAGCTCATAGTTGCACTTCCAGTTAGTTTCTACTTCTCTTTAACATGCTTCCCTCTCTTTCATATGTACTTTCCATTCTATCCTCATTGTTACTTATTTCCCAAGCATATTTGATCACAAAACTATGGAAAAAACTATGGATCTGCAGGTGAAAAAATAAATGACGTGAATCCAGGAACAGGCTGACTTTTGTGGCAGCTGTGCAGCAGCTCTCCTATCCTCCTGAGTCATCAGGGGCAGGGGGGTGCTAAGCCAAAGAGGTGTGATGTGGACTGAGAAAGATTTGTGACCATGTGGTAGTTTGCTTTTACTTGGGGTTAAGGTAGAAGAGACCCAGGATCTTTAGAACCATGGAATTTTTGTTTAGGAAGAGATCTTCATTCTTAGCCACCTGATTTTACAAAATAAGAAACTAAGGCCCAAAGACTTGACAATTGTCATGAAAAATTAGGGGGAAAGCCAGGACTGAAGACTAGATGTCTTCTCTTCCAATAAAGCACTCCCTCCACTCTGCCCCTAGTCCCTTATTATATGATAGAAACAGCACCTCGGAGCTGAAAGGGTCCTTGGTGAGCATCTTATAGGTGAAAGAGCTGAAGCCCAGAGAGGTTCAGTGAGGTCTGCTAGACTTACCCAAGATGGAACCACAGGAAAGAAGCCACCTCAGCACCTCCCCAGCAGGGCTTCAAAGCCTAGGTCCTCAGGCACTGTCCCTTCAACTTAGAAGAGTTTAGAGTCTTTAGGAGAAGTTATTAAAAAGACTTGCCTTTTCTGAGCCCAGGATCCCCTTGTGTAAAGTCCAAGGATTGGAGTCCCTTGATGATCACTTGGGTTCCGTAGAACGATTCCATTTTGTGATTCTAAAAGGAGACAGTGTTGTTCCTGAATGACTCATGTTTCAAGTTTTTTTCTGTGAACAAAGGATCTGTCACTCTTTTCCGGAGGATTAAAAGGCAGCACAGTTTATTTACATGGGCAATTGTGAGCTTCTTGGGGCCTGACTTCTCAGCCCCATTCTTAGCTCCAGCTTTTGTCCATCCTGCTGAGGGACAGACATGGCCCAGGTTCCAGGTTGATGTGAATCTTTGTGATCCCTGACTTCAGGTATTTTCAGGCAGAGGTGGCCTTCCCCTAGAGCCCAGGAGAGAAGGAGGAGCCAACTCTGCAGAGCAAAGTTTTTCAGCATCCTAGAAGATGACGATCTCTGAATGGTGTTTTGTATGGTCAGCATCCCAGAAGATGAGGGTCTCCGAATGGTGTTTTGTATGGTCAGCATCCCAGAAGATGAGGGTCTCCGAATGGTGTTTTGTATGGGGTTTTCACCTTCAAACTTGGTGGGGAGGGGAGGGAACATGATGGAGGGAAGTCCAAGAAGAGAGTGAGAGAGAGAGAGATAAGGAGAAAAAGAAATAGAGCAAAAGAGAGAAAGACAGAAACAGCAGCAAAAAGATACCCTGGATTCTGTGTGAGAAGACAGAAAAGCAAGTAGAGTAGCAATAAAGAGCAAGTGAGTTGAGGGTTTCCATCTCTGTGCACCTGCCCATTTCACACAGACAGCTCCAAATCCCAGGCTGTCAGAGCTAAAAGGGACCATGTGGTTCTAGCCTCTTATTTTATAGATGAGAGCCCTGAGACCCAGAGAAAGAAAAGATGCCCAGAATCATCCATGCAGCCCTGTGCACCAGGACTGAGGGAGCTGCCTCTGGGGCCAGGGCTTTCTGGGTGGAGCCCTGTTCTCTGTTTGTTCTCATCTCTGTTTCCAGCCTGGATTCAGCCCATCTTTGTCTGGGGAGTCGTGACTGGGACCTGCTGCCTTCTAGCAATGCTTTTCTGCCAACTAACTGGAAGTCTCTCTTATTGCCTTGGTACAGGATATACTGCGGGGACACCATACAAGGTCCCACCGACCCAGAGTAACACTGCTCCACCCCCCTACTCCCCATCACCCAACCCCTATCAGACGGCCATGTATCCAATCAGAAGTGCCTACCCCCAGCAGAATCTGTATGCCCAGGTAGGTACATGTCAAAGCCACCTCTTCTGCAGGTAGAGGAGCCTTCAGCCTGGGTGCAGTGTGGTGGGGTAGGGTGAGGAAGTGAGGGAAGGAGAGGATGGTTTGTGGCTCTGGCTAGCCGTCCTTGTTGTATCACTGAAGCAATATCCCTGCAGTCTGCTTACTCCCTCACTCCACCTCAGCCCCTAGAGGGGGTAGGCATGAAGTCATTTAGATTAACAGAGCCCAGAATGTCAGAGGACAAAGGCCCTCAGAGATTTTCTAGCTCAACTCCTTTGTTAAACAAGTGAGGAAACTGAGACCCAAAGAGGGGAATGACTTGTCCAAGGTTACACCACGAGCTATTGGTTGGTCAAGGTGAGACCCCAACGTCTTAGTCTTTTCTCCCTAACCCCCACATCTACCCTTCCTCAGTCTGTGAGCTGAGTGGGGAGGAGGAAAGTACACAGGCCCTGCCACCAGTATCCTCTGTGACCTTGGACAAGTTACCCTCTCTTTCTGTGCCTGATGGGCCTTTCTGGGCTCCTTCAGCTAGAAGATGTATGCATTCCAGGATTGGTATGAGAGAGGGGACCATATGGGGCTCTAGCACACCCATGACACATTCTTCTGGAGTGACTCTATAGGAAACATAAGTGGTGAGGAGAATACTTTTTTAGTTTAAAAAACAGCTATATTTTAGAGTAGAAGACAAAACTTAAATTGATCTCAAGCCTCTTGTTTTATTTTTTTTAATCTCATTTAGTAGAAACATTTGAAGATTTCTGAATTAAGATGATCTCAGGGGCTCCTGTTTACTTCCCCTACAAGTCAGTGGGCCAGTGGATTGTGGCAGCAGGAAGCAGCCATGTGATTCAGGCATTGGGAGTCACCTTGGACCACTGTCTTCTTCATCCTTACCTTTTTACCTAAAGGGAAATAGCTAGTTAAGAGACATCCTGGAAAATGCTATCCATGTATGCCTTTTTTTTTTTTTCTTTTTTCTTGAGACGGAGTCTTGCTCTGTCACCCAGGCTGGAGTGCAGTGGCGTGATCTCAGCTCACTGCAACCTCCGCCTCCCGGGTTCAAGCCATTCTCCTGCCTCAGCCTCCCAGGTAGCTGGGACCACAGGCATGTGCCACCATGCCTGGCTCATTGTTTTGTATTTTTAGTAGAGATGGGGTTTCACCATGCTGGTCGGGCTGGTCTCGAACTCCTGACCTCAAGTGATCTGCCTGCCTTGGCCTCCAAAGTGCTGGAACTACAGACGTGAGCCACTGTGTCCAGCCGCCATTTTTTTTCAACATGTACTTTTTTTTTTTACAACATGCACTTACACCATTATGATACTACTACTAATTATCCTTTTGTGTATGTGTTCTGGAGTTTACCAGCCCTGTTCACATGCTTGGTAACTGATTGATTGTTATTCCTAACTTTAAATTTTAGGCAGCTTATAAAAGTTCATTGCAGTAAGATAAAACATTTTAAAATGCTAAAACCAAGGTTAAGGGAGTAGAGCTCTTATCCCATTAGATCATCATAGCAGCCTTATGAGCAAGGCAGGACAGGATTAGAGCCTTATTTTTCAGACCAGAAGCTGAGCCCAGCACTGCACTGACCACAGTCACATAGTAAGACAAGCAGAGCCCCAGCTGGGGTCCGGACCTTGTGTCCTTCAGCCAGTGCTGCTCTCTCCATATCCCACCTACCTCTCCAAATGCCTATGTGACCTCAGCCTCTTTCCCCCAGGGAGCCTACTACACACAGCCGGTGTATGCTGCCCAGCCTCATGTCATCCACCATACCACGGTCGTCCAGCCCAACAGCATTCCCTCTGCTATCTACCCAGCACCTGTTGCCGCCCCGAGGACCAACGGTGTGGCCATGGGCATGGTGGCAGGCACCACCATGGCAATGTCAGCAGGTGAGGGCAGCATCTGCATCAGTGTCCATCCCTTTCCTCTAGGAACTCAAAACGGAGCAGAGAACACAGTCATAGAATTGGCTGCAGCACAGCACAAGAGATCCTGTGCCAGGGGGCTTGGGAACCCAGAGGAAGGAGCCTCTAAATCTGTCTATGGGGATGAGGAAGATTTCACCAAGAAGGACGTATCGAGCTAGGCCTTAAAGGGTGAACACAGGCTAACTAGAGAAGTGAAAGAGGGAAGGGTGGTGCAGAAAGAACATGAACATGGCATGTTCACAGAATGGAGGAATGGAGCCAAGGCCCTTCGGAAATAGGGGCTTGGAGTTGGAAGGTGGCTGGATCGCTAGCAAGGATAAGATGGTGGAAAGTCCTGAATACCTTGTGGTACCTCTGTTGCACACAATGGGGGTCAAGCAGGGCAGGGATGTGGTTAGGTTTAAACATTCTCTGGCTGCAGAGTGGAGACAGGATTAGAAGGGGTGATCTGGAAGCAAGTAGGTCAGTGAGGAGGCTGTCAGTGTACTTTAGGGGAGAGAGATGATGCTAGCACTCCAGTAACAGCAGGGGCGCCAAAAAAGAAGACACAGGGGCAATGTTCTTTATTAGGCAGGAGCTTAAGGACCTGTGCAATAATTATAATAATTATGAGGGATGACAAAAGCAGAAGTCCCCAAGGACTGTTAGGTTTTTTTTTTTTTTTTTTGAGACAGGGTCTTGCTTTGTCACCCAGGCTGGAGTGCAGTGGCACGATCTTGGCCTACTGCAGTCTTGATCTGCTTGGGCTCAAGTGATCTTCCCACCTCAGCCTCCCAAGTAGCTGGGACCACAGGCATGCGCCACTACACCCAGCTAATTTTTGTGTTTTTTTGTGGAGGCAGGGTTTCACCATGTTGCACAGGCTGGTCTTGAACTCTTGGGCTCAAGGGATCCACCCACCTCAGACTCCCAAATACTGGGGTAACAGATATAAGCCATTATGCCTAGCCTAGAGACCCAACTTTTAAAGAACCAGCTAGGATACCATCTGAGGTAAGAAAGTACAAGGGGTAGAGTGAGCATTTGGATTTTATTCTGTCCCTAACGTAAGGGTATGGTTGAGGCCTCTTACTCCTCAGATCAAGTTGGCAAACTGTTGGATATCTACTCAGTGCCAGCCTTGTTCAGGTCCTGGGAACCCAATATCAATAGATCAGATCAGAACACTGTCCTTAAGGAACACCCAGGTTAGTGTGGGAAACACAGCCACAGACATCACAATTACTACTCAGTATGATTGTGCAATAAGAGAAGCATACAAAGAAAAGTAAAAGGAAGGCCGGGCGTGGTGCCTCATGCCTGTAATCCCAGCATTTTGGGAGGCCGAGGTGGGCGGATCACTTGAGGTCAGGAGTTCGAGACCAGCCTGGCCAACATGGTGAAACCCCATCTCTAGTAAAAATAAAAAATCAGCCGAGTGTGGTGATGGGCACCTGTAATCCCAGCTGCCCAGGAGGCTGACGCGGGAGAATCGCTTGAACTCAGGAGGCAGAGGCTGCAGTGAGCTGAGATCGCGCCATTGCACTCCAGCCTGGGCGACAGAGCGAGACTCCGTCTCAAAGAAAAAAGGAAAAGGAGGACTTAGAATAGTCATTGATTCTGTCCTCAAGCATCAGAAAAAATTCCCCTAAGGAGGTGAAGCCTGGTGAGGTGGAGAAGGGCAGAAAACAGGTCATCAGGAAGGCGAGGGAGATGGGGGATTTGGGCAGAGGGAGCAGCCATGTGAAAGACTGTAGCTTCATCCTCTTCATTCCTGTGTCTGGTGCAGCCTCGTCAGGTTACTCTTCTCTCTCTGGATGCTCAGGTACCCTGCTGACTACACCCCAGCACACGGCGATTGGGGCACACCCTGTCTCCATGCCAACATATAGGGCCCAAGGAACCCCTGCGTACAGCTACGTGCCCCCACACTGGTAAAGCCTGCAGCCCATCCAAGTGAGTGTGGCCAGGGTGAGAGAAGTGGGAGGGGGATACATACAGGAACTGCCTCAAAGTCCCTGGTTTGGGTCTGGAGCACAGGTGTCAGCTAGGGCAGGTAACAGCTGTCAAGTTACCAGTTGCTTTCCTGCTCCAAGGTCCATAATATCACTCTTAATAATAGCTATCACTTCTGTTGACTGCTTGTTGAAATCTAAATAATAACAGAAATAATAATAGCTATCCCTTTGCTTATGTTATCTCATAATCCTTATAGTTGCTCTGTGAAATAAGGATCATTAGCTCTATTTTACAGATAAATATGTAGTTAAATATCACTTAGCCAGTAAAAATTAAGCTAGGGCTTAAACTTCAGTTCTCTAGTACTAAATTCTGTGCCATTTACCTTATGGTCTTCGGACTTCTTTTAACTATGGGCCCCATTCTTCAAATGAACTCTTGCCCAGATCATATGTTAAGAGCTTTGGTTGGAGCTATTTGGAGGCTTTGGGCTGACCCAGACCTCTGGCTTCCTTGGTCCCCTCAGCAGCTCCTGAGGCAGTGACAGTGAACCATAGGGCTCCAGGGATGTCACTTTGAAATCCTCTGGCCCCCCACATCATCTGGCCTCCCCCATCTCCTCCAGGGCTCTTGGCACCAGAGCACAACAACTTCCACAGGCGGGAGGCAGGCAGCTTCACTAGGAAGGCACAGCGGGCTCCCGAGTTGAGGGGAGAAGCCTCCTGAATATCACTGACACTGTTTCTTTCCCCTTTCCCTCTGCAGATCTGGAGTCACACATTGTATGCAACTACTCAAGTCTTACACCGGTGCTGGAGCAGTTCCCTAGCAGCACCACCTCTATTTGCAAGAAGAGACAACGGAAGTGCAAGGGTCACTTTATGCATCTTTAATGGTTTTGATTTTTATTTTTGGTTTTTGTAAAAGCTGCTTTTTCTAATCTCCTGCCTCTCCCCAACTGTCCCCCTCTTAGCCCCTGCCCTTCCAGCTCTATCCCCTTCCTCCTACCTGACCAGGCCATGTCCTCTCTGCTCTTCCCTAAGTGTCCTGTCCCTGGGGATCCCAGTCTAGAGGCAAGCAGAGAGTAGGGTTTATTGCAGTGGTTCATCTGAAGGCTGGATTCCATTTGAAGAGCATAAACAGATGTGGTCCAGGGTAGGAACTCAGAGCTGTTGAGCAGGCTACATCTCTAGGGGAGTGTTCTGGTTGTTTTTTCTTAAGCAAGATTAGTTCAGGACATTCCCATGTCCCAGACACAAATGAAATGTCTCCTGAGAACCATTGCAACAGACCAAGAACAAAACCACCTGAGTATGTAGGCGTGTTATTAGCAGCTTAATACCCCAGGCTGAGAACCTGGGGAAAAAAGTCTTTAGAATTTGGGGGAGGGTGGGGGGAGGGAGGGCATTGTGGGGAAGGAGAGGGAAGAAGGGAGGAGCGGTGCTTGCCTCATGGCTTTGGTTTGAAAGGTCTCTGGCCAAAGCATCTGGCCCTGGACCTTCTGATTTGCACAGTGATGTTAACTGACCTGGCACTTCCTCAAAAGGTGATTTTGTCCTTAGACCTGCCAAGCGGCTGCAGGGTGGTAGGATCCCAGCATCCCGAGGCCTTGGAAGGCCGGATGCCCTGTGTCATCCAGACTTCAGCCTCTGAGCTGTCATGGACCCACTCTGATGAGGAGCTTCCTCCTGATTGGAGTGGGAACCTAGGGCATTTCTCTCCCTTTTCTTTTGCCCTTCCCAGTGCCAGGACTCACCTGTCTGACCATAGAGCTTGCAGGCAGGCCAAGCTCTTGGTTACCTGTGCCATTCATGGCCCAAGTGAAGGAACCACATTCCAGGTGGGTGCTGGCAGCTCTGAAGGTGAGGATAGTGAAGGAAAAGCAATAGCAATAAACATTTCATAGACTCATGGAACTGAAGGGACCTTAGCAATCATCTCATCCATTTCCCTATTTGGCAGATGAGGAAACTGAGGCCCAGAGAAGCGGAAAGGACTTCCCTAGACCTTACAGTAAATTAGCATTAAATGCAGCCTTCCTACCTAGTGGGCACCTTGCTTACAAAAATTTACCTAGGGACGGATTGGCTTGGTTTTGTAAAAATTAAGTCGGCAGCGCCCATACCTGGTGAGTCTGGAATGGTCTCTGGGCTCCTGTTTCTGCTCTTTTCCTCCACGGACTCCAAAGGCGGGGGTTGAAGACTGGGCAGAGGCTACATGGGGGCGGATGGCAGGAACAGAAATTGCAAATGAAGAAATAGCATTTGGAAATTCTGTGAAGACATCTGGAACTTCCGTCCTGTACCTGACTCCACCTCCAGGAGAAGGAGCAGGTGGACTGGCCGAAAAGGAGAGGCCATGCTTTTAGGACAGTAGCCCCTCATCCCGAGAGGAGAGGAAGAGGAGGAAGACAGTGGGAGTCATCAGGAGAGGAGAATGAGGATGAGGCCCAGGAGACAGGCTCATCTGGGAGAAGAGGGACCCCTGGGACGAGGAGGTCCCTGCTAGTCTCAGCCAGGAGCCTGGATTGCCCAGCAGCAGCCTCCGGCACCCAGCGCTTGGCTGGGCCAGCAGCCCCTCTGGGGGTGGGGCACGAACATTTTATTGTAAAAAATGGGATCATTGACAACATTTGGGACTTTAAAAAACTGCTTTCATTTAAAATTCATGCAAACTTGGACATATCCTTACCCCAACCTCCCATGTCTCCCTAAGGGAGGGAAAAATCAGGAAACCCTTGGGTTGGAAGGAGCTCAGAAGCTGTCTAGCCATTCCCAGGAGGGTAAAGCCCATCAGCCTCCTTGGCCTAGAGCCAGGAGTTTGGGGGCCCACCTTCCTGGGCTTCCAAGGAACTTTAGGACCAGTAAGAAAAAATTCAGCTGTTCTAAATTATCTGTTCTGGGTGCTGATGAGGTTTCACTTTAAAACAATAGAAAGTTTTCCAGTGTTAATTCACTTTTTGCAAATACCTCCTTCCACCCTCTTTGGTTTTGTAAAGGTGGGTGAAGGTTGTTCTAGATTATGTCATACGTGTTTGAAAAATGCCAAAATAATAATAATGATAATAATAATAGAAACCTTTGGATTTGTCAGGTGCATCACAGAGGTCAAAGCACTTCACGGCCTTTCATGTACTCGCCCTGAGAGGGACAGGGTTAGAGTTATTACAGTCAATTGACAAATGAGGAAACAGGTTATGGAAGGGAACAGGCCCACAGTGAGCAGCATGCTGGTATCCGCTAGGCTTCCCAGAACCCTGCTGCCTCCATGTGGGCTGGGGTGGAACCACAGAGAGGAGAAAGGAAGAAGAGGAGACCTAGGAATGACCTTGTAACTTTTGTTCTTTCAACACCAGTAAGTAAAACTAACAGCTGGACCTCACAGTTCACAGAACAGTTGAACATAAATTATCTGGTTTAACCCGATGAAATAGAGGTTATTTCTCCTATTTGATCCATAAGGAAATCAAGGCTTGGAAAAGTCAAGTGACTTGCTAATAAGTGACAGAGCCACTCGAATCCCAGGCTGTCTGCTGTCTCGTTCCCCTCCATCTGATCCCCACACAGGCTCACGTACTGAAGCATCTGTGCTCTGTGCCCTATCTTAGCACCTACTATGTAATTCAAGAGCAAAGGGGGGCCCCAAGGTGAAAATAAGGCACTGAAAGGCTGTGGTCTGGAAGAGCCCAGGTCCAGCACCCCTTTTTCAGTATGAGCCCCAGTTCAGCCGGCCTCAGCCTCTTGCTGTGATGGAGATCCACAAGCCTAGCCAAGCTTGGGGAGTCACTGCAAAAGGACTGAGCCCAGGAGAGCGGGGACAGTCATGTGCCTCTGGTAGGATGGGCACAGTTACTGGTAAGGTCACAGAGATCTAGTGGGAGGTACCATAGGTAGATACCTCCAAAGATTCTAGATGGCACGGTGGTCAAGCTAGACAAAAAGTCAGAGCTGGAAGGGCCGTCTCATTGAAGGCAGGCAAGCAAGAGAGGACAAGGGATGTAGCCGCCTGACAGTGAGCTACAGCACTGGCCCCAGGATGCAAACCCCTCTCTCCTCCTCATGCCACTGCCTCTCCCCAAGTGCAACACCTATGGCCAGGATCAGGGGTACAGATGGCTCGTTACCAGCCAACCCTTTTGAATTCTTCTACTTCTACCTGACCCCCTCTCCTCACTGGCCTGGGGTCAAGAAGTTTGAGTCTGGGAGCTGGATTGCCTGCAAATAGTGAAAGCCTGAAACATAATGGTTTGCCATGTTTTGAAAAAAAATGCATATTTAATTTCTTCCTCATGAGATAGGACAGTTGCTGTTCTTTCTTACCTGGCAATGACCCTAAAATGTATATCCTCTTTCCTGAATATTTAGCAGAGACACACACACCTGTCCAGAGCGTTTTTGGTATGCAAAGTACTTTGACATTGGTTGCCAAAGTCCTCCATTTTATAGATGAAAAAACTAAGGCTCAGGAGGCTTGAGACTTGCTAAAAGGTCACACAGCTTGGAAGTGATTCTTCAAATCCTCTGCTCTTTCTGCTGCCACCTGCTGGGTCTCTTGGCAAGCATGGAGGGAGGGGCTAACTGTACTTTATAGAGCTGGGAAGCCCAGTCTCTGAGCTGAGCAGATTTGTATGAACTGCTTTGGGCCAGGACCTGTAATGAGCCCTGGGGAGGGACCCAGAGGCACATCTAACTGGCAGCACAAGGAGGATGAGAATTTGCAACTAAAGGCCTCACTTGGACAAAACACTTTGGGGTCACAATGCCCAGGACCGAAGACATGTTCAAGGACAGCACGAGGCATCTTTCTATTGGGAGACCCATGTCCTTGGTAAGCCTGCACACCTGGCTTCCTAATCCCTGAGAGCCTGCCCACTGTCCAGATCCAGTGAGTTGGTACAAAACGTACAGACTGAAGTCCCTGGGCTTGCTTTTCCCATGGGTGAGGACCAGAACCAGACTCTGAGCATCCTTACCCCTGGCCACCCGAATTGTTCCAAGTTTGAGGTACCCCGTTCCCAGAGATCTGGGGGTCCTTCTTTGGAGGGCTTGCTTTGTTCTGATGGCCTTCAGAAAGGAATCACATGAAGTATAAAAGGACAGGCCCCTTGGTCACCAAGTTTTGGCTCCTCATACAGATAGGACTCATCCAGGTTCCCAGCGAGGCACTGACTAAGCGAGGCTCAGAGCTTCCATATCAAATTCCTCAGCTTTGTTCTGTGCCCAGAGGGGGTGGGCCCCATTCTGGGCCCTGTGAACTTTGTCTTATATATCACCATCTGTATCAGAATTCCTCCTCAATTGCAGTTAAGTGAAAATACGTGGAAGTCTGCTTTTCCATCCTGTATTCTCCCACATCACTACTGGCTGTGCGGCCCCCGCTGCTTGCCAAGCTTGGGAATCCAGAGAGGGGCAGTAGTAGAGTGGGCCAGTTGGGACCCACCCGCAGAGCTGAAGAAACACGCCAGACTAACTGATGGGATTCCACACCGGAGCCTCTGAGCGCACAGGCAGGCATGCCAAGGGGGCTGCAGGGTTTGTCCTTTACTTATCTGCCCCTTTCCTAGAAAACTCCTCGTTTCTGAAATTAGGCATTATATGGTTCCAGGACCCAGCCTTCAAAATTCCTGGCAGGCCAGCTTCAACATTCCATGGCCAGCCCTGCCTAAGCCAGACTTGGGTCCCAGTCCCTCAGTCTCTCCAGTGGATATCTTCTGTGGTGCATGCTGTTGAGTCCAACCCAAAGGCCAACCGAGGCACACAGGAGTTGGGACTGGCTGCCACAAAGCTAGAAAGGGACAAAACAGCACTTGCTTCCCTATGGCCACATGGATAGTCCCTGGATATCCTTGCTGTGGTAGAGGTCCTCTACCCATTCCAGCCACTGATAGCAGGGGGATTTTCCTTCCTAAGGAGAACAGATGTAACAGCTTTGCAAAGTACCGGCCCATAGGAATCAAATGGGTGAGATCAGCTTTGGGCCTGACCCCAGCAAGACCAGCATCTCCAGACCCCAGCCTTTCTCCTCAGGCCTAAGAGAGTCAGGGAAAGAGAGGAGACTGTCCCAGAGACCTTCTCCTCGGGTCAGCCAGATAGTCTGGATCTATGGTGTGACTCAAGCTCCTCCTTACCCAGGGGGGGTAAGGCCAGGCCTCTAGCTACTTGGAGTTGTCTGTAATAATCTTGAAAGGCCCAAGGGCCTGTCCCCATCCTGACTTAAAGGCATCTGCTTCCCTGTTTCATATCACATGACAGAGAAACCTGTTCTCATGGCATGTAACATCCCTGTGAAGAGAGCGTTGTATATGATTTTGTATTTTTTAATTCATTTTAATCTACAGGTTGGAATCTAATTTTTAAATTTTATTGGAACTCACATTTTAAAAAGAAATAAAATTTAAAATAATAATAATAATAATAATAATAATAATAAACCTTTGACCAGTGTCTTCCAAGTAGTTTGATCAAAGAATTTATAGGTGTTTTCAAAACACAGTCCGGAGTGTAAAGATTGGAAAGCCCCATGGCCTTGCCTGTGTGTATGAAGTGTAAATCTGGTTTTGTTTTGTTGTTTTGGATTCTTTTGGGTTTTTGTTTTGTTTTGAAGATCAGACAGTGATCACTCTGAAAGATTGAAGCCAAGAATTTGTAACTATGGTATTTACTGTAAGCTGTAGAACACTCAATAACTATTAAAAAAAAAAATTCCCCCCCAAAAAAAAGTCTTAGGTGACTAGACTGAGTGGTTCTTGGGGAGGGAGGCACAGAGGACTGTCCTGGGCCAGTGAGTCCCTTGGGCGTCTCCCCAAGTTGATGCTAAATTTGTTCTCAGTAGTCAAGAAAAACCTATGGTACATCTTACAGCTGATCTGACAGGGGTCTGCCCTAAGGGTCTCACAGCTGCTGGGGAGCTTTAAGTGGCAACTTCAGCACCCACCCTAAGTGTGTGATGTGGGAGCACAGTGAGGCCATTCAGAGTTGAAATCCATTGAGCCATCCGCGCAATAAAGCTGACATCTATTGTGTGGCTGGTGCCTGCTGCTCATGTTTGTTAAGGCATTCGGTCCTCACAGCACACGTGAGGTGAGCCCTGTTGTTAGCACCATCTTAGATGGGGAAGCTGAGGAGGGTAAGTACCTTGGCCGATGGTACAGAGCTGGTGAGAGGCAGAGTTAGAACTCACATTTGGCACTTGTTCTGGCTCCATAGCCCACGCACCAAGCCCCATGTTCTGCCCATCTCAGAGCAAGCAAGGCCCGAGTTTGTTTTGTTTTGTTTTTGTTTGTTTTTGTTTTTGAGACAGTCTCTCACCCAGCTGGAGTGCAGTGGCGCAATCTCAGCTCACTGCAACCTCCACCTCCTGGGCTCAAGTGATCCTCCCACCTTAGCCTCCTGAGTAGCTGGGACTACAGGCGCACACCACCACTCCCAGCTAATTTTTGTATTTTTTTGTAGAGGCGGGCTTTCACCATGTTGCCCAAGCTGGTCTTGAACTCTTGGGCTCAAGCGATCTGCCTGCTTCAGCCTCCCAAAGTGCTGGGATTACAAGTGTGAGCCACTGAACCCAGCGCCCTGAGCTTTCTTAAAAGATGGATTTGTCAGATGGGAAACCAAGGGGCACTTGGTGGTTTGTGGTTACAGAAAAAGGACAGCTGAGGGAGGCTCTGGCGCCTTCATCCAAAGCAGTCCCATCAAGTGCTATCAGTTTTGCCTCCTAAACATCATCTGAATCTCTTATCTCCCCTCTGGGTGAAGCCACTGCCCTAGCCCAGGCCCAGGCTTCTCTTACTGGGTTATCTGTCCACCATTCCTTCCCAGGGCCGGGCCCCTACAGTTCATGCTCCACATCCCCATAGCTATACCTCCAAGAACTCAGCCTCCTCACCTGGAAAGGAAACAGGCCAAAAGAGGCCAAGTAGCTTGGCTCACACTGCAGCTGAAATGAAAACTTTTAGGCCTCCTTACTCTCTAATGCCTCTCACCAAATCTCACCGTGTGCCTCCACCCAGCCTCCCTTCCTGTCCTTGATCCAATATGAAACCCACCCCCAGTGTCCGAGGGGGCACCTCTGGCCACAGGCATTGTTGGGGCTGAGTCACCATAGTCAGTTTCTCCGGTGCAGGAAGGGATTTTCTCCCAGAGGGAGGCTCAGCTCCAGGTCACAGTGGCAGAGCTGAGGGCCAGGAGCAGGAGGGGAGGTGGAGACTTGGGTCCCAGCCCCTACCATTCTGGCCCATAGGGAAGAGGGGTGGAGCACAGAGGTCAAGCTCAGAACTCTTCCCCTCAGTGGTCAGCCCAGAACCCCACCCTGTCCTCCAGCTCCCACCTCCGCGTGGGCCTCTTGAACTCAAGCGCTGACAAAGCTTCAGGGATTTAGATGGAACAAGCCAGAAAAGCTTCCAGGTGAGGGTAAGGACCCTGAAGACCAAGGGCATCAGACACACTCCTACTTGAGCCCTCAGCTCTTCATCCCACTCTTGCAAGCTAGCCTCAATACCCCAAGGGACAGGTGAAGAAACAGGCCAGGGCCACACCTTTCAGCAAGCAGAAATTGGGGAGGGGGAGTCTGGAGGAGAGCACAGTGCTTACTGTGAGGGGGCGCTCAGCCCTGGCCTGGAAGCCTGCACCCAGCCTTGGTGCACCCTGGCTTGCATGTGTATGTACCTCTGCCCAGGCGAGACAGGCAGGCTGTGGAGAGGGCATCTAGACCCCACAGCCCAGCCTTCCCCTGGGGAAGGAGGCTGAGGGCCAGTCAAGGTGGAGAGGCCAGACCCTGAGATGCAGCTGAGCAGCTGGCAAATAGGGACTCCAAACACACTCTGGCAGCCGCAGGAAATACTTATTTGGGTACACTGGTGATGCCTGCTAGTCCCCTACAATGGACACCCTGTCCTACACTTTGGCATCCTTTTCTGCTCCAGAACATCCCTCCTGATGTCCAGCCTCTGTTTCCTTCCCCTCTTCTGGTGCAGGTGAAACATCTCCTGGATCTTCAGAGGTGTCCCTCCCCTTCCTGCCCACCTGAAAAGCCCTGGAGAGAGACACCTGTGCCCTAGGTACCCAAGGAGAGTCAAATCCCAAAGCACATCTGCCCAGGGTAGGAGGAGGCCCCCAGCTTGGCTTCTGCTCAGGAGAAAGGCCCCTGCCCCCTGTGAAGCCAGGCCTCCCGACAGCCCCAGCATGGCCGCCCCATAGCTGCCCTGTGCCTGCTGCAGACAGGCCGGGGACTCCCACAGGCTGGTCCTCTCCACACCTCCCCAGGTTCCATCAGGTGTCACTCTTGTTCTTCAGCCTCTCTCTGAGGCCGTTAGTTTAAATGTGTCCCTCTCTCCCGTCTTTAGACAACATAACAAACAATAAAACCCTAAATTAACTGAAAATTGTCTCTCCCCAGAGCCTGAGGCCCCACCCAGCTATGGCCTGCCAGGCTTCGGCAGGGAGCTGTCTCCCTCAATCCACCTGGCCCTGGCCCTGGTCTCCCCTCTCCCTTTAGGCGAATCCCACCAAGTTCCTGTGCCACTCACCAGGGCACAGAGCAGTCCTCCTCACCCCCCAGCAGCACCTGGCCTTGCAGCCCACCCTGCGCCCACCCCTCCCCTGGCTGCCAGGACACTGCCACGGACGTTGCCCTCCCTGGTTTCTTTCCTGCCTCCCTAGCAGTGCCTTCTCTGTGGTGCCCTGGAGCAGCCCAGGCATCGTCCCCAGGACATTTCCTCCCAGCCCAGTCCTGGCCTAAACACCCACCTGAGTGCCTGTAGGTCTTCTTGTCTCCAGGTCTGTCTCCTGAGAGCTCTGGGCCTTCACATCTGGATGGCATGGGACATCCTCCATGGCTGTGTCACAGGTGCCCCCAGGACTGCTCCTGTTGCCCCACCCAGCTGGCCCTAAGCCCCCGACCCATTTCCCATTACCAAACCCTAGCACAGGGGTGTCCAATCTTTTGGTTTCTCTGGGCCACATTGGAAGAATTTTCTTGGGCCGCATATTAACACTAACAATAGCTGAAGAACTAAAAAGAAAAGAAAAAAGCAAAAACATCTCAATGTTTTAAGAAAGTTTATGAATTTGTGTTAGGCCCCATTCAAAGCCATATCCTGGGCCACATGCGGCCCTTGGGCCGGGTTGGAAGCTTGCCCTAGGAATTTTAGATGGAGACGCTCTGTCTTGCCGGGTGTAGCACCCGCTCCTGTGGCTCCTTTCCTCTCCACACTGGCCAAGCAGGAGCTGAATGCTTTGGAGGCTCCCTGGGCATAAGGCCCAGGTGACCACTATGTGTTGGTGCTCAGCCTTTGCACATGCTGTCCCTCTCTGTGGAACACATTCCCTGGCCCGCACATCTTCCTCACCCCCAATTACCTCCCGGGCTCCACACAGTGCATTTCCTCAGGTGCTGCGCTGACCAGTGTGGTAGCTGCTGGCCACGTGGCTATGGAGCCCTTGAAATATTTGAGTTCCAATCAAGATGTGTAAGATACACTCCAGATTTCAAAGCAAAAGCAAAAACAGCTCATTCACACTTTTTATACTGATTTTATATTGAAATGAAAATATTTTGGATAGACTGGGTTAAAAAAAAATTAAGTTCACCTGCTTCTTTTTACTTTTTGAAATGTGACTGTCAGAAAATTTAAAGTCACATATGTGGCTCACACTATTTCTGTGGGACAGCCCTGCCTCTAGCTAGGGGCTTTGGTGAGAACCAGATGAGTTGATGGGTCTCCTCTGGGCCCTGCTTCCCTGGCTGCTGAGGTGCAGGAACTGTGAGGGGAGGGCAGCCTGTCACGGTGCCCAACACAGGGCAGGGCTGGACAGGTACAAGTGGAACAGGCGGATAAGCTGGGAAGGGCACAGAGAAAAGGAGCTCCTCGTGACAGCACTTTCCCACCTTTTATTATTCAACACATGGAAGGGGGTGGAGACACAAGGATAGGGCAATGGTGAGTTTCAATAAATAAGAGAAACAGGATGGACAGGCAGTGGGCCCATGCCTGCACGGCCCCACATAAATAACCAGGTTGCTGAGCCAGAGTGGAAGTCAGGGCTGGGCCTGGCAGCCGCCTGCACTGCCCAGAAGCACTGGCACCACAGGGACACAGAAACCACTGAGGCCCAAGGTGTGCTCCAGCCCCACCAAGTCTTCTCCCTAAAGCTCCTGAGATCTTGGGGCTGGCTGGGCAGGCTAGGGCTCTGTATCACAGTCCTGCCGGGATCAAGTCTATTTTTTCAGTTTCATTAAAAACAGCTGGGGGAGGGGCAGGCACATGCATTAAGCCCCTTCCGTAGGCAGAGCCATGGATGGACAGCCCCATGGGGGCCTTGAAGGCAGAGGCCCTGGAAGCAGCAAAAACGGGGCTGGATAAAGCTACTAATGGGAGGGATGGTAGAGCCCAGCTCCCCAGTCCCCCACAACCCAGCCCAGAACCTACAAAGAGCTGAAGAGGCCCTGGGTACTGAGACGTCTCTCCTTACTTCACAGTCAGAAAAATGGACCCAGCGATGGCCACAGATGTGCCCAAGATTAGAACCCAGGGACTCACTCTCCTAGCCCAGGACTTTCTGCTACCCCTTCCCTTTATAGACCTGCTGGAAGAGGAGGGGGACGCACATCTGCTCTAGGGCCCTGTACAGAGGCAAGGGTGTGGCTAATTACCAAGGAATGGGGCCAGGGGTGACGGGCACAGGCCCCTCCCCTCTGCCAAGCCCAGCCTCTGATGATACAGAGAATCCCGTGGGCTCCTAGGATCCAGCCAGGGCAGGCACGGGGGTCGGGGCATCCTTCAGGGGAGCAACATGGCAGCAGGGCCAGGGGCGGGGCTCAGCCTGCTCCTGTACACAGTGCCCGCCGGCCACCTGCCTCCTCACTGGGGCAGACGCTCCCACCTCCAGGCCTTGGTCTTTGCTGTCTCGTCTGCTGGGCCATTGCTTCTCGGTCCTCACAGTCCCAGCTGCAGCTCCACCTCCTCCAGGAAGCCTTCGGAACCTCCCAGGGCAGGGCCGCAGTGTCCTTAGACTAGACCGCCCCTCAGATGACCAGGTTGCTCTCACTTAGCCGGACCACATAGCGGTTCTCCTGGTGGGCAGGGGTGAGGGGTCAGAGCTGAGTCAGGGGCTGGCTTCTGGCTCCAGGAAAGTGGCCCCTGCCTAGGGCCCGCTGCACTTCCACCCCTGCCCCGTCTTCGGTCAGGGTTGGCCCAGGTGCCAACAGATGCCTTTCTCCTTGACTCTCACCTCGGCCTTGTTCTCTGCTGGGGGCTTCAGCCACTTTGTACGGCTTCCGCCACTTCCTAGCAGGGCCTGCTGCTCAGGGGGGAGGCCAGGCTGTGGGGAGTCAGGGAGATCACCCCACGAGGGCCCAGCCTCCGTGATGGTCTTCACCTCAGACACCATTGAACTTGTCCGCTGCTCAGGAATTCGAGCCACGCGGAACCTGTGAGGAGAGTGGGGCAATCATCCCCGTTAGCGGGGATCCCGGGGCACAGAGAAGGCAGCACGTGCCCGGGGTCACACAGCAAGTTCATGGACCAGAGCCTTAGCCTGAGAGGCCCGGGTGCCATGGGGGCCAAGATGCTGCCCTAGGGATGCAAGGGCTCCATGTGAGACACAACATAACCGGAAAGTCCTGATCTCTCTGGCCGCCTCCACTGCCCAGAGAGGCCCAATAAGGGCAGGGCTCCCATTGAGCAGGGTGCTCAGGGCCCAAGCTGGGGCCCTGCCTCCCCCTCCCGGCCCCCAGGCTGTCACGTCTTTACCTGCCCCTGCTGCATCTGTGCCCATCTCACCTGCCCACAGACAAGATGGTGATCTCGCCCTGACGCCCTGCCTTGGCCCCGGCCTTGGGAACCCTGGTCGGGTTAGGCAGAAGGCTGGGAACAGGAGTAGTGGCGGCTACAGCCTCAGGGGACAGCAGCACCTCGGGCCACTTCTTCTGGCTACAGCGGGAGCAGCAGGGGCCAGAGAGCGAGGCCAGGCCCTGCACGGTGTGGAGATGGTGGCGGTGCGGGCAGATGTGTGGCACGTTCGGGGGCGCTGGCGGCAGCCTGCAGGGGGCACAGGCAGAAGTGGCCATAGGCCAGGCCAGGGGCAGGAGACCCCAGCAGGGAACAGGGTGACTTGAGGGAGACCCAAGTGGGAGATCCCCAGGAGGCAGGCTGGTTAATGTAGGTTTTGGCCCCGTTATCTCCCACCAGCCCACTCACTTGGACACAGGCCTGTGGCTCGTCTGCACCAGCTGTTTGCTGTGGTACTCTTTCAGCAGCTCCTCCAGGGCCGCAGCATTCTCTGTGGGTAGCTGCAGTCAGACCCTCACTGTGGCCATATGGGACACACCTCCCACCCCCTGCCCCAGCAGAGAACCCCCCACCTACCCTCCATACCACCACTCCCAGCCTGGGCTGTGCGCCTTTTCCTCCCACTTCATCAGGCAAGAATGGGAGGCAGAGGTGTGCACTCCTGGGTCAGAGAGCACCAGGCTGCTTGAGGCACCCTGGCAGGGAAGGCAGAGCAGGGCAAGACTCTGCCCACCGCGGCTGCCTCACAGGCTCCTGGAGGAAACCCTCCTCTCCTGGGCACTGGGATGGGGTCAGACCTTCTCCTCACCTTTCTTCTCTGTGATCAAGCGCACCAGGACCCCAATGGTGTCCTCATTGGCATCCTCAGTCCGGTAGGCAGGGTTGATTCCTGGGGAAGAGAAGGGCCCTGATCCTGGGGAAGAGGGGGAAGCCGCACTCCTGAGCTAAACCATGATCTGCCAGCAGAGGGCAACCCTGGCCTTCTTAAGGGCCCTGAGCATGTGCATTTAGGTGACAAGCCTCCCAGAGCCCTGCAAATGTGGGATCCAGGCTCAGAGAAGCCCATATCACCTTCATGATTCAACACCAGTGCTTCCTGCACCCAACAGCCCGGGTGCATAGAGGCTTCAGGGCCACGTGAACTCCAGTCATTGAATTGGGCGGGCGAGGGGGCGGTGCGTCAGCGTCTTCTGGGTCTGCACTGTCTCCTCCTCAGCCTCAAGGAGCTGTGGGCTGCCACCCTACCCAGAACTCCCCAAATCTACAGCAAACTGCTATTCCATGGCCTCTCTACTGTGCCCTATGTAACAATTTAACTGAGTGCCCCTAGTCAGCTTTGGGCCCAAATCTCAAGGGTGTGAGAATGGGCCACGATGATCAGCCCTGGGCCCAGCAGCAAACAGAGCTCCCAGGACTTGCACCCAGGCAGCATCCAGCAGTTAAAGGGAAGTCTCTAGGAAAACAAGCACAGTCCCAGGCAAAATGGCCCTGAGTCACCACGTTTCCTCCTGCCGGCTTACTGCTCCTGTCCGCTTCCTGCCCCCGCCAGACTTCAGTGTCAGGACTTAGAAGGGTCTCTGGCTCCCATGCCAGCCCCAGACAGCCGAGGGTGCTAGCATGGGAGATGCCATTTCACTCTTGAGGTAGCCACAGGCTCCCATGGGCCCAGGGCAGGGTGTGTGCGAGTGGGCCCCTGCCCTGCAGGGGAGTAGTGGTGTGGGGAAGAAGGAAAGGGGCCCGGGGCCCTGGGGGTGAAGGTGGTGGCGCATGCCTGTCCCTCCGGTTCCAGGCCTTGTAACTCAAACTACAGCCTGGAACCAAAACCCGAGCCCCTTATGGTGCCTGCCCAGGACAGGACAGCTGCCCTGCCAGCCCTCCTGCCACAGGGCACTCCTGCTACTCCAGGCCAGAGGTCAGAGGTCACCTTGAGTAACTCCAAGGCCACCATCCGACCCTGGAACCATACACACAACTGTGGCCTCCAAAGAGTCCAGATCCCCACATCTGGGCAAGGCTTCACCCAGGGTAGGATCCACTGAAGCCACTTGACCAGCTGTGCCACCTCTGCTCTGCCCCCACGGCCACACCTTCGTCCCCTTACCTTTCCTCCCATGTTGTCAGTCTGCAGCTATCACCTCCCAAGCCTCTCCCTCTCAGACCCCAGAGGCCAGGCAGGATTCCGCTGGCAGCCCCCAAGTGGAGCTGGGGCTGGGCTCGTGCCCCCGTCCTTCCCACCTGGACCCCAGCTGGGCCTCACCACTGCCTCCACCTCCAGGGCCGGGCCCGACCTCCTTGTGCGCCGTGCAGTGGTAGCCCTTCCGCTTGAGGAGGTTGCACACCAGGATGCCCAACAGCCCCATGAGGCAGAAGACAGGGACGATGGCGATGACCGCGTACTGGGCGGCTGTCTCCTCTGGGCCACCTGCCCGGGTGCCGTTCCCAGGCTGCCGTGTCTCACCACCGCTGCTGGCCCCTGCTGCCACCTCCACGCCACGTCGGGCCCGCCGCCCCCACTCTGAGCATCACAGACGATGGAGGCAGGACAAAAGCAGAGTGACACAAACACAGAGAGACAGGGGCCCAGGGCCCGAGTCAGTGGGGGCTGCAGGAGAGCCAATGTGCCCAGGGGAGCCCACTCCCCGCCATGCTGGGGATGCAAAGGTCAACCCACTGCCCTCCTGTTTTCCCTTCTGGCCATCGAAGCATTGTCCTGAACAAGGCCTCCTCAGGACGGCCAGACACCCAGCCCCACCCTCCCCTCACGCTGGGGTCAGGGGGTGAAGAGATGGCACACAGGACACATGTCTGGGCACAGGGACGTGGGATCTGCCTCCCTGTGGCCTGGCCATGAATCTAGTGCCTCAGGGGGTGACTGACTCAGTGGCGGGAGGAGGTGCGTGTGGGTATGTGAGTGTTTGCATGCGCACACTCATCTGCATGGGTTTTTTTAGGCAGGGTCTCACTTGTTGCCCAGGCTGGAGTGCAGTGGGGCGATCACAGCTCACTGCAGCATGAAAATCATGGACTCAAGCAATCCTCCCGCCTCAGCCTCCCGAGTAGCACCACCACGCCCGGCTAATTTTTTATTTTTATTTTTTGCAGACAGGGTCTTGCTATGTTGCCCAAGCTGGTCTCAAAGTGATCCTCCTGCCTTGGCCTCCCAAAGTGCTGAGATTACAGGCATGAGCCACTGCACTTGGCTGGCATGAATCTCTTTGAAGGGATGGGGACAGGGGACAGGTCAGTATGTGAGTCCCCAGCCCCCAGCTGTGGCTGCCATCTGCAGGACACTCTCTGCCACTCGGAAGCATGGTGGGCAGAAACAGCCAGGGGAGCGGCTGACTGTGCCCTGCTGGAGACCCTTTGGCTGCACGCCCTGCCCTGGGCTGGAAGAAGGACCCCACTGCCCCCACATGAACACTGCAGAGGCTGCTGGGCTCCAACTCACTGGCCCCTCCCGCACATACCCCTGCACCAGTCCTAGCCCCAGTCTGCCACTCACCATCACAGCCATGAGTACCCAGAGGTGCCCAGGAACATGGTTGACATGGAACGCGGGGAACCCCCCAAGGCCCAAACCACCTGCGAGGAGGGAAGATACCACTGAGGCCCAGAAGTTTCCCCAAACACTATCCTTAGGAGAGGCTGGATTCCTTCCTACCAGGCACCCTCCGTGGTCCTGCCCCATCCCATTTCACAGATGGGAAGAATGAGGCCTGCTCAGGGTACAATAAGGCTGGGGCCCCAGGATCCAGAGTCCTGGTCACCCAGCCAGGAGCCCTCCCCGCACTCCCTTTGGCTTACCCAGGCCAGCAGTCTCCACAGAGTGTATCTCGAGTTGCCATGCCCACCTGGGCCTCCAGCCTCCTCCAAAGGCTGCAACGGGCATGGGGCTGGCATGGGCTGGAGCCCCATGCAGCTGAGAAGGTGCCTGGGGGGCAGGGCCTGCATAATGTGCCCTGCCCTGGGTCCTGTGGGAGGTAAAGGGTGAGAGCATGGCCAGGAGCCAAGCCTGAGGACCCTTGGGGGCCAGGCACAGGACTCTGCCCCTGGCCCTCAGGGCCCTCCCAGGACAGGCAGGAGAGCAGGGCAATGCTCACCAGGTCGGGCTCCTCCCCAGGTGGGCACTGCCAAAGGGTTGTTGATGTCAGGGTGGCGAGAGGCCAGGGCAGCAGCTAGAAGAACAGTAGGCATTGAAAGAGGCAGAAAGTGCTGGGTGTGGGGTCTCTGGGGTCATCTATCCCCCACCTATTTCCTGAAACCCCAGTGGTAGGGACCACTGACTACCCCACCCGGGCTTCAGGGACACACTCTTCTAACCTCAATCCCTCACACTGAGGAAAACCTGTCCTGTCCCAGACCTGCTGCAAGACCAGTACCTGGGCAAGGAGAGAGCCACATCTGGCTCTGGAAAGTGCTGGAAAGCCCCAGATAAGGCCACATCAGGATCTCAAGCCCTTCCAGCTAACCAGAACGATGAGGAGGAAATGCTTCCGAATCCTCTCTCGTATTCTGCCCCCACTTCCTCCTACTTTGGGTCCATCCCTGGCCCCATCACAGCTGGGCATATCATTAACCAGCCTCATTTATAATCCCTGGAGCCAAGTCTGCAGGTGGCGCTTCCTATTCTGGGCTCTCCCTTCAGCGAAAGTCTCCAGGACCACATCCTCCTCTGCAATCTTCCCTCAAGGCGAGGCTACCCCATTCACACCCACACACCCAAACAGGGAGACGCATCCCAAAAGAAAGCTCCATCTTCTCAGTGTGTGTCCCCAGCCCATTTCACTAGGAGTTCTCTCTGCTTCCCATTCTTAGGAATGAACTGTCTCTCCTGAATCCCTCCTAGAGTCCCCCAATTTGGCCTAGGCTGGATGAGGCTACCATCAGCTGCCCTGGAGATGGAATAGGGATCTCCTCAGACCCCAGAGCGGCTCCCAGCACCTGCTAAGGCTGGAAGGCCTCCTGTACATGGAGCAACCCTTAGCAAGGCCCAAGGCCAAGTCTCACCCTCCCTGAGCTTCTAGCGTCACAGCAGAAAGATGGGCCCCAGGGCAGACCCCAAGATGCTGCAAGTCTGTAATGTGGACTTGCCTGCAGCTCCGGGCAGCTGGCCTGATCCTGTGATCCTGGGACCTGGAATCTGGGATCCCCCAGACCAATACAGATCTTGAACCCCAGCACCTGAGGTGCTATGGCTCTCAGGGTCCAAATCCCAGGCCTCTTTTGCCCAGTTTCCTCTTGGTGCCCAGCATACCCTCTGGGCTGGGCTCCGTTCTCATGCCTGCGTGCCAATGGGCATCTTGCCCTCAGCCATGCCTGCCTTGCCCATAAATGCCAGCAAGCCCTTCATTCTCCATCTCCCTGACAAGCCTGGGTGGGCCCAGAGGTGCTTCCTAGGGTCCAGCTGCCTCAGATTCTTGACGAGCTGAGTAACTGAGCCCTGCCCAGCAGGGGGTTCCCCGGGAGTGTCTGCACCCTCTTGCTGGAGGGCTGCAGGGCTGAGGGTGCGGCTTTTCTCCTTCCCAGGGCCCATCCCCAGCTCACCATAAGGAAGCAGGACAGGGGCCGGCACAGCAGACTTGGCTTCATCCTCAGGCCCCTGGTGGTCGCCGGCCTAGGGCAGATGGAGAGGAGGCTCGGCAGAGCGGCAGGGACAGGCAGGCAGCTGCTGTCCCCTCAGCACCACTTCCAGGATGACAGGACTCATGGGGAGCAGGCAAGGTGCTGCTGGGCAGGCAGAGCCCGGGGAGGCCGGCTCCACACCCGCAAGCACAGGCCCAAGCAGAGGGGGCTGCCCTGCCTGGGAGCCGGCCTCACGGGGCAGCACAGGCAGGAAGGCAGGAAGAAGGCTCTGCAGGCTGGGAGGCTTCCCAGAGGAGGAAGGGCTTCCTTCCCCTTCCTTAAACTGCCAGGTGCCCCGAGGCATCAGCAGGGGAAGGAAGCGCGTGTGGCGGCCTGTGTCCGTGATGACAGGGTTGCAACCAACACCCAACACCCCAGCCCGGCCTCCACACTCCAGCCCAGCGCTCCAGGCTCAGGCTCCCCCCGCCTCCTCCTCACAGGTCTGCAAGCATGCCCGGCCTCTGCCTTCACTCCTGCTGGTTCTGGTCCAAGGAAGGCCTTTTCCTTTACCCTTCAAAGCTCAACACGAAGGCCTCTCTTTCCAGAAGCTTCTCTAGAAGCTTTCCCCAAAGTGGGTCTGGCTCCCACAGCTCCCCACCCCATCTAGGTCCTGGTCCTTCTGCATGGCCACTGTCCACACCTCTTCCAGGGAGGCTGACTCCTCCCTTGAGGCTGGAACATGTCTGGCCACAGCTCTTCCCCTGGCAGACCTATGGGGCTGGGGTGGTCACGGCAGCCAGTGCTCTGTCTTTGTCATCTCTCCAGCACCTACTGCGTGCGGGCACTGGAGAAATCGGTATGAACAAGACAGACAAGGTCCCTGTCTGCAGGGAGCTCCATCCCAGGGGAGACCCAACTGCAAACAGAGAGGTGCCCCTGCCATTTGGTGGTAAGTGCCAAGAAACGAAATAAAGCAGAGTGGGAGTGCAGTGTGTGATACTTCAGAGAAATATCCATGGTGGCGTCACGGCCCACCGGTCTGAGACTGAGGCCCCCAGGCCCAGACGGTGGCCTGCTCTGGAGAAGCCTCCGGCCAGTGGACGAGGCGGACACAGCAGGACAAAGGATTCACATCAGACAGCAGAAGGGACAGGTGGCAGAGCAAGGAAGTCCGCTGTGTACTTCCTGGAGGCCTGGCTTCAGGGGCACGAGGCTGAGGAAAGCCGTGCTCTTCAGGCCACACGCAGCCTCTTAAGCCCAGGGGCAGCCTGGGAACCCAGCCACTGGCTCAGGGCCGCCGCGGCTGAGGCCCCCGCTGTGACTCCAAGGCCGGTGAGGTGAGAAAAGCGCCTCCTGTGGTAGTCCCAAATCACTCAGAGTCCTCTCCCTGCAGGCAGCCCGGCCCTCCCACCTAGAATAGCAGCCCAGGAAACCGATCTGTCCACCCGCCCTCCCTCTTGGCAGATCTCAGAGGGGCCCAGGGTTTGAGTTACACTCAGGGGAGGGAGTGGGCAGCAGTTACATCATCTCAGGACTCTCCAGGTCACTGGCAGCCACTCTGGGTCCCAGGCCAGCTCAGGGGAAAGCCAGGGACAGGAGAAGGTAGGGCCACAGTATAGGGTGGAGGCCACACCTGGCAGTCAACACCCAACAGATGGCACCCCCAGGCTATTTGGGGAGGGTCCCCTGTCACTCCTTAAATTTGGTCACAAGTCTTCCTTCCAGTTTCTGCCCCAAAGTGTCCTGTGCCCTTGTCAGGGCCCAGCTCCCACCTCGAGCCTGTCTCCCCATGGCCCCTCCTCTGTCCTTTGAGGGATCTAACCCACAGACCTGACCACGAGCCCCAAGTCCTCAGGCTTCACTTCCCCACTAGGCCTGACTACGCAAGACAGAGCCTGATGCTGGGGGTGGGGGCAGGCTGTGGCAGGCATGGTGGCTCACGCCTGTAATCCCAGCACTTTGGGAGGCAGAGGCAGGTGGATCACGAGGTCAGGAGTTCAAGACCAGCCTGGCCAAGATGCTGAAACCCCGTCTCTAGTAAAAATACAAAAATTAGCCCAGTGTGGTGGTACAACTTGTAATCCCAGCTACTCGGGAGGCTGAGGCAGGGGAATCGCTTGAACCTGGGAGGTGGAGGTTGCAGTGAGCCGAGATTGTGCCACTGTACTCCAGCCTGGGCGACAGAGCAAGACTCCATCTCAAAAAAAAAAAAAAAAGACAAAGCCAGGGGGAACCGTGACCAACCCAACAGCCCAGCCCCCAGCTCTAGCAGCCCTCCATGTCCCCAAGGTAGGCCCAGAGGGCTGATGCGGGGGTGAAAAGAGGCCAAGCAACCACAGCAGAGAGCCCTAGAACCACCCCAACCCTGGGTGGCACCTGCTAGGTGACCTGAGCCCACAGGGAGCAGCTGTGCAGCTGCTCATCTGCAGACAGACGCAGAGCTGTGTGATCTAGAACCTTCCAGGAAGAAAGCGGGGTCCAAAGGCCCAGACTCAAAGCCAACGAGGGCCCACTCCAGCACACGCATAGACACTGCCACCTAGGGCCTTGCACCTTCTAATTACGCACCTTCTCATTACCCCAAACCAGCACTTACTCCAGTCTGGCTGCCCGGCCCCCACACTCAGCCCAGACTGAGCCCCCACTGGACTTGCCCGGTCAGGTAGAAAGGCCTGGTGCACACACATGTCCACACCTGCTGCTCAGCACCCCTCACACCCTGCCCCACAAGGCCTCCACTGTCTAAAACGGCCCTGGAACCGTGACCAAAAAAACAGTTAGATGGAAGCCCCCTCGGCTGGGAGGGGATATCTGAAGGTCCCATATCCGTCTCTGCCTCATCCTAAAGGCTGGGCAGTCAGTGAGGCCCCAGAGCCTCCGATGCCTGACAGAGGAGAGCCACACCCAGCCACACTGGATGGGGAGGAGGGGCCCCAGGGGGGTAGCAGAGAAGGAACTTGGCTTAGAGGCCACTCCTCCCATGTCTCCTAGCCTGGGGCCCAGTCTCCACTGCCACCAACTCCCTTTGGGACCTTCACATCACTGGGTCTCAGTTTTCTCATCTACAGAGATGGGGACGTTCATCTTGCTGGCATGGCTGTCGCGAAGTTTTTGGGGAATTTCTGTTTTGTTTTTTCTGAGACAGTGTCTCACTCTGCCATCCAGGATGGACTGCAGTAGCACGATCACAGCTCACTGCAACTTTGAACTTTTAAGTGATCCTCCTGCTTCAGCCTCCTGAGTAACTAGGACTGCAGGCATGCCCCACCATGCCTGGCTAAATTTTTAAATTTATTTTCTGTAGAGACGGGGTCTCATTATGTTGCCCTGGCTGGTCTCCAACTCTTGGGCTCAAGCGATCCTCTCGCCTTGGCCTCCCAAAGTACTGGGATTCCAGGTGTGAGCCGCTGTGCCCAGCCAGTCATGGGGTTTAAAGGAGGTAATGAAGCTAAAGTAGGTCATGGGATTTCCTTCTCCACAGCCCTTCTCCTCTGCCCTGCTGGCAGAGGGCTGTGATTAAGTATTTGTTTGCTTACTTGTTTATTCCTTGCTCCCCCACCAGACAGTGGTGAGGGCAGGGACGTCTGTTTTATTTGCCACAAAACTCCACACCCAGCCCCATGTCTGAAGCGGGAGGCCTCCAAGCAGGCTCACGAGGCGGGGAGGGTTTCCTCAGACTCAGCTCTCCAAAAAAATGCCCGAACAATGAGAACCAGAAATTCCCTGGAGAAAAGCCAACTAGCAAAGGCCACGGCCAGACCCCCAAGCTGAGGGCCCCAGACCACGATTGAGGCCACAGATGGTGGAGCCCCAGGGAGGTGCAGCCTGGAGGCCTCAGAGAAAGAGGAAGCTGTGCCACCAGCCCAGGCCACAGGCAGCTTCCCCTTTCCCAGAACTGAAGCTCGCTGGGGTCACCCGGGCCCTGCCACGCCACTCCCCCTCCCCTAGGCAGGGCCCTCCCCTTCCCTACAGTCCCTAAGCTCTCCCAAGGCCTGCGCCCATTGCTCTTGCCCCCTTGCCCTGTCTCTGGCCTCCAGGTCAGTCCCGCCCTGCAGCCTAGGTGCCCTGACACCCAGTTCTGGCCCTGGCCCTGGGCCAGCTCCCACCACCCTCAGGATGGCGTCGTGACGCGCCCCCACCAACCTCCCCCACCCACACGCCTGCCACGCTGAGTGCTTTCCACCCTCACACACGCTGCACCTGCTTTCTGCTCTCCCCTCATCGCTTGGCCAGCACCCACTCTTCCTTAGAGCTCAGCTCGAAGTCACTTCCTCCTGGAAGTACCCTCTCCCCCACCTCCCCCTCAGCATTCATGGTGCCATGCAGATCCTATTACCCAGCCCTTTCCCCACCACGAGCTGCCTGCTCCATGCCCAGTGCCGACCTGGGCGGGTATGGGCTGATTTGGGGGAGAAGGCAGAAAAGGCACTCTTGGTAGAGAGCCCAGCTATGCCGAGCTAGAAGAGCCAGTGAGCAGGCTGAGGGGGAAGGAGCCCAGAGGCTGGGGTGGGTCAGAACCCAGATCTGAACCCCTGGGCTAACCTGGGGATACAAAGTATGGGGTGCAGTCCTGCTCTGCTCTGTCTTGCACTGGCTCTGTGGCCTGCCTGCAGAGGGCTGTGGTAAGGCTGAAAGAAGAGAATCACATTAAGTACTCAGCACAGGCCTGGCACAGAGTAAGCATTCCCCACACTTCACTGTGACTCAGTTTCCCTACGTGTGGAATGTGGAGGAGAAGGGCACAAACCTTTTATTTACGTTCAGTGCCTGGCACAGAGTCTGGTATACAGGCGGTGCTGGGTTCGCCCTGGTGGGAATCTGGAGGGTGGGAGGGCGGAGAAGACGGGAGGAGTCTGGAGGAGTCTGGGAAGGTTGGTGGGCAGTGCTCAGGTCACACCAAGGCTCAGCTGCCTGCCAAAAAGCCTGCACTTCCCCCTAGGGCCTATGGGAGCCAGGAAGGGTTAAGCAAGGGATGGAGAAGAATGAACAGTTCGGTCTCAGCAGGCTCCCCAGGCTGCCTGCTAAGAGAGGCCGCACTGGGGGAGATGGAGGTGGGGGCTGGTGCCCACCTGGAGGAGGGCAGGTAGGGAGGCAGCTACTCTGCTTCCCAGATAGTGGCTCCTGAGCCTGTGGACCTCCCTCTGGCCTCCAGAGGCTAGGGTTGCCTGGAAACACAGCTGGACACAGGCCTCCCTTGGCGGTGGCCACACCCAAGGCAGGAAGACAAAGGCCACCCATCAACAGAGAAATCCAGGTTAGCAAGGAGCCCAGCGGTTCCCTGGCAAGTGGGGCTGAAGTAGGGCAGCGACCACGCTGAGTGGCTTTCCCTCTTCCACACTCACAGGGAAAGGAATGGACCCCAGCCCTGTGCAGGCCGGGCCCTCATCCTGGGTTGCTGCCTTTCCTTGCAGGAGAAGTGAGCATTCCTGTTTCACAGCTGGGCAAACTGAGGTCAGGGGAGGTCACTGGCGGGGGTCACACAGCCAGTAAGAGATGAAGCAGGAATGGAGCCCAGGACTGTCTCTTTTCTGCCTCCTTTTGCCCTGCAACTTAGCCCAGGACCTGGCACATAGTAAATGTCCTTGCAGTGTTTGCCAACCTGATGGTGGAGGCTAGCAAGCTAGTAGCACCCAGTAGGTGGCTCAACTGAGGGTCTGTTACTAAGGACCCAGGAGGGCCCCAGGAGAAGGTGCTGTCTGCACCGCCATCCCATGGGGCCTCTAGGAGTTGCCTGCATCTATACTCATTTGCATATTGTTCTAGTCTGTGCCAGCTCTGGCAGGAAAGGGAGCTGTGAACTGAAAGAGGCAGGAAGACCGGGGAAGTCTGGGAATTCCCAGAGCGGGGAAAAAGAGGTCCCAGGGTGGAACCCCAGCTTACTAGGGCTGCTGCTGGAAGCTCAGAGATGTGCAGAGGCTGGCTCAGGGCCACTCAGTGAGACAGGTGCTCCACTCCTGCCCCCTCCCACAGCCCTGGGCAGCCATGAGCTCCCAGGTCACCACGATGGGGTATAAACCAGTCCCTCAAGGGCTGGGGAGCACCTCGAGGCCAGGCAGCAGCTGCTCCCCAGCCCACTCTCAGCAACACCCCCAGAAGTTGGGCATGGTTCTGCACCTCAGACCTCCTGGCTGCCACCAGGCCTGGGTTTCAGTGGCTCAGGTGGATGGGGTGGGGCTGAGGCTAAGGGGGCTAAATTGGCCCCTTGAGGCCAAGAAAAGGGCTGAGGTGGCCACACCTGGCCCACCCAGCTCCTCCCAGTCTGGGTATGGTACAGGTGCAATCCTTGCCCCACTTCCTGGGCCGAGTCTGGGGCTAGAGGAGGGATGTCTGAGACCAGACAGTTATCTCGGGCAGAGAGGAGGCTCCCTAACCCTCCTCACTGAGCACTACTGCCTGTCCCCTTCCCACTCTAAGCTGGGTCTCACTGAACCCCTCAAAGACAGTGTTCCATGCTTCACACAGAAAAAACTGAGGCTCAGAGAGGTCAAGTGGTAGCCTGTAACAACTTCACCTTGAAGGAGATGAAGTTTACCTACCCTGGAGTAGGGGCAACTGGCAGGCGACCCCTGCCTGAGCCACCCAGGCCTGGTATCTCCACTGCTTCTGGCCACCGTCAACCTCTCAGCACCACAGACAGCCCTGTGTTGCCAACCCTGGCCCTGAGACAGGACAGCAACGGGTCTGGGGGTGCTGAAGGACACCTCACTGCAGCCCCGGCTCATGCTCTGCTACCTCCTCCAAGAAGCCACCTTTGCCACCTGCCCCGGCCATAAAACTGATCCCAAGTCCCTAATGTGCTCAGCATGGGCCCTGCCCCCAATCACCCTGACCTGGAAGACCTGGGCAGAGGCTTTGGGAGGGACTTGGGGGAGACCACAGCCCTGGTCTGCCCCATTCTCCAACTCTCCCCAGACTTGCGGTGCTGGGGAAAGAGGCGCCCCCAGGGCCATCCCAGGTCAGGTCCTACCCAGTGGAGCTACGCTGAGGACTGGGGTCAGTGCAAGTGCAGTGGTGGAGCAGGGAGGAGACAAGGTTGGGCCCTGGAGCAACCCACCAGGGTTCAGACTCTGGCTCTGTCACTTCGCAGATCGATGGCCTTGGGCAGGTTACTTACCCTCCCTGAGTTTCGGGGTCTTCCTCTGCAAACAGGGGTGCTAGTCCCTGCCTCATGGGATACTGAGGGCTCTCAACACAGCTCCACGAGGGCCAGAGGAACCCAAGCTCAGGACCAAGCAACAGCCAGCCGAGGTCACCCAGAGGCTTGGGTGTGGCAAGAGTGCTTTGGGGAACTCCACGTAAACCCTGGCAGCACAAGTAGAGGGGCCTCGGCCTCTCTGGGAGGGCCCTGGGTGCCCATGTCCCAGCCCCTGTACAGGCCTACGTCCACCTGCTCCCACACCAGCCAGGGCCATGGTCAGGAATGTAAGGGGTAGTTCAGCAGTCAGGAACCCAGCCCCAACTTCCCAAGCCTGTTTCCCAATTACACCAGTGCAGCTGACCTCATGGTGTGGTGGAGGACTCAGCGTTCACAGGCAACAGGGGCTCTTCTTACAATCAGGCCTTGGGCCAGGCATCCCCTCCTGTAGGAAGCCTCCCCAGCCTCCCTGTCAAGAGGGCCCCCTCTCCTCTCCAGACTCCCCCACCCCTCACCCCTGCCATCAGTTTTCAGTCTCCCTTGATTCCTCGAGAAGGGGTGAGGCTCCTTGAGGGAGGGAGGGAAAGGGTCTGTGCAGGAGGCCAGGCATGCAGCAGGCTGGTGGTGTGGGTGGCCAAGGTCCTCCCCTCTCACTGCTCCTCCTCACAGTGCATGCACTGGGCTAAGCGCAGGTCCCCCCTCTGGAAGCCCCCACTCCTCTCTCTACCTGCACACTCAGACCCTGACTCTAACTGGCTGTAGAGGTCCCGCTGTCCCCCTCTGTCTGTGACAACTAGCCAGGGCACTTGCTCACAGCCACATGGGCAGCTTATTTATAGAGCTCTCATCTTTCCCAGAGTGGCCTAGGAAAGAACTCTGGTCTTCAAGGCCAGCAGACCTGGGTTTGGATCCCAGTGACACTGGGGCCTGGCAAGTGCCTCCTCTCTCTAGGCCTTGGTTTCCCTGCCTGTGCTTGGAGGGAATGATGACCCCCAGGAGTATAAGGCTGAGGATGTGACAGCCTCCCGGGCCATAATCCCACGGATGGGCAGAGTAGGGATGCAGCATTGGCTCTTGTCCTCTCTGCCACTCCAGCCCCACTCAGCAGCACCAAGCCTAGGCCCAGAAAGACACGGGTTCAGCACACAGTGGGTATTCTCCCTGTCCAGAGACCACATCCCTGCTCCCCCATCGATCCTGAGTGGGGAATGGCGCCAAACACACCCTGCTGAGTAACCTCAGGCAAAACCCCTTCCTCTCTGGTCCTCTCTCCTGCTGACCTGGCAGAAGGGCTGGCCCCATAACAGAAGTAGTCAGGTCCCGCCCAGCCAGACTGGGTGCTGACCAGCCTGGCCCTTCTTGAGAAACTAATGTTAGAATTGTCAGACAAACCCCTCGACCCTCACCTCCTGCCTGGAGACCAGGCTGGGGGCTGGGTAGGATCTGGAGTACCTGACTACAACACAAGTGGCTGCGTGACTCAGCCTAGGGCTGCTCTCTGAGTCGAGGTTCCCCCATACCAACTTGGAAAGGAGAGGGCCCGGGTGAGTGCTGTTGTGAGGAAATGCTGGGCCCAGAGCCTGGCACACTACAGGGCCTGAGCAGGGACAGTTGCCTCTACTGGCTCAAGATGTCGAGGACCATGACAAGCACTACACTTGCCCCCTACCCACAGGAGTGGCCGTGAGTCTTTGCCCCCACCCGCCAGCACACATTCTGCCTCAGGTCATGGTGAGCACCAGAGACCTGGGTGCAAATCTCCCGGTGCCTCCCAGCACACAGGTGCTGGGATCCTAGAGCAGCTGCCCTTCCTCAGGAAGAGGTCTCGTCAGCACAGAGACGGCAGTGGGAGGGGGTGGGCTACTGGCCACGCTGGCCCCACCAAGCTGAGCATGCGGTACCCACAGGTGCCCCAAACCTGTGCCCATTCCCCAGCAGTGAGGGAGGACACCTGGCAGGTGGCCCACAACAATGAAGGGAGACTAATTTCGGGCCAGGAGGGCTTCCTGGGTGAGGTGGAGCTGGGGCTATAGTCTGGATGGCCAAGAGGGTTCTAGAAAGAGGGAAGCTTTAAAAGCAAAGGCAAGGCAGACAAGGCATCTGGCAAGGAGAGGCGAGGGTAAAGATGCAAATTCTGAAAGGCCTTGGAAGGAAAGGCCTCATTGCCAGGTGAGGAGTTTGAACTACACTTTGTAGGCGAAAAGCAAGTTATTTTATGGAGGTCACTCTGGCAGTGTGCGGGAGAGCCGACGTGGAAGCACAGAAGCTAGAACCAGAGCCTGGGCAGGGATGGCAAGGCCAGAGCTGGAATATGAGGCAGGCCGACGTCCAGAAGGTGTGTCTTGGGCCTGCTTCCAGTGCTGGCCAACCTCCAGCCGCCAGGGAAAGTGTGGACACAGAATGACAAACTCAGGACAGAAGGCAGGTACCGCGTCTGGAAGGTGAAGGTTCTAGGAGTCCTAGGGTAAGTCCCTGAATTCTCAGAACCTCAATCTCTCCTTCTGTGAAATGAGATTGGGCCTGACCCTATGAGTAGGGGCAGGTGCTGACTGGCCCTCAATATCTCCCCTCCTTGGCTAGACATAGGGCCCTCCCTCCAGCAGCTATCACACCAGTCCCAACTGTGGTCACAAGTGGAAACCCAGCCTGGCCCCACTGTCATCCCCAGAGGCCCAAGTTCCCAGAAAGGTTTGGCTTGGCCAGGGCACAGGCTGAGGCTGGGGGCCTCCTTTAAGGCTGGGATAAGGAGAAGTTAACCCTTCTCCTCTTGCTCCCCCTCCCAGGCCCTAAGCTATTTCCACCTCTTTGTTGAGGATGGAAATAACTCCGGCTCAGCCCCTAGAGACCACGACAGCTATTTTCATCAGCCCCAAGAAGCACAGCTCCAGTCATTGCAGAGAGGACCGAGGGACACCCTGATCCCCAGTTCCAGTTCTTGGCCAAGTGGCAACAGTGGTCAGAGCCAAAAGGGGTCTCTGGGAAGAACAGGGAGACCGAGGCCCAGAGAGAGTAGGGACCAGCTCAAGGTCACTCCCTGTCTGCTCCCCACCATAACATGCAGGTGGATTTGGGGAAATGCCTCTAGAGCAACTGCAAAGGGGAGGGGGCCTCTCAAGTATGATGAAGGTCACCTGGGACTCTCAATTTTCCCTGCTACCCCTAGGCTGTGCTGCTAACTCCATACACTCTTCAAAGCCATGGGGACACCCCCAAAGCCAGGTCCAGGCTCTAGAAGGCAGGGGACAGGACTTTCTGGTGATGTCTGGTTGGGAGTGAAGTCTGGGGAGGAACAGGAAGACCATGTAACCCACCCATCCCCAGTGTTCCAGACATGTGTGCACACACACACATCATACTTAGAACTCACAATGTAATGCCCTGGCTAGGCCACGCCTACTAGCCCAAGTTTGAGAGACAGAAGTCCAGGAAAGCCATGAGCAGTTATTAGGAAGGTGGGTGATCCTCTCTCCCAGCATCTCACTGGTCTCTGGGGTCAGAAGACCTGAATTCCAGTCCTGGCACTGTCCTGACTCTGTATGACCTTGGCCAAGTCACTTTGCTTCTCTGATCCTCAGTTCCTTTCTCTGAAACACAGTCACTACATCTCAGAATCACTGCGAAGATTCAACAAGACAGAACACCATGAAGTGTTCAGAACAGTGCCTGACACTGTCCCCCACCCTGTCCCCCACCCCTAGAATGTAATCAGCATTTTCAGAGGACGACAGCAGAAGACAGAACTTCCAGATTCTACAGCAAGTGCCACCCTCTCCTAGACTAGGGAGCTCAGCTTCCACCCCACCCTGCATGAACCCCACAGACCTTCATACGGGAGAAGGGGCCTCAGAAGGGTCTTGCCCAGATGGCGAAAGGGTACCGCTCCAGCTCTCCAGCAAGAACTTAGCCTCCCAGACCAGAGACCACTCCTGGGGAACAAGTCTCTCCCCACTCTCCCCCAACCCAAGGAACTGAAGAAAGGACACCCAGGCAGAGAAGTGAATGTCTATGGATTTGGGGATCCATATTGTCTATGGATCCATTTCGTGACAGAGGACCAGGAAGCCTTTGGGTGGGAGGCTAACGTTTCCTTGACCAGTTTTGGAGAAGGCTGTGCTTCCAACCCTATCAGTAGCCCCTGAGTGCAGCCCCTGGGCCGCTGTGTCCCCAGGAGAAGCCTGCCCCCACCCCCCACTGCAGTCTTTCTGCCTGAAGGGAAGGGAGAACACAGGCAGTTGACCCAAAACAATAGAGGATCCCAAAGTGATGATTCACAGTCCATTCAAAGCCCAGCACCTCAGTGTGCAGATGGGGAGACTGAGGCCTGCGCGGGGGAGGGGGGCGGGGGGGTCTGAGAACAAGATTGTGTCCGGGTCCGCTGAGAATACAGATTACACAGGGGCAGAACTTTGCCAGGTGTAGGGACTTCGATGCGTGAGTGTGTGGATGCAGGTGGGCGGGGGGAAGCTGAGACTACCACAGGGCCCCTACCCTGCTGCCATCTGGGCCACCCCACCAGATGTTGCCCAGCCTCGGCTTTCTCCCTCAGCCAGGGCCTATCCCTCAGGGTCCATCTCCTCACCAAGCTGAACTCCTGAGGGGTGCCCTCGTGGGGACAGTCCTGGAGACCCTTGTCTCCTGGCTCCCCAACTTCCTCATCGCCCCACATCTGCCGGAAGGTGTCCTAGGTCCGGTCCCTCCTCCTCCTGCCTCTTACTCATCATCACCCTAGGCGCAGACACACACACACACACACACACACTGACACCACTTGACCCCACACGCACACCATGGCGCCAGCGAGCTCGGCTCGTTCTCAGTCACTTGGGCTCCTCTCCCTCTATTTCACACTCACAGTAACGGGTGGCCCTGGCCCTGCGCCGGTCACGCCCCAAGCCACGCACTTCGTGACCCCAGTGACCCCGGGTCTTTCCCTCACACAACACACGCACACACGCTGCCTGTCTCCCACACACAGAGCCCCTCTGTGTCGCCCGCTCGGCCCGGCGTCACCGCCCAGTGTCCCAGCCACACGTTCGCCCGGCCAGGCCGCCTCACGCGCCGTGTCACCCACAGTCACGGGCTGACACCATCCAGACCCCCCCTTGGCCGCCCCGCGCCGCAGCCGCGCCGAGGCGCCGCCGTCCAGCCCGCACCACAACCTGGTCTCGGTCCAAGTTTCCCGGGCCGGGGACCGCTCCGGGCCCCGCCGGCCCCTCACACCGCAAGTTCCGCTGCTTCCCCGCGCGCCCCCCGACAGCCACCACGCAGGGCCGGCCCGGAGTCGCGGCCGGAGGACCTGCAGGTCACGGGGCTCGGAGACTGGCGGTGGCCGGTGCGCGGAAGGCGCCGGGACAGGACGCGAGGCGGGAGGAGTGGGGTGGGGGGGCGCGCGGCCGGGCTGCCGCATCCGCCGAGCCCGCGAACTTCCTCAGAGACACGGGGAGGCAGGGGGCGCCACTAGGGTCCGTATCCCGCTGGCCCGGCCGCGGAGAGCAGACTCTGGATGGGCGCTCCGCGCGCCCTCCTTACCTGGCTGCGCCGCGGCAGCTCCAGCTCGGCTCCCCGTTCGACTCGGCGCCGCGGCCCGGCTCGGCGAGCGCCCGGACAGCCGCGCAGCCTGCGCGCCTTTTGAATGAATCGCCGGCTGGGCCGGGAAGGTGCGCAGACCCGCCCCCGCGCGTCACGGCCGCTCCGCCCCCGACGTCAGAGCGCGGTCTGCGCCCCGCGCCCGACTCACCCCGAGCCGCGGAGGGGCTCGCCGCTCTGCCGCTGGGCGGTGCTGCTCTACGTCGCCCTCTCTCGCGCCCCTGGGAACTGCAGGGGGCTGCGCGGGACTGGGCGGCGGTGCCCAGAGGGCCTCTTGTATCCGCCTCTTCAAGGCTCTGAACCAAGCAAGGAGTTGTGCGAAGCAAGATAAAGAGACTGGAGACTGAGATACTCCTCTGGGTCCTCTCAGCATTGCCAGTGTAACTAGAGCCACCTCTGCCCCTTTCTGGGCTTCATCTTCCTCCTGCCAGTTGGTGGCCAGGAAGAATAACCTCACTTTGCTTTGTTGACGAGGCCCAGGCCCAACCCTGGAAACCCTCACCTAGTTGGCGAAAAGGCCTGGTGAAGGTGAGTCTATAAAGGAAGCCCACACGGTGGGCTTCGGCACATCCTTCAAGGCCTAGTGAAATCCTCCAGGAGGCGTCTCCTGCCTCCACTCCCCTACTCCCCGCACCACTTCTCTGTGCCAGGGTAGTTAGTTTCCCTCCAGCAGGACAGGTGACTCAGTGCCCCCCTCCCTACTACAGCCATCCCACCCTGCCAGTTTCCAATGCCAGTCATCACAAACTCCAGGCAGTATTCACACTGTATTCCGACTCCGAATCGTGTCCCCTGGAGTTGTGCTACAGGGTGTGCCAGGACTGGAGGGAGCAGCTCAGTGGCCCGTTCCCCCTCTCAGTACTATTCAGGGGATCTCAGGCGGTCCTCCTGGGACAGTAGGGCTGATGGGAGACTGAGACACCAGGGAGGACCTAGTGCTGGGCCAGAGGCCTGGCTGGGGTCAGGATAATCACAGCCCATGACAGAGATGGAGAAAGGAAGGTAAATAAGTCAGCTGGGGATAGATGGCTGGGGGTGGGGTTCTAAACAGTCATAGAATCTGAACCCAGGGGCTAGGAGACGGAAAAGGTCAGGTCCCCAGGGTCCAGGAGATTCCAGGAGGCGAACTGGACACCGCATGGGGAGGGGAGCAGGGGATGAGTTTTCATTTCCCTGGGTCATGCTCAGGTTGTGGGGGAAGGGCATAAGGAGCTACAGGTCATTGATGTCAGGATCATGACATCAGCACCCTCATATGTCAATGGAGACCTCCAGGGCTGGGGCAGGGGTTCTTCCAGGGTCCCACATCCCAGCCTACGGAAGGCCAGAGCATCCAGAATGCCTCCACTCCTGGAAATGTTTTCTTTGTAAGGGGACCATCTACACCCCAGCTCTAGGTTCTAGAGTTCAAATGGTGGCAATTTCAGGTGTCGTCACTCAATAAACCAAATGGGGAAGGCCAGGTGTAGTGGTCACACCTGTAATCCTAGCACCTTGGGAGGCTGAGTTGGGAGGATCACTTAGCCCAGGAGTTCGAGACCAGCCTGGGCAACATGATGAAGCCCAGTCTCTACAAAAATATGTGGGAGAATCACTTGAGCCCAGGAAGTTGAGACTGCAGTGAGCCGCGATCGTGCCACTGCACTCCAGCCTAGGTGAGAGAGTGAGACCTTGTCTCAATCAATAAACTAAATGGGGAAATGCTTTTTGGAGCACTGGCTATTAATCAGACATCCCAGAGAGGGTCCAGGCCCCTCTCTACCACCAGCTCTCTGTGAGGTTTTCATCAAATCCACCCCCAACTCAGTTTCCTCATCTGAAAACTGGGGTGCCAGACATGTTGCCTGAAGTTCTCTGTGGGAGGCGGCTACCTGGCTGCCCTGGCAGCAGCTCCATAGAGTAGGTCTCCTGGGGCCACAGCCCAAACACTTCTCGCTCCTGCAACCCCCAGGTTAGGAGGGAGCCTAATTATTATTTACTGCTGGGTGGATGCGCCAGCTCCTCCTGCAGCCAGCTCTGACCCTGAAACCACTGTGACGTGGGCTCCTCCCTGAGAGTCTACCAGCATCTGGGTTGCTCCACAGTGAGTAGACAGGGAAGGAGTTGTGGAAGCCACAGGAAAGATTTAGACTCGCTTTTTATGGAGCTTGGGGAACCACAGGCTTGAGAACAAAGGACTCTCAGAATCACAGGCTTTATAAAATCCTGGCATCTCAACTGAACCCATGGAGTCAGCACTGGAATCCCTGAGCTCAGGGACCTCAGAGACCATCTTGTTGAACTTCACATGGTACAGCTGGGCAAGTGGGCCCAGAGAATGTGTGCACCTCATTGTAGGTACACAGCACAAGGTCCCAGTAAACTGGGACGAGCTGTGATGGGGACCTGGAGGCAGGGGTACAGGTGCCATGCCCCAGCCAGGCCCTGCCTGGGGTGGGGATCCTGGGTCACAGAATCAGAGCCACCACAGTGTGGCTGTATGCAGGGGTCTGAGTAGATGACTGCCTTGGAGTCATGGACCAAAGGTAGTGGGTGCCACTCTGCTTGCTGGCTGTGCTAGAATTCCAAAAGGAAGTACATACAGTACAAGCCTGGAGGAACAGCAGGCTCATACTTAAATTTCAATGCTCCAGGCCAGGCGCGGTGGCTCACGCCTGTAATCCCAGCACTTTGAGAGGCCGAGGTGGGCGGATCACCTGAGGTCAGGAGTTGTAAACCAGCCTGGCCAACATGGTGAAACCCCATCTCTACTAAAAATACAAAGAAAAAAAAATTAGCCAGGTGCGGTGGTGGGCGCCTATAATCCTACCTATTTGGGAGGCTGAGGCAGGAGAACTGCTTGAACCCGGGAGGTGGAGGTTGCAGTGAGCCAAGATTGTGCCATCGCACTCCAGTCTGGGCTACAGAGCGAGACTGCGTCTCAAAAAAAAAAAAATAAAATTCAATGCTCCATCCTAGGCTAACCCCCAGCGGGCCAAGTCCTAACCCTAAGAAGGTGGGCTGCTGTCCTGTGTTTGTGTCTTAGCTCCAGGGGAGGGTGGGCTCAGTCTGAGGGGAAACTGAGGCTAGGAGGCCAGGATAGGGCTCAGCCTGGGGCCAGGCCAGAAGCTGAGCTGGGGCTGTCTGGGTCTGAGGACCAGGTTCAACCTGCATTTAGGTCCAGACCCTGGCCTGGGTCTGGAATCCCACTGGGGTGGAGGTGTCAAGTCTTTGGTGACTGCCTCACTGGCTCCCTCATGGGAGGCCCAGCACTCTCAGTTCCATCCATCCCAGGTTCTATTGCCCACCTGACTGGTGCTCAGGGAGGCAAGTGTAGGGTTTTCTTGTTCCCATGGTGAGTCTGAGAGAGGAACCCAGAGCCATGAACTGCAGACAATGGGGCTGGTGGGGACCCTGGGGACTGTCAGGGTGAGACTTGCAGTCCAGTTACCCTCTGGGCCCAGAACATGAGCAGGTCAAGAGCTAGGGAGTGTGAGCCAAGCCCAGGGAGGCAGGTGGCTTGCTGAAGCATCTGAGATTAAGGAGCCTGGAGAAGAGAAATCTAGGGGAAAATGGAAGAATATATGCTTTGGTGTCACATGGATAGTGGTTAAGTCCCACTTCTGCCATTGCCAGGCTGTGTGACCTTAGGCAAGTGACTTCACCTCTCTGAGAACTCGCCCATCCAAGCGTGTTATGAGGATCTGCTGAGACCTCATATCGGGGGCACCAGCTTCTTCCAGGACGCTGGGCTCAGGAGCTCTCTCTCCTCTCCCTTCCCTTGGTGCACTGTTTGCCCTGGGCAGCAGGGGCTCTGCCCGATTTATCCCTGATGCCTGCTCACTATCTCCCTCCCCAGTCCAGCCCAGCAAACTACCTCTGACCCAGCTTGGGATGCCAGCTCACTTGCCTTTGCCAGGCAGGACTCCTCATTGGCTATAATTGGGCCTAAAATAGACTTCCCCTTGCCGTTTCCTGCAACCTGGCCTGTGGCTTAAGGTCTGTGAGGACACAGACTTGGTGTTTGGCAGGCATGCAGAAGATGTAAAGGGCTCACAGAGGTCATCCAGGTCTATGGAGGGACAGACACTCGCCTGGCATCACACAGTGCCGAGAGCCTGGGCTGGAGCTTGAGTTCAAGCCCTGGGGTCCCCCATGCCCTCCCCAGGCCCTGCCCAGAAGGTTTAAGGTAAGGCCTTAGCCAGACTTGCTCCCTCCAAGCCCTCTGGACCAGCCCAGTGCTGAGGCTGGTTTGAGGTGTGTGACGGGGCCCCTGGAGGCCAGCTCGTCTAGCCTTCTGCCTCCCCTGGCTTTAAGGGTCATTTCCTGGCTTTTCTGACCACAGGAAACCTTCCTGCCTGGGCTCTCCTCCCCAGCTACCCCCAGCCTCAATGTTGCCTTTCTGTGTGACCTCAGGTAAGTTCCTGACCCTCTCTGTGCCTCATCTTTTCCATTAGATAGATGGTCTAGCTAAACCCTGACCCCTGTCCCAAACCCAAGGGACCACCTGGAGAACTCCCTTGAAGAGGAGATGGCCTCTGGCTTTGACTCTCCTCACTCATCTGGGATCTGGATCCCCTTCCCAGGGCTGGTCTAAGGAACATTAGTCCAGCCTCATGAGTGACTACATGTGACTCTGGGTGCTCAGGCTGTCTCTCCTGTCCTCCAGCCACACCAGGCCAGCCCTCCTCTTCCATGAGATACAGAGACCTGAGCAGACAGATTCCAGGTTCTATCAATTAGTGGTTAGGTGACCTTGAGGAAGGCATCTAACCTCTCTGAACCTCAGTTTCCTCATCTGAAAAGGAGGGTAATAATGGTATCAACCTCCCAGGACCATTGTGAGGATTCGAGATGATCCATGCTCCTGGCTTGCAGCAAACACTAAGTGGAAGCTGGGTTTATTGTTTCGTGGCATTCAAGACCTAGAGTTGGTTCTCACCTGAATTCTCCAGATTTAATTCAACAAATATTTACTGAGCATCTACTGTGTGTCACGCACTGTGGCAGGCCTGGGGATGGAACAAAGAACAAAATCCCACGCTCACGGAGCTCCCAATCTAGGCGCCCCTGCCTTTTCCTCTTTCCCCATCCACCTGGGCCTGCACCAGGCTCCTCTACCCCTCCTTGCCTTGGTTTGAGCTGTTCTTTTTTTTTTTTTGAGACAGAGTCTCCCTCTGTCACCCAGGATGGGGTGCTGTGTAACCTCGGCTCACTGCAACCTTGGCCTCCTGGGTTAAAGCAATTCTCCGCCTCAGCCTCCCAAGTCGCTATGACCACAGGTGCACGCCACCACGCCTGGCTAACTTTTGTATTTTTTGTAGAGATGGGGTTTCTCCATGTTGGCCAGGCTGGCGTTCCCTCTTAACATCAAACCCAAGCCCCACTTTCCCCCACACCAGTGGCTAACCATAGTCATTCCCTTTACAGCAGCAGTTCTCTACCTTGGCTGGTGAAGCTAGATCATGGTGTCAGAAGCCGGGGTGGTGGTTACCCTTGGAGGGCAGACCAGAAGGAGGTCTAAGGGGAGCTTCTGGGGTGATGAGATTTTCTGTTCCTTGACCTGGGTGTGTTCACTTTATGAATACCCATCACGCTGGGTCCTTTTTTATGTCCTTTTTTGTATAAATGTTATACTTCAACTAAAGGTTTCTGAAAAACATATAGACACCTGGGTCCCACCCTCAAAGTTCAGATTTAATTGGCTTGGAATTGGCCTAGGCCCTCATGATCATAATGTGCATCCCAGGCTGAGAACCACTGCTTCAGAGGAGGTAATCCTTCCAGGAGCCTCCCCTGGGCCGGGAGCCTGGGGTCTGATGCTCATTCCAGGGCCTCCCTGCCCACAGCTGATGGGGTCCGGGCTGTCCACAGGCTGGCCAGTGCCCTGGAATGTGGGCCTCTAAGTAACAGTGGGCTGGGCCAAGCCCATTCTTACTGAGGCACTTGAGTCGGGGAAGTGGTGAGGATCTGGTCTTGGGTATCTTGTGCTAAAACTGAAGTCTGCCCAGGGTCCTCCGAGTGGAGGAGGCGGAGGCCCTGAGGCAGCAGAAGCTGGAAAGCAGTGGAACAGCAACTGACTGGCAGTGTGGGAGGCACTGGCGACTCAAGTGGAGAGGCCAGATGTCCTGAGATGCAGCTCTGATGTCTGGGCCACAGTGCCCTGTGACAGCTCCTTGCTGCCAGCTCACATCTTCACTAATAAGCACCCTTCTAGTTCACAAGCAAAATGAATCTCTTTCTTGCAATCCAAAGACCTGTGCACGCCAAGCAGCAGTCCTGTTCGGGAAGGGATCATCAGCCTCATTTCACACGTGAGGAAATGGAGGCTCAGAGGGGATACAACTTGCCCAAAGGCACATAGCTAGTTAGCGGCAAAGTCAAGATCTCAAACAAGGTCTGTCCAGCTTCAAAGCCTGTGTTTCTTCTAATGCTTTGTTTCGTTATATATTCCACATGAATGATGCCTCCTACTCCATAATATATCTGTGCTTATTAATAGAATCCCTTCCTCCCCAGATAGCCCCAGTAAAATGATGCTGCACGGAGACGGTCCATGCCCGTCCTGTGGTGTTGAGGACCCAGCAGACCCCTGAGAGGTGTGCTGCCAGTTTGCAGAGCATGAGCTTGCATGCCCCTTCAGGGGCTGACTCAAAAGTCAGTCATTTAGGCTGGAAACGTTCGTGCGTGTAGCAGAGCTGAGGCACGACATGCCTTCTAGTGATGGCCACCTCTAGTTCTGCAGGTGCACTCTGGTCTGGAGGGCTCTCTGTCCTTGCACAGAATAGTCCCATGTTGCTGGGCCTGTGCGTTCTTGTGTCTGATTTAATGACAGACCTCTTCAGACCAGAAATCAGACAGACTTGGATTCTATCCCTGCTCCAAACACTTCAGAGGGTTGGAGCAGGGCCTTGGCCTTCATCAGGGTTCTCCAGCTGAGGCTTTGCTGGAGAACATTGTTTCCTGGAGGAGCCGTAGACAGGCTCAACAGGGGTCCTGGCTCTTTACCTGGAGCATGTCAGCTTCAGATTCCCAAGCTCCATCCAGGCCCACTGACTCAGAAGCTCTCAATTAATACGTAAATAAGTTACGAATCATGTTTCTGCATTTACATGTCATCTGCAAGGGATTCTACCATGTAACCCTGGTTACAAAGCACTGAACTGGTACAACCCCTTTATTTTCCTGATGAGGAAACTGCAGCCCAGCCACCTGCCCAGGTAACACAGCAAATCGTGGCAACCTCGCCGTCCAGCACTCTTCTGGGTCTCCAAGGCCTCCCTTCTTCCCAAGTGTGTGGACGTCGGAAGGCCCATGTGGCCAGGGAGACTGAGCCCTGAGGTTGCTGACAGGAGGCCACTGTGGCCACCAATGCAGTCATCTGGTGTTTCTATTTATTGACTCTTTAAACTTCATCATCCAAAGAGAGTTAATACATGACTGTTTGGTAGCAAGAGAAACATAATCTAAGACCGCAATGACCCACCCACCCCAAACAAAACCAAAACCAAACAGAACAAAACAAACCCCATCTGAAACCAAACCTTTGGAGTTTTAGCTGAAGAAGCGAGGGGGCTGAGGGTCAGAGTGGCTCTCTGTGGTCCAGGGGGTCAGGTAGAGGCTGCTCTCAAGTGGGAGCCTTCTCTGTTGAAAAGGCTACATTCAGCCCCTCAGCTTTGGGGGGTCCTTCCTGAAGGGGCTTCCCTTGGCAGAAGGGGTGTGGAGACGGATTCAGTGGTCAGAGGGGCTCCTAGGTCTGCCCTCCAAGGTGACCATATGTGCCAGTGCATGAGACACAGGGAAGCAGGGCCAAGGACTGGGGGCGACTGTGAGGAGATCATGGGCCCATTTCTCCTACCTGAGAGAAAGCCCTGTCCAAGGCCCCATCAGTGTTCCCAAATTAGGGAACCACTAAAGGCACCACCAACAAACTGGGAAATGACAAAGCCTGACAGGTCCCCAGATGGCAATCACTGCCCCCTAATAGTCAGCATCTTGATCTAGAGGACTGAGGGCAGCCCCATCAGGCTGGGGCCCTGGAAAGTTTATGTCAACGGGCAATGTTTAGGGCCTTGGACATGCAGTGTGCGTACGTGTGTGTCTGTATGAATGGAATGGGGCTCAGGGGCGCATGGGTCCCTCCAGGAAGGCTTGGTTAGAGTCCCAGGGTGGTCCCCAGGGCAGGAATAGGTTTCTTTTCCTCATGTCATTTCCTCAAATCACCCCCACCCCAGGTGACCAGGTCACTGCATAAATAAGTGCTTGGGAAGGTACACATCTAAAAAGAAACATAAATACTGTACATGGGGAATTCCCCAGCCTTCCTGCTGCCCTCCAGAAAACCCTCCAAATATTGCACATGGCCCTCCCCAGCCCCGTGGGGTCCAGACCCAGCTGTGTCTTTGGTAGAAGCTCCAGGGTCAGAGGTCCTGGTCAGCCCACATGTCCCCCACCCGATCATGACTGGAAGCACCGGGGCAGCCAGAGGGTCGGGAGAAGCCATGGCCTGGCTGGCCAGTGGGTGTTCCATCAGGAATGCTTCCGCGAAGACAAGGCAGAGCCCACGCAGGCACATGTGTGCCCCTGGCTGGATACTCCTGGTCAAAGTCTGCGTGTGGGCTAGGGAGAGGCAAGCAGGCTGAAGGCAGGTGGGCGGGCGAGTCCTGGGCCACGGCAGACAGGGTCACACCCTCCACAGGAGGAGGTGGTTTGTGCTGTCGTCTCGACCCACAGTCTCACTGCTGCTGCCGCCCCCACTGCTGAGTCGGAAGTCCTCATAGCCATCACCTCCACTGATAACCAGCATTTTAGGCCTGGCAGGGGCGGGGCCTCGGTGCCAAGGGGAGTCCCGGTGCTCCAGTGATGGCAGCTTCTCGGGGCCTGGGGGCAGAGGGGAGGATCTGTCAGCTTGGGGGCGAATGGAGGCTTCACTGTCCCATCGGGGCCTGAATTCCCACACCCCAGAAGATAGGAAGGAAGATGTGCACACTTCCTATGGGGGAATCCCACTTTCTGTTAGCTAGGAACTTATTTAGAAAGAAATGCCCACTTCTTGGCAGCCAGACTTCTTATGTCCCATCTGTAATCTCTAGTCAGGAGTCACATAATTTCCCAAGGTGACGCCACTTCTGATTTTTTTCTTTTTACAATGTAAGTGCCCTGTAAGATGCCACTTTCTATCTCTCTTGATTACTGCACGCAACGTCCTTGCATTAAATAAGCCTCCTACTTCCAACAGCCCTTTCCCAGGTAGCTTAAGTCTTCTGTGAACCCAGACAACTCCTGACCCGAGGCTTTATTGCTTCCTGATTTCCACAGCCACTTCCTCTTGGGAATATCATTTCTTGTCCTGCCAAAGCAAGACTTTTCTGGTTGTGGCCTCCTGATGTACCTCATTTCCTGCTGTTTCACTTTTTTTTTTGAGACGGAATTTTGCTCTTGTTGCCTGGGCTGGAGTGCAATGGCACATACTCTTGGCTCACTGCAACCTCCGCCTCCCTGGTTCAAGTGATTCTCCTGCTTCAGCCTCCCGAGTAGCTGGGATTACAGGCGCCCGCCACCACACCCAGCTAGTTTTTGTATTTTTAGTAGAGATGGGTTTTCACCATGTTGGCCAGGCTGGTCTCGAACTCCTGACCTCAGGTGATCCACCCCCTTCAACCTCTCAAAGTGCTGGGATTACAGGTGTCAGCCACCACGCCCGGCCATATTTTTATTTTTATTTTTTTGAGACAGGGTATCACTCTGTCACCCAGGCTGGGGTGCAGTGGTGCAATCTCTGCTGACTGCAGCCTCGACTTCCCTGGGCTCAAGTGAGTCTCCCACCTCAGCTCAGCCTCCTGAGCAGCTGGAACCACAGGTGTGTGCCACCACACATGGCTAATTTTTGTATTTTTTGTAGAGATGGTGTCTCACCATGTTGCCCAGGCTGGGTCCTGAACTCCTGGGCTCAAGCGATCCTCCCACCTCATCCTCCCAAACTGCTGGGATTACAGGTGTGAGCCACCGCGCCTGGCACCCGGCTGTTTCACTTTCTAATTATCAGTCCATTTTCTGTGCTAGTGCCATTCTATGTTGTTTTCTGTTGCTATTTCTATTTCCTGCTCTGTGCATCACTTCCTGATTCCACTTCCTGCCCTATATATCATTTCTAGTCCTGTGCTATTTCCTGGTGCATATAGGAAATATATACAACAGGACATATTTTCTATATACATATTCTATTTGTGACATATTCTACCTCTTAGGTTATAGTTCCCTCCCTGTCTCTCATGACATTTCTCTGGATAGAACTTTATATACACACAACACATGCAGGTGCGCACACACACACACACACACACAACTATCCTAGATTTCATTTGGACACTTCCGTGGTGTATTTCCTGTCACATATGCCACCTCCAGCTCTATGTGACACTTTTCCTCCCTCTTGAAAGCTCTTCTGGCAGGATAGTGGGGAGTCCTAAACCAAATGTCCATGATCCCTAGCTTGGGGTATGATGCACTGACCCACCTGTGTCTGGGGGAGGTGGTGGGGTTGGGCAGAGCAGGTTGAAGCCATCTGGCAGCTGGACTGCAGCCAAGAAGCGGACGTGGCCGGTGTGTCCCTGGCCGAGGCCTGTGGGACTGAGTGGTGCCCGTGGGCAGCTGACAGTACCGGGCGAAGTGGGCATGGTGAGGACGACACCAGCACTGGTGCCCACCCACAGCAGCTCCTCACACACCAGCAGCGCTGTGATTCGCAGACAGGCAGCCTTGTGCTGCCGGATGATGGCATCCGAGCCTGGGGTGGGAGACAGACCACAGCTGGGGCTGAATTCTGGCCCTGGCTCAGCCGCCTCTACGATCGGGCAGAAAGGCTCCAAGGAGGGTGCTGTGGTAGTTTGAGGTCAGTACCTGCCAGCATCCTGTGCACGGGAGGAGTGACGTCTACTTCTGCCAGCTGCTCAAAGGTGTCTGGATGGTAGAGACACACGTGGGCACTACCTTTCAATGTCACCCACACACCCAGGCTGGAGTCCACCATGCAAGCCACGCAGCGGCTTGAATCCTGACCCACGTAAAACATGTGCTGGGGAAGGCGGGGGAGAAGATGGGTCATTGGCAGGCCTGCCTCCCTTGGCCCACCCTAGCCTGGAGCTTCACCAGTGTCCATCCCTCACAACTCACACTAGCGTTGGTCCTTGGTCTGATTAACCTTTCGAAGCTTGGTTTCACCAGCACCTCCCAACTTAGTTCTCAGGAATTACAATGGAGGTGCTTTTTCCCCATTAAACTTGAGTGATTTAAGGATCAGAGAACTTCAATGCTTAAAGGGTTCTAAAATCAGTCACTGGCCTCCCCCTGGACAGGTGGGGAAGCTGAAGCCTAGAAGGGAAAGGTCACACAGCAAGTCAGTCACAGAGCTGGGGCCTGAACCCAGGGCTTTGGACTCCTGCCCAGCCAACAATGGAATAAGTGAGGGAAATTAAGGGAACCCGTTGCCCCTGGATACTTCTGACATGTGTGCAAGTGACATGTGCAGCAATAAATGCCAGAGTCTAATGCTAATGGATGTTGACATCAGAAAGGACTCTTGTCCTATCCCCAAAGGACCCTAAAACCTGAGTTGAGAGATAGGGTGGGCAGGAGGATGAATAAGATTCCTAATGTATATGGGACACTTACTGTATTCCTCATCAGCTACAGAAGAAATGAGGATCGAAGGAGGACAGGGACTGGCCAGCGTCACTCTGTGGTCAGAGGAAGGCCCTAGCCCTCTGCTGGATGCTGCTTATGCCCCTACCATGGTCTCCATCTCCCTGTCACACGGACCTAGCTCATCCCATGGCACCAATTCCATTCCCCCACCCCCTGCTACCTCCAGCTGCAGCGTGTCAGGGCTCAGGACAAGGACTCGGTTCTGGCAGCCACACCACAGCCGCCCACCCACAGATACCATCTTGGTGATGGGGCTCCCCTGGGTGCCCAAGGTCACTGATTTGAAGTTCTGGGGGTCCCAGAAATGGCCTGGAGTGGGGTAAAGAAAACAGGAAATTCACTCCAGTTCTAAATTTGAGCCTCGGTCTCCCCTGAAATGAGATGTTAACATTCCCCTTTTATAAGCAAAGAAACCAAGGCCCACAGAGGGCCTGGGAGTTGCCCAAAGCCACATCTCCAGGAGAGAGCCCCAACACCAGTAAGGGGACAGGGGCAGGGTGTGGGGGAGGGCAGATACTCACCTGCTTCCCTTTGGTAGACCACAAGCTCTCCATTGGCCAGAGACACAAACACCTGGTTATTCAGATACCTGGGTAGGGAAAAGAGGAAGCAGTAAGGGAGTTCAGGCAGCCAAAGTGGGTCACCCAGGACCAGGGGAACCACAGATAGAATGGGTATGGCTCCCGAGAGGCCACCTCTTCCCACCCCTTGTTCTCCAGGTGGGGGTTGCCTGAGGCTAAGAAAAGGGGGTGACTTGCCCGAGCTCACACAGTGTGTAAGAGGCACAGCTAGCCTAGGGCCAGGCCTCTGGCTTCCAGCCTCCACACAGAGGAGGGACAGTAGAGCAGGGGGACCAGATGAACAGAAGGAGGCCTGCACGTGTGGCTGAGAAGAGTCTAGATAGGAAGGGCCACCCTGGGGCCTTACAAGATGCAGGTCACAGAGGCCGCATGCTGGAGCTTCATGCTGTTCCTGCGGTCACGGATGCTGTCGGAGGACTGGTACACGTGGACACTGTGGATCGGGGTATGCACCTGGGACAAATGCTTGGGGCACACCAGCCCCTGGAGTCATCCCTCCACCTCTTTGCCCCTAGCACCACGTCTTCAATGCTGGGTGCCTGCCCAAGGTACTGAGGTCCCACAGCCTCCCTGGGATTGTCAGACCCACTGACATCCCTGGTCAGCAGTACCCCTGAGGTGTGACCCAAAGCCCTCCTGCCTTGGCTCCAGGGGACCACATGATTTCCAGAGCAGGGAGCTCAGAGTTCTGGCACTGTGTCCCTAGTCCCTCCCCTGTCCCTACCAGCCATCCTCAGTGCCCAGCCACACGGAGCTCTGGTAGGCCTCAGGGTCGACACTCAGCAGGTCCTCAAGGCTGCCCCGGGTGAAGGAGCCGTGGCTGGAGCGGCGAAGGGCTCTCCCATCCATTGGGCTGGTGCCGCAGGGACCACCAGGCCCAAAGGAGCCAGACAGTGGCAGGAAGCCTGGCTCCTGCTCCTCCTCTGAGCTGGTGGTCTCTGCCGTGGCCTCCTTGGAACTCGGGGTCTCCTCATCTGAGGGAGACAAAGGTCTCTGTCTCCATTTCCCTCTGCCAGGCCTGGGACCTGATATCTTTCTAGGCCATGCATCCCTCCTGGCCATGCCCCTCCGGAAGGCCTCTCAAAGCTGTTCTTCCCCGGCCTGCTCCGGTCTGCTGCCCTGCTGCCCTGCTCACCGACAGCTCAGCACTACAGAATCCTTGATCTTGCCTGGCCCCTCAGACCCAGTGGCCACACCGTGGGTCCCCACTCCACCAGCACCCCATCTTCCTTAGCTGAGTGCTCCAGGGTCTTCATGATCCCGCCTGACTGTCCCACTGTCCTCTGGATCCTTGGTGTCACATCCCCTGCCCTCATTGCTCTGTGTGCTAACATCCTGAGGTCTGACGCCATGCCTTTGCCCTACACTGGTCCCTCCTCTCCCCCTCCTCTGGGCAGTCCACCCTGCCTGCCAAGGCCAAGTTGGAGGAGATGGCCAAAGCTCACTGCCAAAGCTGGAGGAGATGGTGGACCGGCTGGCCTGGCTCTGCAGCGTCCCCGAGGGGCTGGGCGAAGACTCATCGTCAGAGTCACTGTCAAAGGGCACCAGCTCTGGGCGGGGGTCACCCTCGCCGAGGCCCGGCGTCATCTCCAAGCCCGAGCCTGCAATGGAGATGTGAAGGCAGGGCTGCGGCCCCGGCTCCGCGAGCGTCGCGGCTTCCTCGTCTGCAGCGGCCTCGACGTCCAGCTCCGGCCCGGCGGGCTCCGGTGCCGTCTCTGGAGGACTCCTCAGCGACGGAGGAGGCTCCCTGCGAGAAGACGGAGTGAGGATGACAGCAGCTACGAGCCAGACGGGGCCCCGGTGGTGGACACGCCCACCGACCCCGCCCACACTCGCCGGGCCCCGCCCACAACCACGCCGGGGCGGCCTGAGAGTGTGCTGGGACAGGGGTTGGTTCTCCCAGGCCCGCGGTGCCGCCCACCCCGCCGCCCAGGCCTCACCGGTGGCAGCGAGGCTGCAGCCCGGGCACCGCCCCGATGCAGAGGATGCGGGCGGAACAGACGGCGATGCAGGCCTCCACGTCCGGCTCGGCGCGCAGGCTCAGCAGGCACACCTGGCCCACGTAGCCGTCGCTGTTGCAGACCCATACCTCAGGCGAGGGCTCCGGGCAGCTGTTCAGGGTGGGAGCCGCACAGGAGAACTGCAGGAGGCGCCAATGGACAGGAGAAGGTGAATGGAGGAACTGCTGCCAGCATTCCCCACTCCTGGGAAACCCCGGCAGAATGGAGGGAGGCAGGCCTGCATGGGTGTGTGTGTGTGGATGCCCTATACACCCTTCTACACACGCGTACACATACACGCGGCACAGGACCCTTTTTTTTTTTTTTGGATTGGTTCTTGCTTTGTCTCCCAGGCTGGGGTGCAGTGGTGGGTTCATGGCTCACTGCAGCTTTGACCTCCAGGGCTCAAGCAATCCTCCCACCTCAGCCTCCTAAGTAACTGGGACCACAGGGGCGCGCCACTAAACGTGGATAATTTTTGAATTTTTTGTAGAGATAGGGTCTTGCCTAGCCTGGTCTTGAACTTTTAGGTTCATGTGATCCTCCTAACTTGGCCCCACAAAGTACTGGAATTACAGACGTAAGCCACCGCACCTTGCCCATGTGACCCTCTACACATCAAATGCACTCATGCCTATGGGATACAGGCATCATGCCTACATGTACACACACATATCCCCAGATATAATCATGGATACATGCATAGAAAAAATGTGATGCTGGTAACCTCTGTACATATGTATGCAGCCTCATACAAGCACATAAATGAAGCTACTTCCCATCATTCATATAACCTTTGTTCACATGCACAGATACAGATATGCACGAAGCATACCCATATACATGTGTACATGTAATACATATGCAGCACCCACACACATGTACAGAGAGCTGAATTCTCCAAGACATAAGGAGCAATAGCAATGTTCACGGCATATACACAATGTCGTACACAAAAATTCATGAACACCTGCTGGCTTTGAAAACATGTACCCAAGTGACCCAGATGCAGACATACCTGCATGCCACTGCGGGTTTTCATGATGGGGATGGCCTTCAGGAACTCAGGGTCTAGACAGCTTTTGCTGGATGCTGTAGTGGAGATGGACAGACAGACGGACCCTGCTTAGCATAGCATCCATCTCACCCTGGTCCTGCCCCTGCCCCATTCCCCTTCCTCCCCTGCCCCTCAGGGTCTCTTTAGGGGAAGGCCTGATCCCAGCCACATTAGAATAAGGCAGTTGCTCCTGGCCTCAATCTTTTCCCATGTGTATTGTCTTGGGGTTAGACCCAGAGGTCTCTGTGGATCTTCTAAGCCATGAACCCTGATCAATCGCTTTCCCTGATCCAGCCCTGCTCAGAGTGTGTGTAGGGAGGGTATGGCGAGGGTCTTGGCTATCGGTGCCCACTATGGGGCAGGTCCAGCAGACAGTGAGACCCTATCCATGGAATCCCCTCCCTGCCAGGGAGGCCACAGCTATTATTCAGTCTGATGTTTCACTGCAGAAGCCCCCCTCCCCACCAGGTGGAGCCGGAGCACAGGGCACTGCGGTTCTGGCTCCTGAAGTCACAGACAGCTGTGAGATGCCTCTGGCCTCCTGCCTGGAAGCTCTAGGAGGAGAGGGCCAACATGTGCCTTGGCTTACCCAGCTTCCTCTTGGCCTCATCGAAGGCCTGTTCAAAACCAAGGCGGGCGTCAGGGTGAGGGAACTCAAAAATGTAGGAGTCGGTGCCCTCGGGCCGAGTGGCGCACAGCTCCAGCTTGGTTGGCGGGAAGGAAAGCGCGTAGCACAGCGCCTGCTTCTCCGACAGGTCCCGGTGCATGGCAGCTGAGAGGTCCCGCAGTGCATCGTCCAGGCTCTGTGGGGAAGAGGGCCCAGGCCTCAGGCCCCAGCATCTCACCAGAGCCTGCACCTGCCCTTAATGTGTGGGGACCTGCCTCTCTCCTTAGACAGCAAGTGAGACTGTCTCCTCCCTCAGACCTGGATTCCTTTGATATATGGGGGATGGGGCCTCTGTCACCCTCTGATGGGGATGCAGCTATGTCTCCACCCTCAGACCTGGAACATGTTACTTCCCCCATACGCAGGGAGGCTGCGATTTTTGCCTTCAGATGAGGGAAAGGGATGTCTCTTCCCTCAGGCAAATGTCAGGGCTGTCTATCTCTCAGACAGGGTCAGAAGCCTCCCACCCTCTGGCTCCCCAGTGTCAGGCAGAGGGCACAGACCTGGTGGGGGAAACCAAGGCTCTCAGAGAGCTTGCTCATTTGGCCCAGGGTGGTGAGGTCCTCATCAAGGCGGCTGATGGCCTTCTGGATGTTCTCCCGATTGGTGGCTTGGGATGCCCCTAGAGGGAGAGAGGAAGGCCGTGGACTGATACAGAGACAGACAAGGTCAGGCTGGGACAGACTCTCCTTCCCTCACTGCATAGCCTGCAGCTGGGCCGGGGAGAGACCTGACAAACCGAAAGCATAGAAACCCCAAGCTCTTGGGAAAAAAGTTAACAGGCAGCTCCCTGAGGAACCCCAGCCCTGTGAGCTGGGGACTAGGCCTGATTCAGAGCCATGTGGCGCAGGATGTCAGGCCCACGGAGAATTCCCAGGAGAGCATGGAGTATGAAATGGTGGCTGGCTCTGCGATACACAGGCCCTGGCTGACACGGAACTGCTGCGGCGTTGCAGCCTCCCGTGGGCGTGCTGACAGAGCAGGCAGAGCCCCAGGCAGTCAAATGTGCTGACCAAGAGACTCATCGCCCCACAAAGGAGGGGGCAGTGCATGGTGCCCTGGATTTCTATGGTCCTATCCCATACCTGAACACTGCCAAGCAGCTGGTCCTGCAGACGGCCTGCCGCCCTCAACCCAAGGCTTGGGACGCACATTCTGGACCAGTGGTCCATACATGGAGCTGTCCCTCCACCCTTGGGCCAGGACACATGTGTCTTGAAATCAAGGGAAAAGAAGTGTCTTTTTGCTTTTTCCTAAATGAGTTTCTTTTCCTGTTTTTCTCCAATCTAGTTTATAGAATGTGTTATTGGTGTATATAAATTTAATATTTGGGCCACAGGTTGCAGAATGGTAAGGCAGCCCTGGACGGGTCATGACAGCACTAGAGACATGGAACCTGAGACTGGCAAGTCCTGTCTGAAGTGGCCCTGTGACCAAGAACCCCGTGGGGGTGAGAGGCAGCCTGCTGAGGAGGGGAGGGCACGCTTTGTAACTGTAAGATGGAGTCACGCTGGACAGGGAGGCTGTCTCACTGTGTCTACGGGAAGAAGAGTGTGTGCCCGGTGGATGGCAGTGGAGTTTCCTGCCAGGCCGAGGCTGGGAACAGCTCTGCTGTTGCCTGAATGTTTGTGTCCACTCAACACTCACAGGTTGAAATCGAATCCTGAGTGTGTTGGTATTAAGAGGCGGACCTGGCTGACGTGTTGGCTCACGCCTGTAATCCCAGCATTTTGGGAGGCCGAGGTGGGCAGATCACAAGGTCAGGAGATCAAGACCATCCTGGCTAACATGGTGAAACCCCATCTCTACTAAAATACAAAAAAAAAAAAAATTAACCGGGCGTAGTGGTGCGCACCTGTAGTCCCAGCTACTTGGGAGGCTGAGGCAGGGGAATTGCTTGAACCCGGCAGGCAGAGGTTACAGTGAGCCGAGATCGTGCCACTGCACTCCAGCTTGGCAACAGAGTGAGACTCCGTCTCAAAAAAAAAAAAAAAAAAAAAAAGAGGCGGACCTTTGGGAGGTGACCTGGTCATGAGGGGGAAACCATCGTGAATGAGATTTGTGCCGATAAAGGGGCCTGAAGGAGCTTGTTTGCCAAGTGAGGACACATAGAAGGCACCCTCTGTGAGGCACAGGCCCCTTGCAGTTCTGCTGGCACCCTCATCTTGGCCTTCCCAGCCTCCTCAACGGTGAGCAATACATTCCTCTTGTTTATAAATTGCCCAGTCTGTGGTATTTTTGTTAAAACAGCCTGAAGAGATGAAGCCGATCTACTCCTTTTGACAGAAACTGTCCCATCCCAACCCTCACCACCTGGGCAGCCATGTTTTCTTCCATATGACCCTGCCCCATTCTTGCTCACAGCTGACTGGACCAGGAGTGGGCACCTAACTTAAAGGTGGTCATTCTATTGACTTGGACCAATTAGAGTAATAATCAGCTGGTATTCCTACATAGTGGGCAGGCCTGGGTTCACCAAGGGGCCGAGCAAACCTGTCTGTTACCCTGAGGGCCAAGCTCCAGGTGAGCTCCCCTCCAGCTGAGCCAGGAGCCAGCCTGGGTCTGATCACGGGAGTTATGAGGAAGCAGGGAAAGCTAACAGCAGTGAGAACAGGGCAGACTCAGCAAGAAGGGAAGAAAGACAGACGCCGCAGGAGGAGCGGCTCCTGGAAGCTGCCTCAGCTCCCAACAGTCTCAGCCCTGAACAACATGGATGGCTCCAATCAACCCTTTGCTTGCAGTAACTCAAGCGAGTGTCTGTTCCCTGTGTGTGAAACCGCTGAACCAGACAGTGCAACATCATCTAATATTAGGCGCTCAAATGATTTTGCACAGATGAATCAATGGCTAATTACAGTGATGCTGCTCTGTGTGCACCACCCCCACCCAGCTCCCGCTGCCAGCCTAGGTCCCTGCCCAGTTGGAAGGAAGTGTACATGGACAGACTGTCTGGCTCCATGGGTGCCAAATGGGTCCTTCATGCCAGCCCCCTTGCACTGGATGAGAGAGCGAGGCCCAAAAGTGGAAAAGCAGCTGGACAGGCAGCCAGACTGGCTGGAGCTCAGACCCTCCAGGAGGGCTTCTCAGAGGAAGACCCCAACACCCAGAACCCCTAGCATCAAACCCACCTTTGATGATGTCTGCGTCTTCCAGCGGCAGCTTCCACAGCATCTTGTACTTGCTGGCTGTGTCAATGACACTGGCTGCCGTGTACCTGTGGGGAGCCAATGGGGCGCTCTGGCCAGGGTCGGGGAGTGGGGCTCAGAGAGGGACAAATGCTCCCCCTGTTGGCACCACCCAAACCCCGGCCCAGCCACTCACAGGCTCATGGAGCTGCGCCGCAGGGAGCCTGACTTTCGCTTCAGAGTGGTGCAGACGATGAGGTCCGTGAACAGGAAGAGAGACCGGTCCTTCTTGCCACCGATCGCCTTCTGTGGAGCCCAAGGCAGAATTCAGGCTGGGTGGACACAGTCCAGAAGCCCACCCCCCTGCCCATAGTGCCCAAGGGGACACTGAGACCCAGGGAGAGTGAGGGCTCTTCCCCAGCTTCCCAGAGAGTCAGAGCAGAGTGGGGACTCGACCAGGGCTCCCCTCGGGGTGAAAGAGCAGGGAGACCTGCAGGTAGAGGGTGTGAGCAGAAGAGAGGACAAAGTGAGGAGGTGGGGACAGCCGGACAGATACTGGGACACTTCTTACCACTTCAATGACCATCTCCTGTCTCAGGAACCGCCGCAGAGGGGCCTGGAGCTGTGGGACAGGAGGGACAAGGCATCTCGAAGGCCAGTTATTAATCCCTATCCCCTCCAAAAATCCCAGTGATCCCTCGGCCCCACTCCATGGGCTAGGCCAATGGAAGCAGCATGCTTCCCACCCTCAATGCCCTTGTGCTGCCAGGCCACAGGACCCAAGGTCAGAGACAGACGTGGAAGAACAGACAGGTGGAGACGTGTGGCCACAGAGGCTGGCAGACATGGATGCAAACACACTGTGGTTCCGGACATGGACACAGCCACGATTCCAGGTGGCCACAGATGCACACAGAGGCCGAGTGGACACAGATGTGGGTGGGGTGGGGTAGGGTGGGGTGGGGCAGGGCGCACGCACATCCTCCATGCCCTCGATGTGAGCCTCTATCTCCTGCAGCACACGGGCATGGCGCTCCGCCTCCTCGGCACTCCGCACACCCTTGTTGATGCGCTCAGCCACCTGCTTGATGTTCCGCTGCGCCTCCAGCAGGAGTGGATGGTCCGGGTGGTCCTCAGGTGTATGCTTCAGGAGGTCCTGGGGTGGGAATGGGGAGCAGACCTGACTGCTTAGCTACCCCTGGGGCCCCAGACTGCTGGAGCAGGAGGGACTATGGGTAGACACCAAAGAGGACTATCTTTCCTACCTGTCCCCTAGGGACCCTGATGTCAGGCTCAACGAGGCAGGGGCCTTAGACCTCCTTGTATCCCCCCATGCTTCCAGGCCTTGCCCACTTGCCCACCCAGGTCCATGCCCACCTTCACCAGAAGCTCGTAGCGTGGGATCCGCTGCACAGGCTTGATCATGAGGTCAGACAGCGCCTGCTTCTCCTTGTTCTCACGCATGCTTTGCTGAAACCCATGGATGGGCATCATGTGAGGAATGACATGCCAGGAAGACTATGTCCAGGGACAGGTCCCCAGCAAGCCTCTCCAGCTCAGCCTGAGAGCGGAGGCTGGCCCACTGGCTGGGACTATGGTACCCACGCTGGGAGCTCCTGGGGCCCTCAAAGCTGGCCCAAGGTGAGGGTCACCTCCATCCCCCTGCCCTAGCCCACAGTACCTCTAGGAACTTGAGAAAGGCAGGCCTCGCCTCCTTGGCCACACGCACAGCATCCTTTGCATTGAGGAAGTTATCGATATAGGCAGAATAGATGTTTACTAGGACATCCTTGGAGAACTGTGGAGGAGGAGGCAGGTTGGGGACCCTCAAGGTGTCCCTCACCCCACCTCACCCTGTCCTAGTTTTCACTGATTCATGAGTCACCATCTTTTCCCTCCAACTAGAAATGATACAATCTCTAAGGGATCAGGCACATGTCCTGTGGCTCTAAGTGTGGTCGTGTTTAGGCGTATGTGCATGTGTACACATGGATATACGAGTGCTCATATTATCTGGGTGTGACTGTTCATGTATGCACATATGTAGACCTGAATGTATCCTGTGAGCTCAGACCTGGTTCTCTCACTTCCAACTGGGCATTTCCATCCCTAGACCTCCACCCTCACGAAGTCCAGCCAGGCAGGTCTCCCTTTCCCCATTCTCTGAGTGACACAGACTCATTCTAGCCATTTGGCCTTTGCTTATGCAGATCCCCCCACCAGGAATGCCCTTCCTCATCCAAATCTCGCCCCGCCTCAGGGCTGTGCTCCAGTTCTGCCTCCTCTCGGAAGTACTCCTTTCCCTGACTAGAGCTCTGCCTGGTACGCCACCTGGCCTCTGGCTTCTCCTGATCTCCTAGGACAAGTTCTCCCTCTCCATGAAAAGTGCTCCCATCCCACCCACAGTAAAGCCCAGCTCAGGGCAGGACATACAGCTGGTGGCTAATACCTGCTTGATGCTGATGGCGGACTAAATATGGAGGTTATTGGTAAGAAGCCTTGTCTGGGAACCAGGAAACCTGGGTTCCTGTCTCAACTGTACTGTGGATAAGCTACGTGACCACATTAGTGATATTTCTGTACCCCTCAGAGTCCTGTCTTTTTTTTTTTTTTTTGAGACGGAGTCTCACTCTGTCACCTAGGCTGGAGTGTGCAATGGCACGATCTCGGCTCACTGCAACCTCCGCCACCCAGGTTCGGGCGATTCTCCCGCCTCAGCCTCCGGAGTAGCTGGGATTACAGGTGCATGCCACCACGCCCACCTAATTTTTGTATTTTTAGTAGAGACGAGGTTTCACCATGTTGGTCAGGCTGGTCTCAAACTCCTGACCTCATGATCTGCCTGCCTCGGCCTCCCAAAGTGCTGGGATTACAAGCGTGAACCACTGCGCCCGGCCAGAGTCCTGTCCCTCTAAGGTGCCAAGTGCCCCTGCCTCTGGACAGAACAGGGCAGGGTGTGAAGAAGCAAAGGGAGGAAGACAACCCTCACCAACCACCCCCACCCTGGGACACAGCATCCTGTGCTGACCCCTCCGGGTCCAGGGCTTCGCCGTAGTCCATGGTCAGCATCAAGGTCCAGGCAGGGGGCTGAGCTTACTGACACTGAGAGTGATGATGGGCTGGAGACATCAGCACTCAATCCAAGCTGGAACCCCATCACCCCTGTCTGGTCCCATCAGTTTCTGGGTCAGCAAGGACATTCTAAGATGGTTCAAGGCCCCACCCCACAGCATAGCAAATATATTGAAACATACATCCCACAGAAATAGATATAATTTTTCACTTGTAAAATTTTTGCAAGAATTTTTACAATTTTGCTTTTGAAATTATGTGGCTCTGAGAAACCATTTAGTTTGCATTTGGCTATGATTTATCAGTCATCATGGTGTATTCTTGGGAATTCTGGCAAAATAAAATGGAACTGGAAGTTTTTCAAATGTAATTAAATTCTTATAAATACTAAATTTAACAATGAATGAAAATGGCATGCTATGTTTTACAGGCATTTAATTAAATGCTTATTGGTTTTGCTTTCGATGTTCTTTTTGAATTCTGAAGTCAATACCTTTTCTAAGATCTCACTCGCTATTGTGGGAGCTTGACAAGTGTACAGTGGAGATCTGGCCTGTGGTGAGAGGCAGTATGGGGTAGGGGAAGCCGGGGCACTGGAACCAGGCTTTCTGGAGTTGAGTCCTCCACCACTTCCTAACTGTAACTTTCATCAGGTTACCAATCTCTCCATGTCTCAGTCACTATCTTTAGAATCAGGGTAACCAACGCACTCTCCTACCAGGGCTGTTGATAGATACAACACATTTAGAACAATGCCTAGCAAACAGGTATGCTATTATGATGAAAATATCTGATGGAGAAAAAGTCAAGACTCAGCCAGCATCAACATCCAGCCCAAGTCCAGGGTCAGGACCAGGGCAGTTATTTTGGTTCCAGTAAAGATAGGGTGGAGGTCAGTACCAGCATCCATCTGAGGTCTGGGTCAGCGTCCGCACCAGCTTGGGGTCAGGACTAGAGTCACGTCAGTGCCAGCCAGGAGCGGGGTAGGGTCCAGGATCAGAGTCAGTGTCTGGCTGGGGTCGGAGTCCGTGCCAGAGTCTGGCCAAGCTTTGGGGTAGGGGAGTGTCCAAGTTCAGGTCCACCCAGGGGCTGGGGTAAGTACCAATGTCTAGCCAAGTTCTATGGTCAGATCTGGAAACAGAGTCAGTATCCAGGTGGGATGGGTGGGGGTGGGGTCCGTGGCCACATCCAGCCCCTTCCAGGAGGGCCTGTGCTTGTGGGAATTGGCAGCAGCGGGGCCACTCACCGACTGGACGAGCAGGGCTCCCACCTTCTGCTGGGCATGCCAGGTCTGCATGCAGTGCCGAACCTGCTCCAGGAATTGCTCGTGGTGCTCCAGGAGCTCGGGGATCTGGTCGAAGATCTCGTCCACCAGTGAAGGGTCACAGAGCACGGAGTTCTCTGGCTGCTTCAGCGGCTGCATGTAGCCCTGAAGGACCCACAGGGTCGGTGCACACTCCCTCAGAGATGCCGCCCCCACCACACCTACACAGGGCCCCTGTGTGAGTGCACACAGAATCACCCGGGCCTGCAGCTCAGCGCCCTGCCTTCCACATCTCCCTCATGAGACCAAGAGCTCCAGGAGGGAGATGGGAAGATCTAAGCTCATGCCCTCATCGCTGAGCCCAGGGCCTGGCACAAGATGGGAGCAAGGACGCTCAGGAAGAGGTTTGTTTAATGTATGAACAAACAGAGCTTGGAATGAGGAAAGCAAGATGGGGCTCCTTGAAAGACCTCCCACCACTAACTCAGCAAAGATTTACTGAGCACTTACTACGTACCAGGCACTGTTCTAAGAATTGGGAGACAGCAATGTATAAGAAAGACCACAATCCCTGTCCTGATAGAGCTTAGGATCTAGTCTGATGAAACACACAAACGGAAGAAATTTTTTAAAATATCATATTTCATCAAATCTAAGAAATATTTTATTTTATGACGAAGTCTTGCTCTGTCACCCAGGCTGGAGTGCGGTGGTGCGATCTCAACTCACTGCAACCTCCGCCTCCCGGGTTCAAGTGATTCTCCTGCCTCAGCCTCCCGAGTAGCTGGGATTACAGGTCTGCGCCACAACACTCAGCTAGTTTTTTATATTTTTCATAGAGACAGGGTTTCACTATGTCGGCCAGGCTGGTCTCAAACTCCTGACCTCAAGTGATCCACCTGCCTTGGCCTCCCAAAGTGCTGGGATTATAGGCATGAGCCACTGCGCCCAGCCATTATTTTATATTTAAGAAAAACTGGTTGCCAATTAAATTATGATATGCTACCAATTATAGAATGAACCCTGATTTAGGGATATTAAAACGCGAAGACCACGAGTCTCAGAATGGATGACATATGGAAATCTCGTAGTCAGTTAAAAGGCGATAATGCGGCAGGGCGCGGTGGCTCAAGCCTGTAATCCCAGCATTTTGGGAGGTCGAGGCCAGGCAGATCACCTGAGCTCAGGAGTTCGCCACCAGCCTGGGCAACACAGTGAAACCCCGTCTCTACTAAAATACAATAAATTAGCTGGGCCTAGTGGTGTGCGCCTGTAGTCCCAGATACCTGGGAGGCTGAGACAGAAGAATTGCTTGAACCTGGGAGGTGGAGGTGGCAGTGAGCCGAGATCGCGCCACTGCACTCCAGCCTGAGGACTAAATAAATAAATAAATAAGGCGATAATGGTGTGAAGATAGAGCAGGGAGGGTCGTGGGAGATCATGAGACCACATGGGAAGTTACTGGAGACTCTTATTGACACTTTCTGAACGCTGTTATACAGATTTCAGACCTGCTGGCCAGTCTGTGACTAAAACTCCCGTTATTTTACGTCAAATCTACGTGCAAAGATGTTCCCCTAGCTTTAATAGCCCAGCTCAGGGGCCGGTGCGCTTGTGGAGAGGTCGCCCTCTACTGGCCCTACGCTGTAACTGCAGGCTAAAAAAAACAGGAGGGTGTTGTTTGAAAAAGCATATGTGATGTTGCAATAACATTTATATTAAACATTTTTAAAAATCTGGCTTGTTTTGTAAAACAAGCTTGAGAAAGTAAAGCTCAACAGAATCCTCTCTCTTGGCTGGGGATTCTGAAAAGGCCGGGATGATGGTGAGGAGATAGGCAGGCAGTCTCCTGCCCACAGGTGAGCCAGCTCCTGGGCTGGGTCAGGGCCCGCTGCTCCACAAGGAGCAGGAGCAGCAGCTAAACCGCTCACCTCAGGGTCCCGGCACCCCACACAGAAGCGGGCACACAGCAGGAGGAAAGAACAAACAATGACTGAGAGCCCAATACGGAACCTGGCACAAGCCAATGCCCCATTCACTCACCAATGCTCAGCCTGCCCAGCACTGGGGCATCTCACTGCACAGACCCCCTGTGGGGCTGACACATGAGTGGTGGGAGGCAGGAAAGAAGCACGATAAATGCGTAAATTACTATACAGCATGGTGGAAGACAGTGAGTGCTACGGAAAAGAGAAGTGGGATCAGGGTGCCAAGGGGAGGGGGACTCGTCAGGGTGGTCAGGGGAAGGGGCGTTTGTTAGCTTCGAGTGTCAGAGTTGAAAATAGGCTCAGAGGGTGAGGGTGACACTGAGGAAGGGATGTAGCCCTAGGACCTAGTTTCAAATCCTCCCTCCTTCTGGCTCCTAACTTCTATTTAACTTCTTTGTTCATTTTGAACACCTGGCCTGCAGGAACAACACTTATCAATTAGTGAGGGCAGTGATGGTTCGAAGTTAACACTGGGACTATGGAGTCCAATCTCAATTTGAATACCACTGTGCTCTAGGCAGTGTAGACTAGTGGGTGACAGGGAGAACCCAGAGTCACAATGACAGGGTTTCAACCCAGGGTGTGGCACTTCCTAACTCTGTGACCTTGGACAAGCAGCTTTACTTCTCTGTGTCTCAGCTGCATCATCTGCAAAATGGGGTTTATAGTCAGGCTTATATGAATTTACTCACTGTTCTAAAGCATTCAGAACAGTGCCTGGCACATAGTGGGCACTCAGTGAATGTCAACTAATACCACTCACTAGATGGATGACCCTGGGCAAGTTTCTTAACCTCTGTGAGTCTTCGTTTCTTTGTATAAAGAATATAATATCTACCTCACAAGGTTAATACAAAGATTAAATGCAACTTTTTACCATGCTTGCAGAGCTGCAGGCAGTATGCTAAATTATAAACATGTGTCTCTAATTAACTGCACTCAAGGCAGGTCTATTATTATCCCCTCTCTACAGATGAGGAAACTGAGGCAGAGACTGGTTATGTGACATGCTCCGGGTCATGCAGCTGGCCAGGAGATGGAGCCAAGTTTGAATGCTGGTGGCTTGGCTCCAGAGTCATACTCCTGACCTGGAGCCAGACCTCAGTCCTCCTCCCACACTCCAGGGCTGCCTCCAGGGACGGTCTTTGGGTTCACGTGACACCCTCCTGTCCACCTCCACCTTGCTCACCCAACATTCTGGCTTCCTCCACCCACAGGTCCTGCACCCTCTCCCAAGTGCAGCCCTGGACGGGTCTGGGAGATTTGGCGGAGGTAGAAAGACATGCCCAAGCCCTGCCTGCTCCCAGCTCTCCACTGCTCCTGACTCCTGCCTGTGAACAGGCATGGGTGCCGTCATCACCTTTTGTTTTTTTTGTTTTGTTTTGTTTTTTGAGACAGAGTCTCGCTCTGTCACCCAGGCTGGAGTGCAGTGGCAGGATCTCGGCTCGCTGCAACCTCTGCCTCCCGGGTTCAAGCTATTCTCCTGCCTCAGCCTCTGGAGGAGCTGGGATTACAGGTAGCCTGCCACCACACCCAGCTGATTTTTGTATTTCTAGTAGAGATGAGGTTTCACCACGTTGGCTAGGCTGGTCTTGAACTCCTGACCTCAGGTGATCCGCCTACCTCAGCCTCCCAAAGTGCTGGGATTAGAGGTGTGAGCCTCCGCGCCTGGCTCACCTTTAAGTCTTCTTGATGGGAGATAGGTAGATTAGCTACATTTTGCAGGCAAACTTGAGGCTCAGAGAAGGTGAGGTGATTAGGCTAGTATCACCCAGTGAGGACGCACGTGACTTCAACCCTGGACTGTCTGACCCTAATGCCTCCAACTCTCATCTAGGGGATGGCAAAGGACCCCCTCAGGCCCCTGCCATGTCTACTCCTCCTGCCTGGCATTCTGGCTGCATCCTCCCATGGCTTCCTTGCGTGCACAGGAAAGCCCAGCTCCATGCCCAGCAGCCTTCCTTCCTGCAGCCACCTGGCCACCTCTGGTTCCCTGCTGCTCTAGGTTCCTTCCAGCCTCCTGGCCTTTGTCCCTGACATACCCTCTGCTGGGAGCCATCCCTCCGGGCTCTTTCTGCTGAAATCTACTCACCCTTCAGGTCTCAGCTAAATACCCCAACCCCAGGGAAGCCCTCCCTGACCCCGACACCAGGGTAGGCCCCCTTCTGTGTTCTCATCTCCCCATGCACTTTTTAAAAACAATAAACAAACGCATTGTATTTTATGGTAAAATACATATAATATAAAATTTACCATTTTAAATGTACAGTTCAATGGTATTAAATACATTCATAATGTGTGACCATCCAGCTCTAAAACTCTTTTTATCCTGTAAAACTGCAACCCTGTACACCCATTAAATAGTAACTCCCCATTCCCTCCTTTCCCAGCCTGGCACCCTTTCCCTGGCACCCACCATCCTACCTTCCATCTCTGAGTCTGACTACCCCAGGAACCTCATGCAAGTGGAATCAGACAGTGCTTGTCCTTTGAGACTGGCTTCTTTCACTTGGCATCATGTCCTCCAGGCTCATCCATGTTGTAGGATGTCAGAATTTCCCTCCTTTTAAGGCGTATCCCTGTTGTGTGTAGGTTCTCTGTGTGTGCACTTCTGCATCACCACATGCCACTGTGTGTTGATGTCTGGCTGGTCACTGTCAGTCTCTGCCATAGACCGTGAGCTCCAGGAGACAGGCCCTTACCACTAATGCCCCTGCACAGAGAACACTACCTGGAGCGCAGAAGGGGCTCACCGTGGATTTGTGGAGTGAGTGAATGAATGAATGAATGGTGAGTGAGTGAATGCTCTGGATGTTTCCATAGGGTGAAGGTTCTACCTTTACCCTTTGCTGTCACTCTGCCCAGCTAGCTTGGGCAAATTCATCCTCAATGGTGACTGCCAGGCCCCACTTCAGCTCAGGTCCACACTCATCCAGCCCCAGGCCATGTGTGCATCCAGGCTGTGGGCCTTCCCAGGTTCATGTCTGAGCCTGAACTCACCACCTTGCTCCAGTTGTGCTTCTCCCCTGGGCCCCACCTATCCGAGGCCAGGAGCCCAGACATCATCTTGGGCTTCCCCACCTTGCCCCCCACAACCAACCAGTTACCACGCCTGGCCTGACCAGTCCACTTCCTGAGTGTCTGTCCCCAGCACTCCCTTCCTGTAACCTCTATCCTTGCCGGATCTCAATGGCCTTGACCTCCTCTTCTGCCACCCACCTTCCCAGCTGTCAGACAGACTTCATGAAGCATGAATCAGGCCACACACCTCCCCTGCTCAAAGCCCTTCGCTGATCATCCACGGACCCTGGCAGAATCTACTGCCTCCAACTGGTGTTCTAGGCCCCCACAGCGTGGCCTCTGCCGACTCCGACAGCATAGCTATGGGACCAGCGCGTTGTGCTCTGTGCTGGCCACGTAGACCTCCGAATGTGCCAGGCCTCACTTGGCTTTGCAATGTGCTATTCCTGCTGTTGAGAAGACAGGTCATGGTGGAAGTGAGCACCTCCTCCAGGAAACCTCCCTGACCCCACGCTTAGCAGGTGCCCCTCGATGTTTCTAGAGTGCCCGTATACTCCACTACGTACTCAGCAGGGCGGTGAGCTCCTGTGGCAGGGGCTGGGCTCTCTTATTCATTCCTGTGTCTCCTGCACCTGGAACAGGGCCTGCACACAGCAGGTGCTCAATACTGAACTCTATTCAACTCATACTTCCCAGTCAGTGAATACAATGGAGGCGGCACATCAGAGGGAGTTCACGGATCTAAGTTCAGGGTCAGGGTTGCCAGGGGGACGTGGAAGAACAGCAGGGTAGGGACGCCTGCCCTGGGGTGGCCTGGCCCCTCTGCATTCTCTCTTGCCCGGGAGAAGCCTTCCTCCTTCTCTGGAATGGCCATGCTGGGGGTTCTTCATGGAAAGGCGACGGATGCCAGGGACACGGCTCTCTGGCCTCAGTCCCTTGTCCATGAAAGGGGTTTGCTCACACCCATCTGACAGCCTCCTAGGCTCAGAAAGGCCATTCTCAGGGGAGTGGGCCCCGAGCCCCACCTGCATCAGGGTGCGCAGCGACTCCACATACGACTGCTCTGTGTCCAGCAGGGTCATGGCCACGTGCTTCCGCATGTCCTGTGGGGACAGGAGCAGAGGGTGAACAGGGGTCTTTTTCCCCCCAGACCCCATCACCTGTAGCCACATGGTGCCCAGAGAACCCGCCCACACCCTCTCCCTGCCCTCCTGGCCCTTCCCTCCTGCCGCCCAGGGCTCCGGGCTGTTCCCCCGAGGCCCCCAGGCCCTCCACTCTGCCAGGTCTTTGCTCAGCTGCTCCCCCTGCCCCCGACTTACACCTCAAACACGTGGCCTTGCACAGTTAGGCACTCACTCCTCTGCCCCTGCCCCATCCACCCACTTCTTGGCTCCTCTGCCAGGCTATTGAAAAAGGGTCTTTAAAAAAATCAATAACCTTTCACATTTGCAAAGAACAATGCCTCCAGGCCAGCACCCACTCCAGCTGCCATCTCTGAAGACCCCAACTTCAGGCTCAGTGCTATGGGGACATGCCCACCTGGCTGGGCTGCCCACCATCCCTAAGAGTAGACACCATCACCCTGCTACAGAGGAAGACACTGTGGACCAGAGAGGGGAAGTCAGTGCTGAAGGTCACACAGCTGGGCAGTATCAGGGTTCAGCCAGTCTCAGACAAGGCTGGATCCCAATTCTGTCATTTAAAAACATTAACTATGCCCTCCTATGCGCCAGGCACTGTTCTAAGCATGACATATTATTCAATAATCCTGGCCACCCTGTGAGGTATATGTTATTATTCTCTTCATGTTAGGGAGGGGAAAAAGGAAACCCAGACACCGATGCCTCCAACCTATGGATCTGATGACCTGAATTACTGAGTCCCCAAGGGGTCACACAGCCTCTGCACCCACACCCCCAGGCACAGGGTGCTCATCCCTGTCTGGGATGCCTTGTGTTCAGCCCCTGGGACTGAACTTACCTGCTGCTCCTCTCCACCAGTCCCTACACCTCTCCCCTCAAAATCCCCACCTCCAGGAAGCCTTCCCAGATAGCACCAGCCCCAACAACTTCCCTTCTCTGGCAGAGACTCCACTCCAAGCCCTAGACCCCTAGACTCCACTCCTGACCCCTCTAAAGCCCTAGAGTGATCCTGGGCAAGGCCCCTAACTCCTCTAGGCTCCAGATCTCTGGGTTATTCTCCTCTCTCCCCTCCCCTCCCAGGTCTCGGCTTGGCCTGAGCATCTGTGGACCGTATCTCGGGTTCCTGCCATCAAGGCTTACTGGTTCGAGCAAGTGCTGTGCAGATGGCAATGCCAGGGTGTCCATGTCTGTGGCATCCCTCCAGCCTCCACCTCTAGTCCTTCAGGGTAGGAACTCAACCAGTGGGGCTGTCCTGGTCACTGCTATGCCCAGGGCTCATGTTTTAGTGGACCTGAGCCCAGGCCTGTCCTGCCTGACCCAGCCACTGCTCCCCCTCTGCTTGTGGCACACCCACTTCAGATCCCTTGCCCTCTGACCAGGGACTCAGGGGCAAGGCCTGTCCCCACAGTGTCCTATAATGAAGCACACTCAGAAAAGTGAGCTCCCATGCTAGGAACTCAGTGGTGGGGGTGTGAAGGACACCCCTTGGGGCAGGGAGGAAGGGGGGCTGGCTCTCCCCATCCTTGCCAGCCCACCATTGCCAGCCCTGGGCTCTGACGGGTGGGAAGGTACCTCAGGGCCTCCGGAAACAGCAGACCAGAGCCTCAGAGCCTCTGGAGACAAGCAGACCATCTATCCTCGGTACTCTTGTGACCTCTAAAAAACCAGGGCAGCTTCCAGAAGGAGGCAGTGCGAGCAAGGCTCACTGTAGGATGGAGACTTGGGAGAGCGTGGAGGGCCAGGAAGGCCTCCCGAGGACAGGCCCAGATGCCTAATCCTGCCCTACCCCACGCCAGGGACATCTCAGCACCCCACAGACATGGTCTTGCTTCAGCCTCACACTCAGCTCTGTGACACAGGTGTTGCCATTTCCACTGCACAGGTGAGGGGTCATGTCAGAGAGGTGACATGACTTGTCCAAGATCACACAGCCTGTGAGTGGCAAAGCAAGGACCAGGGTCTCTTCAGCCACCTCATGACTCTCAGGGCCCCAGCCCCTGGAGTTCTCGCCCAGACTGACTGGGCAGCCACGGGCCACAGGTCCCCAGCACTGCCCTTACTGGCTGTGTGACTGTGGTGTCACCTAATGGCCCTGTTTCCACATTCTCTTCCATGAAATGGAGCTAATAACCCCGCCCTCCCATCACCGTGAAGGCAAAGGCGGCAGCGAGCAGAGCAGCTCTGTCCACACGCAGCAGGTCACCAGTGTCCACCCTTTCTCCCCCTCAGTGAGACGGCGTGGGGAGCTCCCTGACAGCAGGGCCAGGCCAGGCGCGGCCCTGGGCCCCTCAGCCACACTCCCCCGCCCACACAACGGCCCATCAGGCCCAGCGGGCACCACAATGGTCATGGTCAGGGAGGCTTCCTGAGAGGCAGGGCTGGCGCTGTGCCTGATGCCGGGAGGCTGGGGTGACACGGGGAGGCTGACGCTGCAAATGCCCGCCTCTCCCAGCCTCCTCCCTGCGGCAGAGCACAGCGGCCTGTCACTCAGCTGTCAGGTAAAGACACAGAAAACAAGGCCAGCTCCCTGTCACTGCGCGAGCAGCCCTCTACACGTGCCCACCACGGGTGTAGTGTGCGGGGGTTGCGGGGGTGGACAGGGGAGGCAGGAGGCAGACAGCGCAGCTGTCAGCCTGAACAGCAGGCCCACCTGTTCCAGGCAGAACAGCCCTTCACACCCAGCCTCCCCACAGCACCCCTCATCCCTCACCAGCCCCATCCCCAGACCTTCGCTACACCGGGCACTGAGGTGGGCACTGGGGGATACAGCAGGAAGACAGAGGGGGCCACTCCTGGGATGACTGGGGCATCACAACCCAAAGACTGAAACCCTGACGGGCACAGTGTGAAGACAGACACGCACACAGAGACGCCATAAAGGCAAGCCGCCCCACACAGAAATAAAAAACGCAGCCAGGTCACGCAGCTGAGAACCAGGCCCGCCAGCTCAGAGACTTGAGGCTGTGGAGAGACACATCATTGCACGGGGAGGGGACAGAATTACAGCCCCCACTGGGGCCGGGAGCATGGCACAGAGTCCAGGCCCAGAGACACACAAAGACAGGGAAACAGCCCCAAGACGCCTCCCCTCCCCTGCAGGGGTACACACACTGAGCGAGAACGGGGACGCTGCTGTTCCCACCGCAGCATGACTCCTCCAAGGGCCAGCAGGCCCAGCGGCAGGGAGAGGATGGCAGTGGGGGTGCAAAACTGACTCTACTTTCCAGCACACACATACACCAGGGCCACCTCAAGCCTAAGAGGAGGGCTGGGAAAACCTCTCCTTCCTGAGCCTGTGGACCCAGGATAACACTGGCGACAGCCTCAGCTTCTACAGGCACTTCTGCAAGCGGAGTGCCACCAGGCCTTGACCCTCAGCGCCCTGCCAGCCACACCACCGCCTGCCAGGGTTCCTCACCGGCAATCTCCAGGTCTCCATCCCCGGTCACAGAGAGTCCCTGCGCCCCATGCCTCCCCTCCCCCCACCGTCTCCTGGGTTGGCTCCTGGGTCGGCTGAGTTCTAGGCCATGGCCCAGGTCCCTGGCTGCCCCTCCCCCTCCCCGTACCTGGGCCTCCCCAGGCTCCTCGGCGTCAGTGCTGCTGCCCCCGGCAGGCTCCCCGGAGGCGGCGGCTGGGCCCATATCGCGCATGTCTTCCAGCGCGATGGTGAACTGGGCCAGGGTCTTCACCATCTGCAGCATGCGGCCGGCCAGCCGCTGGGGCGGGGGCGCCGGGGTGGCGGCGGGGCGGGGGGCGGGGGTCAGCGCGGAGTCAGGGGCCGCCTCCCACTCTCGCTCCCTAAGGGCTCAGCCCGGCCGCGGCGGCAGCCGCAGTGGCGGTCGCGGTGGTCAGTTCCAGCGTCGATCTGAGCGCTGCGGCCCGGCCGCCGGCGGCGCTGCTGCCTCCTCCGCGCTGGGAGTGCGCCCGGCGAGCCAGGCGCGCGCGGCCCCGTTGTGGGGAGGAGGGTCCCCGCCCTCTCCGCGCCGCCCCATCTCCCCCAGCACGCTCTGGGCTGCCCTCGCACCCGCCCCTTCCCCCACGCGGCAGCGTCCGCTCACGGACCCATCCCCCGCCCCAGGACACAAGTCGGCGCACACCCGTGGACAAAGGCGCCGACATGTACTTTCCGTCCGCACCTGTACCCAGCGCCGGCACACGCTGAACGCAGCTTCCCACCGAGGAGCCACGGAGCACGGGACACACACAGGGGCACGAACACACCTACACGGAATAGGCCACGTTCATGGAAACCTGCCCTCAGGCCTGGACCCGTATGCACAAGGGGGTCAGGCCAAGTGCACCCACATCAACACAGTCCCTTACAGACCTGAACCTTGACAGAAACGAACATGATCCATCGTTGCGCCCAGACAAGTGCTTCTGTGTTTACATAACTATTGCCAGCAGAAACAGGCACATATGTCCAGGCTCGGACATTTAGAGATGTGCACACATACACATCCCTGGTCTTCCACCCAAGGGAGGAGCTCTTGGGCCTGAAGGAGGGCAGCTATCACTCAAATCACCCACCTTGAATCATCCCTACCCCTGCCCGGATCCAGCTTGTCCTGTGTCCTATACCTGGGACCATCTTGGAGGGTTCCAGTCCTGTCCCTGTCCATCCGCCCCACCCCTAGACTGTGCTCCCACTCCTAGACTGTGCTCCCACCCCTAGACTGTGCTCCCACCCCTAGACTGTGCTCCCATCCCTAGACTGTGCTCCCACCCCTAGACTGTGCTCCCGTACCTAGACTGTGCACCCCTAGACTGTCTCCAAGCAGGATCCTCATAACGTGCTGCTTGAAAGCCCAGAGTGACAGCAGAACCTATCCTAGACTCAATCTGGACTGAGGGGTGGGGGCGAGCAACCTGCTTTTGCACCAGCTCCCACCCAGCAAGATGGGGGGGCTCTGAAGCACCCTGCAGCTGTGCCTCAGCCCTGGCCAACTTCATGCCTTTTAGTGTGCTGCACGCTGCCACGCTCACCAAGCCCCCAGCTGACTCCTTCTCCCAAACCTGCTTTCCCCTGAGTTTCCTGCACAGTGGACATCCTGACCCCATAGCTCAAGCCAGGCCCATCTGTCGACTCCTCTCATCTCTTTGCTTGATGTGCTCCAGCCACTTCCGTTTTAACTTCCAGAAACTGACCATGCCCTCTCCTGCCTCAGGGTCTTGGCCCATGCCTTTTCCCTCTCCTAGTAATGCTTTTTCTTTTCCTTTAAGACCAGTTTCGGGCGGGCGCGGTAGCTCACGCCTGTAATCCCAGCACTTTGGGAGGCTGAGGCGGGCAGATCACCTGAGGTTGGGAGTTCGAGACCAGCCTGACCAATATGGAGAAACCCCATCTCTATTAAAAAAAAAAATACAAAATTAGCCAGGTGTGGTGGCGCATGCCTGTAATCCCAGCTACTCGGGAGGCTGAGGCAGGAGAATAGCTTGAACCCGGGAGGCGGAGGTTGAGGTGAGCTGAGGTTGCGGTGAGCTGAGGTCGCACCATTGCACTCCAGCTTGGGCAACAACAGCGAAACTCCATCTCAAAAAGAAAAAATACCAGTTTTAGTGCAAATGTCACCTCCTTAGGGAAGCCCTCCCTGATCCTCAGATTAGGTCATGTGCATCTAATTTCTGCTCTTAAAGGCTCTCAGTTTTCCTTACCTTAACCATGTATGGCAGTTCGTAAATATACATTTAAGCAATTACTAGATTGAGGCCCGTCTCCTCCCAGGAGACTATATGCTTCCTGAGGGCAGCGTCCTTGTCCCTTTTGTAAGCCAGGGCACTTATAAGGAAGGCTGGCTTAATAAACAAGCCCCCAATAGCTCTTCCTCCTCCCTTCTCCCCACATGCCCAGCAGTTACTGACTGAGAGGCAGACCAGCCTGAATAGCTCTCTGCCTCTTACCCTCCCAACTGGATGGATTGTGGGCTTCCCTGCGGATGGAGCCTGCTCCTCCTCTTCCTCCTCCCAGGGCTGGGCATGCAGGGGGTCTGGAACAGCCAGACCAATTGACTGAGTGGTGGCTTGAAAGGGAGGATGGACAGGCCTGTGATCCAGTCCAGACATCCAGGTCCCACAGCACATGCAGAGTGGTGGTCTGAAGGCCCCATCCCTGGCTCATTGCTTGGTCACTGAGGATACTTAACCCACATCTGGCTTTCTCTCAGGGCACCTCGTCCCTCATCTGACCCTCTCAAGCTACACAACCCTGGGCATCAGCTTCCTCTGAGTGGCTGAGAGGCAGTGTGTGGCTCAGGATTTAGAGACGTGCATCCATTCCCTCACTAGTTCCAGTGGGATGGGGCCCTGCAGAGATCAGTCCACCCTTGTTTGCCTCCAGGAGCTCCCAGACAACACAGGGCTTTTTCTCATAGGGCTCAGCAGAGGGAGTCACTGCTGCTTCAGGGGAAAGTATTCAGGGAGGGCTTCCTGGAGGAGGCATGGCAAGAACAAGGTCCTGAGGTCGAGAGATCCACAGGCATATGGGTGCCCAGAAGACAGAGTTCACTGAAAGGCCCTGCCCCCAAGAAGGGGGCGGGACTTGGTGCCAAAGGCACTGCTTGCTGCTGCTGCTTCATTAAGGATGACTAATTAGATCCAAGCCTATTGTCTTGGCAATGGAGTGGGGCTGGTGGTTCGGGGAGATGAAAGGAAGCAAAGAGAAGGAACAGGAGCACATGGGTTGGTCGCTGAGGCAGGGTGTCCAGGGAGGGCCCCATAACAGCACAGGCATCAGAGCCCTTCAGGATGAGGTCAGTTGGGGTGGGGGCTGAGGGCACCAGGTGGGCCACGGTACCCCTATGCAGGTTGGTTCTGCTATTGTTCCTCTGAGCTCCTGTTCTGAGTGCTGATTTTATCTCCTTTGGGGTATGTGCAGTTGTATAGAATGAGTGTGGCTCAGAAGAGTTTTTGTAAGTATACAGGGTGCTTGGTGAAGGCCTACCCAGCCCTCCTCTCCATACCCCACACCCAACCATAAACACCTCTTCTCCCATGAAAGAGCCACACTCTCACCTGCTCTTTAGTCAGAGAAGGAAAGACAGAGAGGGGGAAAAAGGGCTCTGCTCTACAAGAGTACCACCCCACTCCAGGAGGGGCAGGCTGGGGGTCCCAAGTCTGTGGGACCACCTTTCTACCAGCCCTGGGGAGCACCTAACCCTCCCTACTTCTGCCCAATCTGCTAACAACTTCCCCATCTCTGAGGGAATCCCAATACCCTGACTACCTGCCTCTGGACACACCACCCAGTCTGAGCCCACCCATACCTCCTGCATCTGGGCACTGTCCACCTGGGGGCCACCTGGTCCTCCAGCTGGTGCTGGACCAAATGGGACCAATGATGAGAAAGGCTAGACACAGGGATGAACAAACAAATGGACAGATAACCGGTAATGGCTGAATAAATGAAAGGATGAAAGGATGAAATCATGATAAATGAATAAATAATAAATTAATGGATGAACAGATCAATGACAGTCATGAATACATGAATGAATCCACAGATACATGGTTTAATGCATGAGTAATCAATTGCATTTTTATTTTATTCATTAGTTGATTAGTTCAATAAATACTTATAGAGCACCTATTAGATGCCAAGCACTGTGCTGGGGATTTAAAGGTAAGGAAAGAGGTCTGTGCCCTACTGGGCACCACAGTCTACACAGGAAGACAGGAACTGAGAAAGAAATGGCAAGCATGATGCAGGTGGTGAAGGAGAAATGCCGGTACTGGGGCAGCAGGCCTCATCAGGCTCCTGGGAGTGGAGGCACAACCCTATTAAATCTTTGTCAAGAGAGTGCCTGGGCCCCAGAGCTGCCCAAACTGGAAGACTAGGAACCCCATAATCTCAGAATTGCCACACCACTAATGCTGTTTGGACAATTCTCAGGGGCCAGGCACCCTACCATCACTTTACACGTCCTGGCTCCTTTAATCCCCACAGCAGCCCCACATCAAGAACTCTATTATTATTACTCTCCCTTCTTACAAACTAGGAAACTGAGGCTCAGAGAGGTCACCTGGCTGGTAAGAGGTAGAACCCAGTTCTACCAGCCACCTCCAGGGCCCAGGCTCCTAAACCCCACCCTCTCCCCAGTGGGGAGAGCCCCACTCCACCTCCCCTGGCCTGGTGCACACAGCTGGGCTCCCCCAACCCCCACCTCCCTGGTGTGGTGGTTGCCTTTCTTCAGCCTCCTTTGTTCCAAGACAGTGACATGAACAGATTCTCCTGAAGGTTTAGGTGGTAAACAAACTGCCATCCACAGGCAATGCTAGAGTCAAAGAAGATCCTCTTCCCTGGGAACTCGGCCCTGGCGAATGGCCCACACAGACTGTCTGATGCTCCTGACCCCACCAAAGTCCACAAGCATAGGGTTGGTACGGGATGTTCCCAACCTAATGGGCTATCCATTTCCCTGACAGCCGCTGCCTTCCTCAGGTGCTCAGTTCATCAAGGAGATGAAAGTTCCAAAAGAGGGACTTTTTGGGTAGAGAGATTAAGAAGGCAGGCCCTGGAGCCAGAAAGCTCAATCCCAAATCCTGGCTTGGCCACTTACTGGGGAAGTGACCTTGGGCAGGACACTTCACTTCTTGGGGCCTCAGTCTCTCCATCTGTTCCTGCTTGAGGACTCTGTCTTCTTCCCATCCCCCTATCTTCTCTCCTCTCCTCCCTTCCCCCTGCCTTCCCTGGTCAGGTCCTGTTTCCTAGAGACCCTCTCTTCTGGAAAGAGGAGCCTCTCAAGGCTCCACAGAGTTCCCAGGCCTCTGAGGCAGCTAGAAGGGAAGTGTCCAAGCCACAGGGCTCCCTGGGGACTGGCTGCTCAGGGTGGGCTCCATAATTCTGGGGAATGTGCTTTGGGAATGGGAAGGAGAGCTCCTTAGAGCCTCAGGATCTTCCTGCTATGGGGACAGTGCCCTGCTTAGGTGGGTGCGTGTATGCACCTGGGGTGGGATTATGAGTGACACGACCTGTGTCCTCTCTGTGTGGACTCCTCTGTGTGTCTGTGTACACTCCTGTTGGGGTCTTCTGTGGACATGTGACTGCACAACTGGTGAGGGTGATGGTCCATAGGGTTCAATGGCAGAGACTGAAAGTGAAGGGGTCACTTCAATAATAATAAAAAATAGCTGGGTGTGGTAGTTCACGCCTGTAATCCCAGCACTTTGGGAGGCTGAGGCAGGAGGATCACTTGATCCCAGGAGTTCGAGACCAGCCTGGGCAACACAGGGAGACCTCATCTCTACAAAAAATACTAAAAATAGCCAGACCTGGTGGCACACACCTGTGGTCCCAGCTACTCAGGAGGCTGAAGTAGGAGGATCACTTGAGCTCTGGGATGTCAAGGCTACAATGAGCTGTTTTCCTCATAATCATCTTCAGGTAGACTGTATGTTTTGAAGATAGCTATCATCTCACATGCTTTTTTTTTTTTTTTTTTCTTGAGACAGGGTCTCACTCTGTCACCCAGGCTGGAGTGTAGTGGCGTGACAGCTCACTGCAACCTCAAACTCCTGGGCTCAAGCGATCCTCCTGTCTCAGCATCCTGAGTGGTGGGGGTACAGGTGCGCACCACCACGCCCAGCTAATTTAAAAATATTTTTTAGAGATTAAGCCTAGTCTTGAACTCCTGGGATCAAGCAATCTTCCTGCCTCGGCCTCCCAAAGTGCTGGGATTATAGGCGCGAGCCACTGCGCCTGGCCCACATGTTCTTCTTACAATGTGGTATTGACTCTTCCCACAGAAAGACGAGGTCCAGGTCCCCTCCCTTTGAAGCTGGGTAAAGCTTTGTGACTGCCTTGACCACAGAGCACAGCAGAAATGATACTATGTGACATCCAAAGCTAGGTCATAAAAATGCCATGTGCTTCCATCTTGCTCTCTTGGCTTGCTCATTCTTGAAACCCAGCCTCCACGTTGTGGGGAAGCCCAGGCCACATGCAGGGGCCATGTGTAGGTATGCCAGCTGACAGGCCAGATGAGGTCCAGCCAAATGCCAGCATTAATCACCAATTTGTGAGTGAGGATGCCTTCAAGGTAATTCCAGCCCAGCACTATCCGACCACACTGCATGACTCTCAGTGAGAAGTGCCTAGCTGAGGAAACTGAGGATCAGGGAGGTGGAGGAGCCATGGTCACACAGGCAGTGAGTGGAAGAGACGGAATGTGAACCCAGGGTCCTTCATATGCTGACAGGAGAAATGAAGGAAGGGGATGATTTCTGCACAGGCTAGATTTCATCTATTGCCCCAGAGGGGTCCAGCTGGGACTCCAACCTCACCACTCCTTCCAGAAACTGTCCCTGCTGGCTGAAAGGAGGATGGAGGTGGTAGCCCTCATTCCTTATGCTGGGACTCAGGCCCGACTTCTAACTGCTGAACCTTGCTGGTGCACTCTTAGCCCAGAAGGGACCCCCGTACCCACTGCGCTCCCAGCCCCCTCCTAGACCTCTGGGAATGAGGTGTGCTCACTGTATCCTTGGTGGGAGCTCATGTATACAGCTGGCTAATGTTTAGTGAGGCACTGTTTCTCATGTATTATCTCATTTAGTCCTCACACCAGTCCTCTGAGTTATGTATTCCTGTTATGGCCATTTTACAGATGAGGAAACAAAGGCTCCAGGAAGCAAAGCAACTTGCCTGAGGTTATGAAGTCAGGATGTGGCAAAGCTGGGATTTGACCCCAAGTAACTGGCATATCAGAGAAGCTGAGTGACCTCACCAGGGTCACAGAGCACATTAACAAGAAGTCAAGCCAAGCCCAGAGCACCTTGAATGAGAAGGTAGGAGGCTGTATTCTCTTCCATGGATGGCTGGGAGTTAGATGGAAATAGGACGGTCTCAATGTCTGCTCCCTGCTTTCCACAACCAGAAGATCCATAAGAGCAGAGACCAGGTCTCTTGACATACAGTAGGTGTACAATACTTATCTATTGACTGTCTTGCTTTGCAACTTTAGCCAAATTCCTCTCCACTCTGGGATTCAGTTTCCCCCTCTGTAAACAAATGGGGGAGAAGGGAAGGTGTAGATGGATTCTAAATTCCCCACCAGGCTTCCTGGCAGCAGAGGTGGTGGGGGTGAGGTCATGCTCAGAGGTGGAGGATGGACAGCTTGACCTTCCTTCCTGATTTCAGGCTTCAGGATTAAGCCTATGGCTCCAGTGAGGAAGCTGAAGCCCCAAGAACTGCACTTCCACCAGACGCCCACAGGTGGCAGCAGAGGCCCACATGGCAGGGGCTGTGGTGCATGTGGTTTGAATTTAACTGGTGGGTTTTTTTTTTAATGTGGGTTTTTTCCCTTTCTTTCTTCTCTGAGATCCGCCCCCCTCCCTCCCAATTTCAAGAAGATACAGCTGGACCTTCCAGGCTGGGAAGGAAAAGTTTCTCATTATGGATAATAGCGGGAAGCAGGAGGTGGGGCTTGAGAAGTAGATGGATAGACAGACCCCCAACAGATGTGAAAAACATCTTAGGAGCTCAGAAGCTTTGAATGCAATCATCCTCTCAGCCCAAGAGGCTGGGACTGTCACCCCCATTTTACAGGCAGAGAAACCAGAACCCAGATCTTCTGGGTCCCACATCTGAGTCTGAGCAGGGGAGGTTGCCCTGCCCTTGGCAGTCGAGAAGGACCCCACTGGTAATCCCATGAGGCCTTAGGGTAGGTAGGACTTGCTAAATCTGGCAACTCCTGCTTTAGGGCTCCCAGGAAATGCACCCACCTTCCCCTATGCACACTTCTGCCTACATACTGGCCTGGCCTGTGGTCCCAGCCCTGGCTTAAAACCTATGAATGAGATGACCTCCAGGGGCCCTCCTCTCCCAGCTCTAAAAGTTATTTCATTCAAAATGTCTAACACTGGCTCAGCACCAGACCAGTGCTCAGGGAATCAGGCCCTGTGGCCCAGGACCACCACCGTTCAGCCTCTGATTCCTGACCTGCACAGAGCACTGGAAAGCAGGGATCCCTTCCCTATCCTCCACCCAGTTCCCCAGCCTGCAGGGGGGCTGGGATCGTGGGAACGGAAGTTATCCAGGGTCTGTTTCCAGCCCCTCTTGTTCTCTCCCTCCCTCAGACCCAGGAGCAGGGGGAAGGGCTGCAGTCATGTGTTGTCGGTGGGATGGGGTGTCCTGCCTCTGGTGCAGAAGATGACTCACTGGGCTGTGGGCCAGGCACCCTGGGAAAGGCCAGGTCAGCCTCAGCCAGAGCCCCAAGGAGCTGAGGCAGGAAGGAGGGGGCCAGAGCCTGCCTCGGCTGAAGATAAATCCTGGGGGCTCTTGAAGCCCCACAGCCAAAAGAGGCTGTCTTCCCCACTTACCATAGTGCCAGAAATTCTATTCATGCCACCAGAGACCTAGGGAAGCCTGAAGTGCAATCAGCCCCCAGCAGCCTACGTGTGTGACCTCCCAGCCTCTCCTCTAGCCAGGCTGGTCTCTTCACCACTGTCCAACCCCAGTCTCCTCCCCACCTCTCCATCTTTGTGTAGACTGCTCCTCTGCCTGGGCTGCCCTCCTTGCTCTTGGCCCTGTTTAAACGCCATCTAACTTTTATGCTCTGCCTCTTCCTGGAAGTTTCTTTTAAGTCCTCCACCCTCCCTGACCTATCCCTGCTATAGACCAGGGCACTGACCAAACTGCCTGGTGCTAATTCCCCAATCAGCAGCCTCCTTTTTGGCATATTGAAAGACCTACTATATGTCAGGCTTGCACTCAGGCAAGCTGCCCAGGTACTAAGGGACATATAACAAAGTCTGTGAGCTCCAAAAGGGAGGGTGCACTTCTGCCTTGTTCCAGCAGCTTCCATGCCTACAACAGAGACTGACCCACAGTTAAGTGCTCAGTTCACATTTGTGAATTTGAGGATGAATGAAAGCAAGTATCAGTGTAATTAATGTGCACTGATTAGTTTAGAATGTCCATGTTCAATCCTCTCTTGAAGGAGGGAGGCAGAGAAGGGACCATTTCTACGCATTTGATATATGGGCACAGAGGCTCAAAGAGGAAATGTCTCATGACCCCCAGGGTGGCAGACAGTCAGCTGAGCTAGAACCAGACCAGACCAGGCCTCTGGAGCTCTCCCACTGTAGCTTGTCCAGAGAGGCCCAACCAGCTGGGTTGCACTGTGGCCCCTACCTCCCCTACTCCCACCCTGTTCCAGGACCCGGGTGACACTCTGAGGGGAGAGTAAGTTCTACCCATCAGTCGGTCACTCCAGCCCTGCCCCTGGGGACTCTGGCATAACCCAGAGCCGAGGGAAGCCCCCTCCCATCACACCAGGCAAGCATAGGGTGGTCAGGATGTCCAGGGGCAGTGACCATGCCCGTTCAATTATCCCTCCACCCTAGCCTCTGGAAGAAGTGGTCTCTGCCTCTGGCTGACCAACAGCAGCTTGGGCTTTTAGGCCTTACTGAATTTATCCACCAATGGTGACCAGCCCTAATGCCTGGACAGCGATAGTTACGTGTGAGTGCGCGCGCGCGTGCATGTGCACAAGTGTGCGCAGTGGATAAGATTCACAGCTGAAGGTCAGCCTGAGCCAAACCCAGGGTATACTCTCCTGAGGCCCAGGACAAGGCCACCACCGCCAGAAAGTCTTTCTGGTAGCACAGACCTGCCCACTCCCCTCCTCTGAACTTCTAGAGTTTCGGCCTTTAAAACTCAGGGTCTTTCTAGTCTTGTCATTATTATTGGCAATAAGTGGAACCACCCAGTACCTTAGAGTTTACAAAACACTTCCAGGGCCTAATTTCATGAGCTCTTCCGTGGGTAAAGCAAGGCTCAGTGAGAAGTCATGTGTGCTTAGGTTCTCAAGACAAAGAGGTTGGTGGGGCCAGGGCCCAAATCTCAGTGCCGGCACTGACCTGCTGTGGGACTGTGAGCAAATTACACAACCTCGTTGGGCCTGAGGACAGGAAGAGAGCAAAAGCATAAACCAGGAGGAGAAGATCTCCTGAGGGATTCCTCTGCGCTGCTTACTAAGCGCTCTGCAGGTATTATTTTAACCTCACAATAAGCCTCCTGGGTAGGCCCTATTATTACCCTGTTTTACAGAGGAAGATGATGAGGCATAGTTAAGGACCTTGCTCAAAAGTTAAGTACCTTGCTCAAGGTCTCTCAAGCAGACAGGATTCCCGCCCCCCAGGAACCCCAGAAGGAAGAGGTGTGGGATTATCTAGGAACCCGGAGAGAGGAGCATGTTCTAGCCTAAGGGAGTGACCCCGGGAGCAGCCCAGGCTCCCAGCATGAGGACGCCCACTCGCCCACTCAGCCTTTTCCACAGCAGGGAAAACTGGCGACAACCTCAAGGTCCAACCACAGGAAAGCCCAGAGATTCATGCACTTACTGAAATCTTTGAAATGCTATGGAGAAGTATTTGGGTATAACATCAAATGAAAGAAGCAAGAAGCATACATTCTGCACCATCTCAATGTTATTTAAAATACACACACACACACACACACACACACACACACACACACACACACACACACACACACACGGAGAAAAAGCCTGGAGGGAAATATACCAGAACATTAACAGTGGGCAGGGGCCCTGGACAAAGGTGGGTAGAGGGGTAGAGCCAGAGACCACTCTCCACTGATGGCTTCCCGACCTCCAGAAGACCACATCTGTGCCTCAGTTTCCCCATCTATAAAGTAGAGAATATAGAGGGCTTACTTCCCACAGTGCCCAGAACAAAGCATGAGTTCAACAAATATTGGCTGTTATGAATAACCAGAATCTCAGAGGGCAGGTCCCCTCAGGGGTCAGTGGTTGGCTTAAGCACCCTCCTTCCATGGCAGGCCTCCCTGGCAGCCCTCGCTGGCATATCCGCAGGGCTGACAAGCTCCCCCTCCCATGGGGCCATGGTAGCTCCTTTCACTATGGGCATGTCTGCTTGAGAAAAAGCCATGCTGGGCTGGACCCCTCAGTCTCTGGGTGGCCTTAGAAATGGACAGCAGTCACCTCAGGAAGAAATTTCCTCCACCTCCCATTCAAAAATCCTTTGGGCTCTGATGCTTCTGTGGGGTGATTCTCCAGGTGAGAGCTGGGAGAGGTTTTCCAGGTGGCTCTCTTGTCCCCAGCCCAGGTGACCACCTCTATCCCTCTCTCTCTCCAGGACAACAGAGTAGCATTTGTTGGCAGCACTTTGTGCCTTTTCCATTTTCTCCTTTGGAAAACAAATGAGAAGCCAGCTGAGTCTGACCTCCTCCCCCCGCACCCCCCCACTCCCCCTCGCCCAACCCTCCAGGCCCCCAGGGGTGGGAGGCCCTTTCTGCCTCCTCCCTGGACAACAGGACTGGTGGAGAACCCCAGAGGAGGGGCCCTGTGAACTGGCTGTTGCCATGGCAATGACAGCCCTGGAATTTGACCACTGGGGCCCAGGAGTGGGGGAGGGGAGGTGGTATAGGCTACGCTGGGGCCAGGGAGGAAGGTCCAGGGGCCCAGGAAAGCCAAGAAGAGCAATGCAGGGCAGGGGTCCAGGGTCCCCTCCATGGCCTCAGTTTCCCCATCTGTAAAAGAGGGAGAGAGAGGCATGGGCCTTAAGATCTCTCTACCTCTAATCCAAATCGAGACATGGGTAAGGGCTAGGGGTATGGGACACAGCCAGGACAAGGCCAGTGCTCCCTTTGATGGATAGGGACCCCAGGGAACAGGGACTCAATCCAAGGTCACACAGCAAGTCCAGGGTAGTGGCAGGACTAGGTTCTGGGGGATGTGGTCTGTCCACTCTGGCTTCTCTATTTTTCTAAAGGAGAGGACAAGGGTGCCTGCCTCACGGTAGGGAGAAGAGGATCCCCAAGAATGGTAATAGCTGGGCCCACAGTGCTGAGACAGCAGGTAATGTGCCCACCCCTAGAAACCCCTGGCCTTCCTGGATCCAGAGGGCTGGCAGAGGGCCTGCCCCCACCCCCACCTGCTGTGCCAGGCTGCAGTGGGCATTTTTAAATGGGTGCCTGCCCCTCTCCTCCTTCCTGCCTGCCCACTCCAGGAACACAGTGAATTCTGCTGCCAGCCCTCCATCTTCTTGGGCCAAGCCTGAGTGGGCGCTAGCTCCACAGTCTTACTCTCTGCCTCCACCTCCAGGACAGCCAGGGCGATGTCCAGGGCCTCTTCCAGCTATGATAATCTAGGCCCAGAGAGGGGATGGGGCTTGCCCAAAGTCACACAGTACAGACAAGGAATTTGGGAATGTTATGCCACCTTCCAGGGCCCAGCAAGTTATCTGGTGCCACTCCAGGCCCTTCTGTTCATCCCTCTGCCCCTGCCCCTCCACAGCCACAGCCTCGATCCCCTCAGCTGACCTTCACACCCACCCTAGAAAGATTCTGACCAAGTCATTCCTCACCTTAAAACCAACCATCCAGAAAAAAAAGAGTTGCAGTCATAACTCATACTACACACCAGGATAAATTCCAAACCGATCAAGGAATTAAATGTAAAATAAAACAAGAAAACTGAAAATAGCAGAGAAAAAATATGAGAGAATTACTTTATAATCTTGGAGTGGGAAAGGCCTTTCTAACTATGACTCCAAATCCAGAAGCAATAAAATAAAAGCTTGATAAAGTAGAACACATAACAACAAAACCTTCTGCATAGTAAAAATATAAACAAAGTCAAAAGTCAAGTGACAAATCAGGAAAAAAATATTTGCAACTCATATGCCAGACAAAGAACTAACTTCCCTAATATTTAAAAGGTTCCTAGAAACTGATAAAAACAAAAGGCCAACAACCCAACAGAAAAATAGACAAAGGATATGAAGCATTCACAGAAACGGGAATCCATATGTCTCTTGGAGATAGAAAAAGATGCTCAACCTTACTCATTATAAGATAAATACAAATTAAAATACACTGAGACCTATCAGATTGGGAAGATACCCAAAGGTCTGAGTTGGTGAGATTGTGGGGAAATGGGCCTCTAACCTACTGCTGATGGCAGACCCCCATGGACAGCAGCAAAATGAGAATCACATTTACCCTGTATCCTAGCACTCCTAAGAAATGACCTACAAACAAGCTTGTTCACTGCAGCAGTTTGTAACAGCAAAAGACTGAAAAAACCTAAATACCTGTTAATATGTGGTTGCATAGTTTGGTATTCTGCAAAATGGGACACCATGCAGTACAAAAAAGAATATGAGGCCAGATGCGGTGGCTCACGCCTGTAATCCCAGCACTTTGGGAGGCTGAGGCAGGCGGATCGCCTGAAGTCAGGAGTTCAAGGCCAGCGAGGCCAACATGGTGAACTCCCATCTCTACTAAAAATACAAAAATTAGCTGGGCGTGGTGGTGCATACCTGTAATCCAAGCTACTCGGGAGGCTGAGGCACAAGAATTGCTTGAACCTGGGAGGCAGAGGTTGCAGTGAGCTGAGATCGCACCACTGCACTCCAGCGTGGGTGACAGAATGAGACTCCGTCTCAAAAAAAAAAAACAAAAACCCAAAATACAAAAAAAAAAAAAAAATATATATATATATATATATATATATATATATATATATATATATATATATATGAAAGCTCTCAAAATACTGATAAGGCAAGACCTGCAAATGACATTAAGTGTAACGAGCAAGGGGCAAAGCGGTGTGCTACCATCTGTGTGCAGGAAGGGAACAGATGATGAATTTGCTGGTGTTTGCAGATAAAAGGATTCACAAAGACACTACTAGCTGGGTGGCCTGGGGTCAGGCAGGGTAGGAAATAGGCAGCCAGGTGGGAAGGAGACTTTTTATCCTTTTGGATTTTTCCTAACCATGTGAATATATCATCTATTCAAAATATTAAATATATAAATTTAATTTAAAAAATTCACCTTGCAATCAGGCCCCTGCTGCCCACTCCAGCCTCACGTCTCATCTCTGAACAGCCTTTGCACCCCTCTTCTTCCTTCTCCATCCTGCCTCTCTAGGCTCCCTCCATGACTCTCTCTCCTAGACCTTCTGGGCTCCCCTGGCCTCGGAGTATCTCTGCCCCAGCCCGGACCCTGCCCTGGTGACACAGGCCTGATGTTCCTGTCTCAGTCTGTGCCTCCTCATAGCTGGGGCACCACCTGTGTTCCCAGCCTACATACAGAGGACGAGGTTCCCACTGAATGAAGACTGCACCAGAGAACAGGGGGCACTGCCTTGGAGCCCCAAGTTTGGAGCCTTTGTCTTTGCTTTCCCTCTTCTGTTTCCACATTGGTCTCCTCTGGGACAGTTCCAGTCTCACATGTGGTGTTCCTCCAGGAAGCCCTCCCTGCCCAAATCACATTCAGACTGGGGTAGAACTGTCCAATTCCTCCTTCAAGCCAAACGCTCAACCCCTGCCTTGGGTAGAGCGACCTCAGGGCTGGGCTTTGAGCTTCAAAGTGAGTCCCCAGCCTGGAGGAAGGTCCTGGGGTCAGAAGTCACTGGGTGACTCTGGCAACCCTGCCCCTCTCTGGGCCCCCATCTGTATGGCAAGGAACACAGACCAGCTGCTCCAGAGTCAGTGATGGGCAACTTTAAAGCAAGGTGGGGATTTCTGCTAGCAAAACTCCGGCAGAGCCCCCAGCCTGCAGAGTCCCATCCCTCCTGCATAGCCCCACTCTTTTCCTTTGGACAGCTGCCCGTGGGGAACTCCAAGCCTCCCTCAGGGAGCTCAGCTCATCCCCCTACCAAAGAGGATTACCTGGGCTACTCTCAGTGACCCCATCCTCTTCTCTCCATCCCTGGGGCTCTTCCTCAGCCAGCTAGGTCACTTCCCTCCCTCCCTTCCAACTTGTTTTACGGCTTCCCACTGATCCCCAGTGGTCTGTGGTCCAGCCCAGCCACCACAGACATAATCACATCAAATTCTCACCATAACCCTATAATAGGTGCCATCATCATCATCCCCATTTTACAGGTACATAAACTGAGCCACAGAGGGACTAAGTACTAACACGTGAGTACTCAGCTTTTCCAATGAATAATTACCCAGGACTATCCACAAAACTAAGAGGAAGAGCAGGATTTGAAGAAAGCCATCTGGCTTCAGTCTGTTCTAACCATTACACTAACCCAGCTGAATGTAAGATCAAGTACTTGTCCCCCGAGAGTCTCAATGACCTGGCCCTTGCTGACTCACCAGCATCAAATTTCCCCACCTTTACCACGGTCTGGCTGCATCATGTTCTGGCCACAGTAGTTCCTCCAACCCATCGCATTGTTACACCCTGGGCCCTTTGCACATGCTGGTCTCTCTGCCAGGTGTGGCTTCCTATGTCTATGTTTGGCAACTTCCTACTCATTCTACATTTTTCGTGGCCAAAGAAGTGGGAGCTTAGGCTGTATGGTGGACCAGGCAGGCTGGTCTACTAAGCGGGGCAAGGCCTAGGTCCTGAAGGGCCTCAGACCTGCCAGCCTCAGAGCTCAGTCTTTCTCCTGCCAACACTTGTTCATACTCTTCCTTTTACACACTACAAACTCTGGGGAATTCCTTCCTGATTCTAACCTAATTCACTCATCCTACAGGAGTCAGGACGATTCCTGGACCTCTAGAGAATGTGCTCCTGCCTGTCCACTGTCAGTGTGACTGAGCTGGGCTGAGACAGGGTGCACATTCTGGGAGCGTAGCTGGTTGCCAGCTCCTACCTCCCTCAAAGGGCCTGTGTCCTTCCAGGTGTCAGCAGGGGGCAGGCAGGATTTTCCCACCACTCCAACAGTTTGTCCTTCTGATCAAGTGGGGCCCAGCCAGCTCCAGGCCCCGGGTGGGAGGTGCTGCCTGCTCATAGGAGCACCAAGGATGGGTGGTATGCTCCATCATCCTGGCTGCGTCTGGAGACCTGGCCCCCAACAGAGTTTACCCCTGCCCAGGGAGCCTGGCTGGTTGCCCTTCTGAGCCTGCAGAGACACTGAAGGGAGAGGCTTGTCTCACTCTAACGCCTCCCATCAGGGAGGGCTTCCCTCTTTCCACAACAGAGATTTCCTGACTGAGTCCTGAAAGCTCCATGGAAATACATGGCGTGAGATGTGGTCCAGGGGGCAGACATGACCCTACTTTCACTTAAATCAATGAGATCAGCCTGCTTTATACTTCTGTGTCAAGATTCCTCTAGAAGAAAAGGTTCCACTATTTTTATTTTTATTCATTTATTTATTTTTTAATTTTTTGAGACGGAGTTTCACTCTTGGTTGCCCAGGTTGGAGTGCAATGTGCAATCTCGGTGCACTGCAACCTCTACCTCCTGGGTTCAAGCGATTCTCCTGCCTCAGCCTCCCGAGTAGCTGGAATTACAGGCGTATGCCACCAGGCCCAGCTAATTTTTGTATTTCTAGTAGAGATGTGGTTTTACCATGTTGACCAGGCTGGTCTTGAACTCCTGACCTCAGGTGATCCGCCCTCCTCGGCCTCCCAACCTCGGCCTCCCAAAGTGCTGGGATTACAGCCGTGAGCTTGGAAATTACCACTCTGGGATCAAGTCCAGGCTTTTAGGCCTGGCCTTTAGGAACTCCCGGGGCCCACCTGACCTCTCCAGAACCAGGGAGCTTTCATGGTACCCCAGACACACCAGGGCTTCTCCATCACAGGCCTCTACCTTTGCAGTTCTCTCTCCCTGAAGGGCCTTGGCTCATTTCTGCCTGTCAAGGTCTGGCTAGTCCTTCAAGATTCCAGCCACTGCCCTAAGTTAGCCTTCCCTGCCCTCACCCTTCTTGGCCTCCTTCGACCCCCAGTTCTCAGATGGGGCTTCTTGGGTCAGGAACCCCTTCTCCTTCACCCTGCGGCCCCCATGCTAACCCTGCACATACAGGCACCAGTGGGCCACAGTGCAATTGAATTTTAAAGGTTCCCCTGGGTTCCCCCAACCCGCCACTCAGAGCTTATTTCAGCGTTAATTATCCAAGACTAGTTAGAAAAGGTAGAAGCATCTGTGCAGTCAGGGCTCAGTCAATCCACCAATGACAGTGAACACCCCGGTTCTCAGTCAAATGGCTGGGCTGTCCCATGGGAGCAAGGTCTGCTCCCAGGCAGGAAGCGGCCTAGGCCCTCTCCCCACTCACCAGGCTCTGGCATCCACTGCCCAGCCCCGCCCCTTGCTGGACACTCAGAGGGTGGTACAGGAGCAAATTGCTCTGTTCACATCTCTCCAGATGGATAATGCCTGTTTATGTTACTTGTTGACATCTGGCTGCCCCAATCTACTCCAACTTTGCTGTCATCAAAGCTTGCTCCAGGGAAGGTCTCAGGCTCGGTCCTCACTCCTGATATCTGTACAGATGTCTTTGTGGGTATGGAAATCTGCTGGGGATTGAAAAGTGAGAAAGTGAGAGAGAGAGAGAGAGTGTGTGTGTACAATGCCTATATGCGATGCTCCTCAAGCTTTGCCTGTGTTGAGATGGGTGGGGGTTTGCTGTCAGCTTACCCCACAGTGTGGGAACTGTTGGTTTCAGTGTGCTCCCCTCCAGCCCGCAGGCTCCAGCAGGGCTCCTCTCTACATCTCCAGCCCAAGCACAGGGCCCAGCCCTGGAACGAAATTTCTTCCCCAGCACCCACAGCCCAGGCCTGGCCACACAGGAAGCGACCTGATGACTGAGGCCCAAGAGTTCAACTCATGGGACAGGACTCAGGGCTAGGGGCCCAGAGGGAGACAGGGCAGGAGGCTGGGGGTGGGGGAGGTTTGGGCTGGCTGCGGGTCTGGGCCTCTCTGGGCTCTTTGTCCAAATATGGAAGGTTTTTTTGTCTCCATTTGAGTCACGCCGGCCATGGCCCAAGAGATCTGCTTTCCAGATACTGCAAACGGGACTGCACTGCACTGCCTGGCCTGCCTGTCTCCCCTTCACCTGCCCGTGGCCCATCTCTCCACCTTCCCAAACTCCTGGGCTGAGTTCTCTCCGCCAGCAGAAAGCCCAGCACCCACCTCAGCTGCTTTCCAGCACCAAGAGAAGGGTCCCTGGGCCCATAAAGGGAGGAAACACTCATTCCTTCTGTGCCTGTCACCTCCTCCCACTCCCCAAGGGCCTCTCAAGTGCAACTGAGCCATTCAACTAATATTTACTGAGCAACTACTATGTGCTGGTTCCTGGGACTCAGACCATGGACTGTGAATCCAGTAGGATCACTATGTCCAAAGCAAAATCCACCCTTTCTTTCTGTGCCCACCTTGATGATGGCACTGCCCCCAACTCAGGCAGTCCTGAAAGCCAGGGGCCTAAGCACGGGTTCTGGAGCCAGACCATCTGGGTCTGAACTCCAACCCAGTGAGACTATCCTGGTTTGAATACCACCTCTCTCTTTCTGGGCTCTGTGACCTGAGCTAAGCACCCTCACCTTCTCTGGGCCTGTGTCTGCTTCCCATCCCACCCCCAATCAGTGCCGACTCGGGACGGCACCCTTTGCCCATCTGCCAGCTTCCACCTGCCTGGTCCCCAGGACAGCAGCAACATAGGGCTAGGCATAGGCATGGGTGGTAAGGGGAGCTGAGAGGAGCCTGGGCGCTCCCCCAGGGCAGGGCTCAGCTGTCCTCCTCCTGCCTCCCCCACATTATTTATTTAATAAACGTGTACCCAGGCTCCACCTCGTGCCAGGAACAGGAGGGCTTGGCATGGGTGGATCCACCCGACCAGAATCAAGCATTGGGTCACGGGGCAAACTGGGGGCTCCCACCCACATCTCCACATCCCAGAGCCTTAGAGGTCTGTTACCTCCGAAGCAGAGAGGAGCTGCAATCACTGTGTATCCTGGGACAGAGGCGGTTCCTGACACCTGGGCTGGGAAGCTGAGGGGGACTCTGCCCTACACGGCCGTTTTCCTAAGACCAGTCCCTGGCCAGGGGTCTCTGTCTGGCTCTCTAAAGGGAGGCAGGGTGACACAGATGGTCAGAGGAGATGAGAGACAGGAAGAGGAGCAAGACCCAGGGAGGAGAACAGGGAGAAGGACAGAGGACAGAAGGAGAGAAGAAAGCAGGGAGCCTCCATGAGAGGAAGTCCTGGTGCGAGTGGCTGGAACAAAGACACAGATGCCCAGGGGACCAGCAGAGACCCTCCACTGCCCAGGCACCACGTCCAGGTGATGAGATGGGGCAGGCCGGGCCCACCCTTCTCCTATTCCTCCACCAGCCTTGGGGCCAGGCCCGGGACTATTTTTAGCTGGGGCTGAATTTAGCCATTCCCTCGGAAATTCCTCACCCGCCCCAGGCAACGCCCCCGCTGGCCTTGGGGAGAAGCCTGGAAGTGGCGGGTCCAGGCCAGAGGGGAGGAGGGGCCCAGGAGCGGCAGGAGCTGGGAGGGCGCTCAGGCATCTGACAGGGAAGCAGGCTTTCCGCTCAGGCCCCCAGTGTGAGGCACTCCTCTCCCTAAAGCGCGGCTCTCCTCTTCTTCAGGAAGGCCTCCAGGGCTGCGGGGCCACAGAATAGCACTGGTCTCAGGATCTAGGGTACAAATATCACAAGGTTCTTTGTCTCTGACTACAGGACCCACCACGAGGGCTGCTGGCAAGGATGCCTGCCTGTGGACCTACCAGTCCCTCTCCCTCAGTTCCCAAAAGCCTGCATATTCTAGAGCTCTGCTGGACTCTGGAGGACTCCCACTTCACAGATGGGGAAACCAAGGCAGAGGGACTTGTCTTAGGTTAGAGCCAGCAAGGCAGCCCAAGCCTGCTCTTTCATTCCCTTCCATGCTCCCTCCATTAGGCCTCTCCCAGGAGGGCCAGACTGCAGGTGTGGCCTGGAGCTCTGGGGCTCTTCAGGGACCCCCCTGAGAGGCAGGGCACTTCCACTGGAGCAGAGGGTTTGAGGTCAGACAGGAGGCTTGCTGGGCACAGAGGCAGGGCTCACAGCCACCTCACTCTTTCAGAATGCAGAGGAAATTTCTGCCGAGACAAGAAGTGAGTCCCGCTCCCCCAACCCTGTTTCTGATATAACCCCTGAACCTAAATTCGAATTCCCAGATTCTGCCTCCAAATTGTCTTCCCAGTCAGTTCTCCCCTCGCCAGCTCCACATCCTCTGCTACCTAAGCTCAGGCTACTCATGTTCCCGCACCCTCATGTCAGATCATCACCTCACAACCAGAGGATACTGTGATGTGCAAAGCTGGCAGTGCTCCCAGCCCTTCCTCTCCCAGAAAGGGAGAGGGGAGCTGGCAGAGGGGAGCCCCTCTGCTCAGGCCATTTAACTCGGCACTTGAGGCTTTCAACCTGGTTCCTGCCCACACAGAGCCTCTCCCCAGGTGCTCTGGTCAAACTGAGACCTCCCTGCCCCTCTTGGCCTCAGACACATACAGGGGCTTCCCTTTCCTGCCCTGGCTCAGACAAGTTCCCTAAAATGCCAGGTGAACCACGTCACTGCACTTCTCAAGAACTCTCAGTGACCCCTTACAGTGTGAGGCTGGAGCAATGGTGAGATGCATGGGGGGGATTTCTGGCTCTAGTCCACTACTGTGTGGCCTTGGGCAAGGCCCCTTGCTGGGCCTCAGCTTCCCCATCTGAATGATGCAGGGGTGAGGAAGGCTAGAAAACATGGCTGGTTTCTAAGAGTCTTTCCAGGTAGACAGTTCTGGCATTAAAGGCCCTGGCCCTTTTCTTCCTCCTCCTGCCCTTCTGGCCTGCCCAGAAGTTGGACATCTCATCACCAGGCCCCATCCCAGGGAGACAGGGAAAGGCGGGGGATACCAAGAAACCCAGAGTGAGACCTCAGTGATTCAGGCAGCTAAGAAAGATGGAGCTATCGGGACCTTTATTGGGGGAAGGCGTCCCTCCCCATCTATCCACCCCTTCCCTTCCACATCTGCTCCTTAACCTCCAGTGCCCTGTCCTGGGAAAGGACTGAATGTTTGTCCAGGAGGTTGGGGAGTGGGGTCCCAGCAGTCCCTGGAGGCCCGGCTGTGGGGCTGGCTGGCAGCCAGGAACTCTGCCTCCCCGCTTCCTGCTCCACAGCGCTGTGCGGGAGCAGGGCCTGCTCACCCCCTGGGAACCAATAAACAGGAAACAGACACCAACCTTGTGCTTGCTCCCTCGGCTGGCCCCTCCATCACACTGCCCCCACTGCCTTCCCACTGGCCCCCGACCTGCTGCACCTCTCCAGACCCCAGAGTCTCAGGATCACAGGATGTCAGAACCAAGAAGTCACAATCTCAAAATCACAAATAAAAAAGAGGTCTGGACTCTTGGAAAAGAACCCAGAATCCTTCATCTTGAAACCACAGGATTCTAGACTCTGAGAATGACAATCTCAAAAGCATACACTAAGTGGCCACATTTCTGAGAGCTGTCTGGAGCCAGCGCCCAGGGCTGAGCGCTCCACAAGCATTCTCTCTTTGGCCCTCATAATAACGCCTTAGTGCCCCCATTTTACAGAGCAGTAAACTAAGGCTCAGAGTTGGGATCCAATGACTTGTTAATATCACCCGGCAAGGGGTCAGAGTCAGTTGTGATTTTAACCCTTATCAGTCTGAACCCAAAGCCCACCAGGCATACAGACACTCAGACTCACTGAGCCCCACTTCACAGGCCGCTTCCAGTGAGGGGCAGCTTTGATGCAGAGAGGGCTTTGCCTCTGCTCTCCTCCCCGTGTGGGCTGAGCTATCCTGGACATGTCACAGGGTGGGGCTGGTGGTAACAAAAGGAGAAGAGCTGGTGAGTGGAGCAAGGACAGTGGGCATGTGGCTCAGCCTCCAGCCCCGGTTTCTCCCTCCTCCCCACCTCCAGAGAACCAGGCTCGGAGCCACTGACTATGTGGGTACTGTAGCCAGGCCCCAACCTGCCTTCCTGTCTAGAGCTTTGTCTTCTGCTTCACGGCTGGAAAGAGGTGCCCAGCAGCCAAGAATCTTAGAATCATAAAACCTTAGCATCTCAGTCATGAGGGGAGGAGGTAACATTTCTTGAGCACTTACTGTGTGCCAAGCCCTCTTGGCATGCTTTCACTTAATCTCAGCAGTAGGCTGGGTGCGGTGGCTCATGTCCATCATCCCAGCACTTTGGGAGGCCAAGGCGGGAAGATTACTTGAGCTCAGGAGTTCAAGACCAGCCTGGGCAACATAGTGAGACTTTGCCTCTACTAAAAGTAAAAAAAATTAGCCAGGCATGATGGCGCATGCCTGTGGTCCCAGCTCATTGGGAAGTTGAGGTGGGAGGGATTGCTTGAGTCCAGGAAGTCAAGGCTGCAGTGAGCCATGATTGACCCACTGCACCCTAGCCTGGTTGAGAGAGTGAGACCCTGCCTCAAAAAAAAAAAAAAAATCATCATCATCTTTTTTTTTTTTTTTTTTTTTTGAGACGGAGTCTCGCTCTGTCACCCAGGCTGGAGTGTGGAGTGCAGTAGTGCAATCTCGGCTCACTGCAACCTCCGCCTCCCAGGGTTCAAGCAATTCTCTTACCTCAGCCTCCTGAGTAGCTAGGACTACGCCCTGCTAATTTTTTTTTTTTTTTAGTGGAGACAGGGTTTCACCATATTGGCCAGGCTGAGTCTTGAACTCCTGACCTTGTGATCCGCCCGCCTCGGCCTCTCAAAGTGCTGGGATTACAGGCATGAGACACAGCGCCCGGCCGAAAAACAAAATAATCTTAACAATAATCCTCTGTGGAGTGAGGGGATACTGCCCCCATCGACTACAGCCTCGGGGGAGTAGGTAAGTGCTTGCCTGGGTCTGAAAGCCAGCGTGCGGGGAGACAGCATTCTGGACAGCACCCTTTACCCTCCACATGCCACCTCCCTGAAGCCTCCCTAGGCCTCTCAGGGATGAAGGGACCTGACAGTTCCTCTGGTCAGACAGCACCAATGCCACCAATTCCCACATGGAGCTCCCAGAACATGGGGTTTCTTTCCTTCTGCCGCTGGGCTCTCAGTTCTGCCCTCAGATGGGGCAGCCTGGCAGAGACGTGACTCCCACCCCCTCCCTAGGTGCCCACCTTCCCTCCTTGCCCTGGATTTAAACTCTCCTATCAATTGCCCTTCTTGGGAGCGGCCTCATCCCACTTCTAGTCAGCAAAACTATGGCCTGCCACCTCTGGAAGCCAGGCCTGGCCCCAGGAACACATTGGCACTTCTGCCCCTGCCCCACCAGGCCTGGGCTCTGCCTGCCTCTGGACCTCACCCACCTCAGGAGGCTAGGATCCTTGGTGAAAGCTCCTGGCAAGGAGGGATGGTGTCCAAGTTTTCCCCGTGTGTCCCCACTGCCCAACACGGAGCTCAATGATTGACTGCTAAATGAATGAATGACAAATGAACATGGAAAGAAATAGCAAGTTAAATGCAGTGGGCCTGAGTTCGAAGGTTCTGCCCCGGGACCAGCACCAGCTGGGGACTCTGAATATCAGGAACCAACAGCCTGGTCCTTTGCCTATCTGTGCAGTAGAAAGAATAATGGCCCTGGCATTACATCCTCATGCTAATCCCCAGAACCTGTGAATATGTCACCTTACATAATAACAGGGACTTTGCAGGTGTAATTAAGGATTCTGAGATGGGAAGATTATCAAATTATCAGGTAGGCTTTAAGAACACAATGAATCACAAGGGTTCTTAAAGAAGGAGGAAGGAGGCCGGGCGCAGTGGCTCACGCCTGTAATTCCAGCACTTTGGGAGGTCGAGGCAGGCGGATCACGAGGTCAAGAAATCGAGACCATCCTGGCCAACATGGTGAAACCCCGTCTCTACTAAAAATACAAAAATTAGCTGGATGTGGTGGCGCATGCCTGTAGTCCCAGCTACTTGGGAGGCTGAGGCAGGAGAATTGCTTGAACCCGGGAAGTGGAGGTTGCAGTGAGCTGAGATCGTGCCACTGTACTCCAGCCTGGCAACAAAGCAAGACTCTGTCTCAAAAAAAAAAAAAAAAAGACGGAGGAAGGAGGTACGGGGTGAGCAAGAGATTTGAAGATGCTGGGGAAGATGGGGGAAGGGGCCACAGGCCAAGGAGTGCTGGCAGCCAGGAGAGGATGGTAAAGGCAGAGGCGTTGATCTCTCCAGGGCCGCCAGAGGCGGGCAGGCCTGTCAGCACCTGGATCTTAGCCCAGTGAAACCCTTCAGACTTTTGATCTCCAGACTGGAGAGTAGGAGATCTGTGTTGTTTTCAACCACTAGATGTGTGTAGTTTGCTACTGCAGCAACAGGACACTAATACACCACCTAGACCTCTGCAATCAGCACAGGTCTTCCCACCTCGGGTGTGCTCTGCCCTCCCCTCTCACCCTGTTCCTGCCTGGCGGCTTCTTCAAGCTCCACTGGAAAGAAACCATAGGAAGTTTTGTTTGTTTGGTTCTTGCTTTTTGTTCTGAGACAAGGTCTCACTCTGTCGCCCAGGCTAAAGTGCTGTTGGGCAATCACAGCTCACTGCAGCCTCAACCTCCTGGGCTCAAGCCATCCTCCCACCTCAGCCTCTCGAGTAGCGGGACCACAGGTCTGTGCCACCACACCTGTTTTTTATTTTTAGTAGAGGCAAGGTCTCCCTGTGTTGCTCAGGCTGGTCTCGAACCCCTGGGCTCAAGCAATCCTCTCACCTCAGCCTCCCAAAGTGCTGGGATTACAGGGGTGAGCCACCACGCCCGGCCCAGATAAAGGTTTACTGTCCCGTCAGCTGCAACATCACACTTCTGGACAGGCCCCACAGTGAGCACCACAGCCTGCCACAAGTGTGGAAAAAGACCCTATCTGGGGGTGGGGGGGATCCTAGAGCAGGAGGCGATGGTGGGGAAAGCACGTAGCGGGTAGACCCAGGCCTGAGTCCCGGCACCACTCTGAACCTGCCTTCTCAGCAGCCTAGTGGGATGGTGGGTCCCTGCCTGCCAGCACTTCATTCTGCAACCGAGATCCTCCTTAGAACTGGGTCCTTTCCCAACAGCCCTGGGAGGAGGTTTATCCTGGTGCCCAAGAGCATGGACAGCTCTGTGGCTCTGAAGGGGGATGGAACTTATTGAAGGCCTCACAGCAGGAAGGTGGTGAGGCAAAGCTGATCTCCTGACTCCTAGTACAGACACCAGGCTGTCCCTAGTGAACCCTAGAGCTACTGGAGGGTTGGGTCCTGGAAGTCCCTCCAGGGGCTCAGGCACTGTGGTTGGGGCCCCAAACCCCTGCATCTCATGGGCTGAGGTTCACTCACTGCACAGAGCCCAGCAGCCTGACAGTTTTCCTCTGTGTCTGTCTCTCCCAACCCCCAGAATGCCCCAGAGACCCTGGGAGCTGAGAATTAGAGGGAGGACATCATGGGGGGAATCAACTCCCATGGGGAGACATCAGCTCCAATAGGCTCCTGCTTCCCAGGGGACCCAGGGCCCCCATTTCAGGGCTTGCCAGCAAGGCGCCAGGCTGCCTGGGCACATTTCCCAGTAAGTACGCCAGGGCTTCAAGCCTTTCTGGGAAACATTGGCTCCCCCTTCCCCCACCCTGCTACCGCCATCCCTGCCAACTCTGCTTAGTGGGAACTCTGTGGGACCAATGTACGGTCTGGGAGTCAGGACACTGGGAGCCAAATCCCATACTCAAGCTTTGGGGCCTTGGGCAGACCCTGCCCACTCTGAGCCTGCTTCTTTATTGGACTATTGGAGCCATGGCAATGCCCACGTAGCTGGAGGATCAGATGGGAGGGATGGGGCTACCTTGGGGGGTAGGGGGAGGCATGAGCTCCCTGTCCCAGGAGACATGCACGCTGGAGCTAAATGGGTGTCATGGTGGCTGCAGAGGAGACACCAGTGGGATATGGCCCTGTCACCTGCCTCACTGGGACCCTGTGGCGGCTCCACTCTCCTAGCCTTTCAGCCAAGCCAATGTGGGTCTGCAGGGGGTGGCCAGTGTAGCGCAAAGCCCAGTCCACCCTGGGGACTTTTCAAACTCCACCTCCCCACCCTAAGTGACCCCTCACACACTGCCCAGCCATGTGAGAAGTTGTAGCTCTGTGTTCACCTTGAACATTGGGGTCCAGGCCCTTGAGGAGCCCCTGGGGCTGCAGCAGAAACCCACCACTCCACCATCTCTGCCTGGGCCCAAGCCACCATCATCTCTTGTCCAGATTATTCCAGCAGCCTTCTGACTGGCCTCACAGCCTCCACCTGGCCCCTTGCAATCTATCCACATGGAGCAGCCAGAGCAGACCTGTGAATGCTTAAGTCAGACCAGGCCACTATTCCACTCAGAACCTTCCAACAGCACCTGCCCCATCTCACTTTGAGTATGTGCTGAAGTCCTCCTATTGGCCTACATGATCTTCCTCACCCTAACCCACCTCTGATCTTCTACTTCTCTGCTCCATCCATACAGTTCTCTTGACTGTTTCTCAACCACCTCAGTGCCTTTGCATCTGCTGTTCCTCTCTGCCCAGAATGCTGTTTCCCTCAGCCACCTGACCTGCTCCCTCACTTCCTCCAGGCTTCTGCTCAAATGTCACCTCCTCAGACAGGCATTCCTGATCTCTTGATCTAAAGTACCCCACCCTGTCATTCTCTACTCCCTTATCCTGCTTTATTTTTTTCTCGGACCCTACCACTCCCTGACACAGAATATCTCCATTTACAGACAGGCCTCCTCCCTAGTCTGGAAGCTCCACAAGGACAGGCTTTTGTTTTGTTTGCTGCTGTATTCCCAGGCCTAGAAGGCCTGACATGTCTTATTGCTCAGACAGTATTTGTTTAATGGATGAATGCATTACCCTATCAAAGGCCACCTGAGTCTCTGAAACAAACTTTTACTGCACACAACCTGCCATATTTCTTTCCATCTCCTAGCCTCTGCTCATGCTGTGCCCTCTTCATAGAGCCTCTCCCTCTTGCTCAGTGTTCAAGCTCAAGCTTAGGCAGAGCCTCTTCTAGGAAGTCCCTCGGCCAGTTTCCAGGCTAGTCCCTCAACATCCTAAGCCCCTTCGAGTTGGCTTCTAGATCCTACACTCTGTGTGCCTCGGCTCCCAGGAAGCCTGGGGGTGCCTCCACCCTGCTTTGGGGCAGCAATGTGTAGCCTGAAAGATCACAGATGGGAGGGTGGGAGGGAAGCAGGAGGGGTAAGTCCCTACACGGGGAGAGGGGGCTGGGGACAGGATTAGCAGCAGCCTCTCCGCCTCCCAAACCCAGCTGGTCCCAGAAACGTGGGGCTGGAAAATGTCAGACTCAACTCTAGTCCATCCCCCAACCCTTCCTCGCTGGGGAGGACTCATTCCTGGACAGTGTTCCCCCCAAGAGCCCAGGCCCTTAGGAAGGAGTTGGGAGGAGATGTGAGGAATAAACAGAGGAAAGGGGCTGCCCTTCTGCCTGTCCTCCCTCATCTCACCCCCTCCTGCTGGGTGACAAGACATTTAATTATAGATATTTGGTACCGCTCAGAATTCCAAGTGTCCTAATCACCTCCTCCTTTCCCCCCAGAACCAGTTTCCATGGAAAAATCACACAAAGAGCCAAGGAGGGGAAGGAGAGAACCTCCACCCCCGCAGGTTCCCCGCCAAAAGGGGAGAAAGAAGGGTGACTAGAAGAGCTGTTGCCAGACCTTCATCAGCAAGGCAGGGAGCTGGCTGGGTAGGGAGGGGGTCTGAGTGGAGAGGAACAAGGCCAGGGTCCTGGTGCATGGGCCTGGTTCTGCCCGCCCTTGCTGTGTGACCTTAGACCTAGCATTCTCCCTTTCTGGGTCTCAAAGTTCTTCCCATCCCAACCCCAGGCCCTGGTGAATTAAATAACCACTATGAAAGTGTTCAGGCTGTTGGGGATGTGGAGGTGACACTCCCAACTGTCTGCTGACTTGTCCCCGCTACTCAGATGGCAGGCCAATCTCCTTGGGACCCCTCACCTCTAAGACACTGATATGCTAGGATTCAGGGTGAATCCAACAGTCTTCGACTCTAAGTCTGCACTGTAAGATATCCACAGCTTTCACAGTTGAAGAATGAAACAGATAGTGTCTGGCACATAGCAAGCACTTGATAAATGTTCGTCATTGTTACTGCTATTTCAGTATGTTAAAATTTCGTGAGTTCATCTGCCTATGATGCTGAGAGACAAGTCACCCCCTGCTGTGGGCTACAGTTGTGGCATGTGTCAAACGGGTATCAGGGACCTGAGGGCAGAAGGTGGGACTGCAAGACTCTGCACTTTGAGGCTGGGGCGGGGGAAGCTCTCCCTCACAGGAAGAGTTGTTGACCAACCAGGCTACAGTGGGCCTCAGTGGAGGTAACAAGAGTGTGGGAGGGGCGGGGCAGGGAGGCCTGACAGCTCTGCCTCCTCACCTCCCGGCACACAGACAGGCATTCCTGGAATAAATGACCCATGAGCTACTGTTACTCCCTGTTCTCCTGGGTTCATGCAGCTATTGCAGACAGCTGCCTTTCTCTCCCCTCCAGCCACACCGCTGGCTCCTCCCATTTCACTTGACACCCCCTGCAGGCTGACTCCCTCCTTCTGAGCCTCACAGACCAGGCAGTCTAACCTCCCACTGTACAGATGGGAAAACTGAGAGACAAAGATGACTCTGTCCAGGTCTGAGTGAGTCAAAGGCTGAGCCAGGCCTGGCCCCAGGCCTCCCACTTCCCGGCAATGGGGGCAACACCACACAGAGCACGAATGTGGACCTGAGGGTGAAGGACTCCCTACAGCCTGGGGGGCGGGGGGCATCCCCTTAGTCCCCAGGGACTGCCAGAAGCAAAGAATGACAGCTCCTCTCGTCTCTGCTTATTCTGGAGTCCATACCACGCCATCTCCACCCACGGCCCAGGGAGCATGACTGGAGCCTCAGGCTTGAAACAAGGGAACATTGTCTCCTCAACAGAGGCCACCAGGAGGGGGTGGACAGCTGCTCCCCATATTCTGGGAGCCAGAAGGAAGGGGACAGCAGGAGGGGTTCAAGCTAGCAGATGGGAGAACTTCCAGGCTTTATGAGGGTGTGGGAAATTGGAGGATGATGGATGTTCTCAGAGGCTACTGCAGTCCACCAGGTTATACTGAGGCCCCCGAGGACCCAGCCCTGTGTTCACAAGCCAAGCCTGGTGGCTGAGAAGCAGCTGGGCAGTGCAGCCTCCATTTTTCTTCTTTCCTGCTACCAGAGAGGAAATGATCACACCACCCATTCACCACAAGAGACAGCCTGCCAGGCAGAGGCCATTACCCCCATTTTATGGAAGGGGGAAGTGAGGCACAGAGCAGGGATATGATGGATCCTAGGCCACACAGGGATCAGAAGAGCAAGGCTCACACCCTGCTCTTCTAATGACAGACTCACCAGTTACCTCCCCCTAAGGGGACATCAAGCTGGGCCTGGAAAAGTGAGAGGCCTGGAGTGGGCAAAAGCTTGGAGATCAGAGAAGGCCTCTGTTCGTGGCAGGGAGAAGCCCATGTTATGGCAGATCTGTCCCGCCTCAGAGCTCCAGAAAGGGGTGGGGGGTAGAGGAGAATGTGAAGGGAGGTGGGGCAGGAGAAGTTCTGTAAACTCCCACCTCCTCTCTGGGTCTCAAAGCCTTCTCTTAGAAGCACCCCCAACCCACCTTCAGTCTCCCTGAGTCCCTTGGTTTACTCCTGTCCTCTCCCCCATTTGAGCCTTCAAGGCTCCCAGAAAAGATATATGGGAAAGGAGGCTGGGGAGGAGACCCCTGACAAGAACTGGACCTGCTGTCTTCCTCCCCTCCCCCACCTTCAGAACTGGCACTGGAGTTCAGGGGCACCGGAGCTGCCCTCACTGGGACTCAGAAGGAAGGACAGGTTCAAAACGCCCCGCTCCCCACTCCCTGCCTGCTCTCTCTGCAGCCTCCATGAGAAACCCCAGAGCCAGGACCAGGGGTAACTGGAGACAAGGAGAGAGAAACAAAGAGAAAGGGAGTTCAGAGGGGCCATGAGAGTGCTGGGAAAGGGAGTGACTGAATCAGTCCAGGGTTTATAATTTCCAGGCTTCTCACACAGTCAGGGAGCGCAGTGGGAGCGCAGGCCACAGTTGAAGTAACCACTGGCCATCGCTGAGCTCAGCTCAGAATCCACAGCCTGGAATCTAGCTCCCAACCCAGATGCCAGGGCATATGCCATCTGGATCCCATCTGAATCCACAGCCTAAACTCCAGGGATAGCTGAAGCCAGAAGGTAGAAGGAGGGGTCTCAGGGAGAGTGAGCCCCCAGGGCTGGGGGTCTGGCAGAAACGGGGTGCATCTCAGAGTCACCAAGAAGGGGGTAGAGTGGGGAAAAGATGCAAGCAGACAGGATGGGGGAACAAGAACCGACCCCCCAGACCCATAGAGGCAGCCCTGAATATGGGGCCCAGAACCACTCCTGACCTCTCTAAAGGGCCCTGGCTGCCCAGCCTCTGCAGCCCCCTCCCTGCCTCTATCCTCCCCTAGAAGCCCCCATCTAGAAGCTTTTTTCATCTGAGGAGGCTCTGGCAGAACTCAGGCCCCAAGAGTCCCCAACTCAAAACCGCAGGCTCCCCCAAATCTGCACAGTACCAGCTGGATGGAAACATAGGCACTAGTTTGTCCACCTATCTCCCCTGATTGGGGAGATTAAGTCACAGAGAAAGGCCAATGTCACACAGCAAGAACAGAACTGCAGTTAGAACCCTGAGCCCCCTCTGCTCCTCCATAAAGTAAAGCCTTGTACCTCCCCAATTCTCCCAGGCCCAGGAACACATCTATATTCTGACCTGTCACAGGAAAGCCACACGAAGAAGGGCAAACCCATGTCAACTGTGGCCCCTGAGCCAAACATCCTATCAAGGGTCTGGCCAACAGAGTAGCAAGCCTCAGAGAAAGGACTGAGCCTGCGCTGGGTGCCATCACACTCATCCCTCCAACAAAGAACCACACAGGGATTTCCAAAACCAGTCCCTGAGAAACATCCAAAGGACAAGATAAGAATCCTTTGTAATTACCACCCAGAACACCTGGAGCAGACAAGACCCTTTGCCATTAGCACCAGCAGAAAACTGAAGCTTCTACAGGGCCTGAGTAGACAGGAGCCCTGTGTCATTAACAACTCTTAAAACTGCACAGGCACTTCCAGGACCAGAAAAGCACCCTTGGCACCTGGGCACCTGACCAGTGAATACAATGCAAAAGGCTCCAACCGAAGTCGGTGCCCATGGCCCTTCTTTGGCCCCAATCTGAAGGCCCCTACAAAGGACTCACCACCTGTGGCTTGCTGCAGCACTTGCTGGCAGGGGTAGGCTCATCTGCAGGCCGAGCTGCCTCAGGGGGCTTGGCCTCAGCAGAGGGCGGTGCAGCCAGAGGCAAGCAGGGCATGTCCACTGGCACTGGGGCAGGGACCTCACCGGAGTGCAGGTTCAGCATGTACTGCTTGGTGACGTCCTCGAGCGATGGTGCCTGCAACGTGGGATGGGCTCGGGTAGGGAAGCCTATGGGTTCTGGCACAGCCACAGGGGGACCAACAGAAGTTGGTGGCTCAGGCACCACAATAGGCATAAATGTGGCGGGCACACTGGCATGGCGAACGTGTCTGGAGGAGGGCCGGGCCCGAGACAGGCTGCCAGTCTGGTCCTGACTGCCCTCGTCTCTCCGAAGCTCCTGGTGACTACTCCGAGCTGGGCGCTTCTTGGAGCCTCGGCGGATTAGCCTCGGGGACAGAATGTCAGCCAGCTTGGGGTCAAGGTGAAAGTTTCGGTGGGCAGTGGCAGGGGGAGGCAGAGCCTCAGGTAGGGCCCTTTCAGACTGTGCCCGGCTCCTGGTGGCACCAGGTTCTTCTGGCTCTGCCCGCTGCTCTACAAGGATGGGCTCGCTGCTGGATGGAGGCAGCATGGGCTCAACTTCTCGGATGGGCTCCCCTCCAGGGCCCTCGAATCCAGGCCCAGCCAGCTCCCCACGGCGGCTGGGGTCACTCAGGGATTTCTTCTTGGGGGCTTTGCCAGCAATCCTGTCGTCCACCACACGCCCCAGGGTGCCAGGCCCCTGAACTATGCTCTGAATAACCTCCTGATATCCCTTGCTCTCTTCACTGCCCACAGACCAGTCACTGTGACCACTGGTCAAGCCCTCATCCATGGCTGAGGTGGCAGGGAGCCCTGTCTTGGGGCTCAGTGAGCCCAGGAGGTTGCTGTCCACAGAGAACCCAGTAGGCTCTTCAGAGGTGGCAGCCCGGTGGCGCTGAGGAATTGGGTCACTCAGGGACCTGTAGGCCTCCCCTGCCTCCCCATTGCTCAATTCGCTCCCACCAGAACCTGAAGGTGGGACTTTGCGTCGTCGGCGGAGGGCACCTGGTGTGGGAGGGGTCTCAGGCGACACCAGGGCCCACCCGCCCAGACTGTCCTCAGTCCCAGGGCCATGGTGGTTCGTCTGGGCCGAGGATGAGGAAAGAGGTCGCCACATCCCTGTGGTACCCAGGCCGCAAAATGCTGCAACAGGAGGCTCAGGGTCTGCCCCAATGCCTTCATCTGTCAGACTGGACTCAGGGCCTGAGAGCTCCTCCTGGGACCGCTGCCCTCGGGTCACATCCCCTGCCCAGTCAGGGCTTCCAGGGGGGGCATCGCTTCCATCATCTTGTTGGGCACCCATGCGCTGGATCTTCTCAAAAACCTGGCGGGCCTCCTGCACATATTGGTCCTGGACGATGAGGGGCAGCGGATCCTCCTCGGCACCAGGGCCTGTGAGCAGGAGCTCGGAGGAGCTGGACTTCAGAGCACTGGTGCGGGGCAGGCGGCGGGCCATGGGCTTCTCAGAGCAGGTGAATGACTTTGCTCTCCGCAGAGTGGCTGTCAAGTCCTTGAGTGTGGGGCGCGTGCCAGGTGATGCTGGGGCTGGGATGGGTATGGGTTCAAGTTGCCCCACAGGGCCACCTGCGGATGGTGAGTCTCTGCCATCTAGGGGGTTGCTTCCACGGTCCCCGGAGCTCCCACCAGGTTTTCGGACCCTCAGCTCTGAAAGGTCTGAGCGCAGGAAACTGAGAAGCGTCAGGGTCTCTGAGGCGATATCTGGATTTGACAGGGACTTCCGCTGTCGACTCTTTTCAGGCTCAAATCCTCCATCCCTCAATGCCCTAGAGGTGCCTCCAGGTCCTTTGGCACGGGTTCGAGCCTGGGACCGCAGGAGCCCTTCCCCAGCTCCAAAGCTAGGGGAGCGGTACACGCCCCAGCCCCCAGAACCCCTACTAGACCATAGGTCGTCGTCCTTGAGGGTCTCCGTGCTGGAATAACGGCTGCTACCGCGGGAGCCTGCGGGGCTGGCCAGGTACGAGGGAAAGCTCACCTTGGCCACACGGAAAGCTCCTCCCACAGAGTCAGACATAGGCCGAAGTCCCTCCTGGGGACCTGGGACGCAGGGCGGAGAGCCACTACCCCACTCCCGGAGTCCTTCTTCTCTAGGGGCTCTTGGAGATGTTGGGGGCTCAGGGCTCCCAGAAACCCCTGCTGAGTTCATGCTGCTTAGATTTAACCCATCACTGTCAGGCCTGCAGTCCTGATCCAATAGGGAGCTTCCAGGCCTGAGCCCGGGCCTCCCTCCCCAGCGGTGGCCGCCCTCACCGTCTCGGTCGTCGTCACTGCCCGAGGAGTGGCCGCCGTGGTAGGCCGGACTCTGGGCTCCAGGCAGCTGCGGCGGGCCCTCCTCTTCCTCCTCGCTGGAGCTGGCAGCACGACTGCGGCTGACAGGATAGGAGGCGGCGATGGAGGAGGAGGAGCAGGAGGCCCGGGCCCCGGCCTGCGGTTGGGAGAAGATATGCCAAGAATGTAAACCATCCGCTGGACGCTGCGCCCGCTCCTGTTGCTGCTGCGGCCGGCGCAGCCTCCCTTCGGTCTCCGGCCCGGTCAGGGGCCGCGCCGAACGCAGACCCGCCAGGGGGAAGCATGTCCGAGGGGGTGGCGTCGGTGGCTGCCGCGACTCCCGAGCCGGAGGCTCCCACGCGGCACCGTCGGGGCTGGGCGTTCCTGGGGATTCAGAGTCGGCGCTGGGCCTCCTGGAGCCAGGACCGCCGAAGAGCTTGCGCATCTCGGTGACGCTGGGCCAGGCTCCTCGCGCTGGGCCCTCGGCCGCTTCTTCCGCGGCCGCGGGTAAGACGCCTCCGTCTCGGGTCCCAGCGGAGCCGTCGTCCAGACGCGGCGCGTCGAAGCGCCGGGAGAGCTGGCGAACCGACGGCGAGAGGCTGCGGAGCGGGCGCGGCTGCGCGGGGGCGGCCAGGGGCCCAGACGCCAGCTTGGACACGCGCCGAGAGGGCTGGCCCCGGGCAGCCGTGGTCGGCCGGCACGAGGCGCGTCGCCTCAAGCCGGGGGTGTCCGTGTCCTCCTCCCTCAGCCCGGGGCCGCCGCTCCAGCGCTCCAGCAGCTTGAACGAGACGCTGCGGTAAAGCTGGGGCCGGGGTGCCCCGTCCGCCATAGTGGCGTAACTCACTCCGGGGGGGCTGGCCTCGGGCAGCCGCGGCCAACCCCCCCTGCGCCCCCACTCCCTAGGAGCGCAGCGGCCCACGCCGAAAGCAGCGCACGGGAGTGTGGGAAGAGGACGCAGAGACCGGAGCAGAGGTTTCTCTGCCGCGGCTCAAGTTTCTGTGGCCACCGGCCGCAACGTCTCCATCCCGGGCGGCCCCTCCCGCCTCAGCGCCGACCCCCAGGCCCAGCCCCCGCCGCGGCTGGAGCGACCAGGGGCACCGCGGCACCGCCTGGGCGGGATCCCAGCGCTTGGTTCCTCGACTCTGCGTCCGCCTGCCCAACGCCCTTGGCTGCTCGCTCCTGGCACCCTTTTGTTGCAAATAAACTTTGCGGCAGAGGCAAGGGGGCGGGGGGCGGGGCCTCGCGCCCAAAAGAGGGGGTGGGCTCCGGGCGTGCGCGAGCCTGGGAACCGCGTGGTGGGAGGGAATCAGGGAGGAGCCGAAGAAGAAAAAGCCTGCTGGAGGACTTGCAGACTGAGGCGACCCTCTGGCCCTCCAGAGAGGTCCCTCGGGAGCCCAGCAGGCCGAGCTGCCCCCAGGGAGTCGCTGAGACACACACAACCGCTGAGCGTGCTCAGCTCCGCAGACTCGCAGCCAGGGCGCCGCGTCCACCGCGGGCCACCAGCCTCCGCGCGGAAACACCTCCTGCCCAGGGGCTCCAACATGGCAACCTCGGACTCACAAACTCTCGTACACACTGACACTCAGGTGCACGCAGACGCACACTCTCTGGGCCGGGAAAGGGGTGGGACTCGGCGCCAGGGAGAGCCCGGGGAGCCGCGGGCTAACTGAAGGGTCCGTCGCGCCCTACTCCCCGCCCAGGCCACGCCTCCTCCCCTTCCCTCCCCCTCCCCGCCCGCCCTCTGCGGCGAATTTAGCTGTAGCCACGCCCTTGTCCCCCCATCTCGCTCCCAAGCGCCCCGCCCATCCCACCTCCCAGCCGCCTGTCCGGCTCCGACCGGCCCCCAACCCGCCCAGCGTTGCTCCAGAAGTCCCACCCTTCACGACCGCGCCCCCACCCCTACTTTTCCAGCTGCCACGCCTTCCACCTGCCCCTGCAGTCTGGCGGCTCTTCTCCTGGACTCTCCGCCTGGATCCCCGAGCCTTTTCTTCTTGCTCTGGAGTACGCGGCTCTTGCGCCCCCTCGCGGCGTGATTTTCCCAACGCACGGAGTCCTGGACGGATAAAGCAGCACCCATCCCCCAAAAACGGAGAGTTGTGAAAACTTCCTTTCAGTCGTTACCTAATCCCCTTAGTCTTTTTCAGACCTTCGCAAAGCGCACTGCCCCTTCTTAGGCCTTATACACAAAAGGAGCTTCGACGGGAACGCCCTCGACTTCCCACTGCCAAACCTATACTCTTACCCGCAGCTGCTTCACCTTCTTGGCAGGAAAAGTGTCGGTTGTTTCTCTGGCTTCACGCTGATCCCTCGCTTGAGCTCCCCTCCCGCCCCTGCCTCCGTCTGAGTCTCACATTGTTCTCGGTATTGGGGCATCATCCCCTTCCGCATTCCCACCTGCCTCTAGATCCCATTCATCCTCCCGGCCCAACTAACGAATGAACGAACGAATGAAAATGTATGGAGTACCTATAATGTATGGGCAATATTATTTAACTTATTTTTTAAAATCCACAAACCACCCTTGGGGACAAATATTATTACCCCTTCTCTGTGGACCGTGAAGGAGAAGTAACTTTGACCACTATGCAAGTCAGGAAATAGCAGCTCCTGCTAAAATTCAGATTTCAGGGGCTTCAAACACCATGCTCCTCCAGCCAGCTCTGAGATGCACCCCCAAATCCTGATGAAGAAGGAGGTTCTCGTTCCTTTGAGCCCCCAGTCTCCTCCTTCTCCTCCTTGGGCCTGAGCTCACTCTCCTCAGGAACAGAGGATAACCTGGTCTGACCCATGCCCCTCCAGCGCTGCCCAGCCTTCTTCAGGCCTGGTCAAACTGCCCTGGCCCCTCCAACCCCCAGTAGCAAGGCCTCGGGGACACATAGTTAGGTCAGCAGTCTGTGCATTACCCAGCCAACCCCACTGCCACCAGGTCCAGCCAAGGAGATGTAGCTGGGCCAGACTAGGCTAGGAGACGGGGTTCAGAGGAGAGGGGCAGGCAGGAGGATAGGAAAGGATGGTAGACACCCAGGGATTGCCTGACTACCGAATGAGAGAGAGAGGACTCAGCCGGGACTCCAGAACCTGCTTGCTACTCATATACCCCACAGGATGAGGAGGTCACTCTCCACTCTCTGGGCAGCCTCTTGAGTTGTGGAATATCTCTGTAGCAAGAAAGTGCTTCCTCTCTGTGTTGAGACCAGCATCCAGGGAGTCCCTCACCTCAACCTCATCTCAGCTCTGCCTCAAGGGGGCCAAGGAGTAAATCTCTCCCTTTTCTCTAGGAAATTGATAAAAGAGAGCCCTGCTGGCCTGTGCCTCTCTGTTCGGCCTTACTCTGTGACCTTGGGTAAATCCCTGCACTTGCTGGTGTCTGAAAAGTGAGGAGTGGGGTGTCTGAAAAGTGAGGAGTGGTTCAGGTTCCCCAAGAGTGCCCTCTCTGGCTCTGGCATTTGATGTCAGACTCTCACCTCCTTTAGTATTTTCTTTCTGCTCTTTGGGGCAAGTTTTGGTGTGTGCTGTGGGGTGAGTTGTGGAGGGGTGAGTTGGGGAGGGGTGAGTTGTGGAGGGGTGAGTTGTGGAGGGGTGGGTTGTGGAGGGGTGGGGGACAGGACTCTCATCCCAGGAGTCACTCTCTCCCCCCATAATGATGACTCTTACTATCTGAAATTTGTACTTTTCCACCTCCCTGTCAGTTCTGGGACAGAAACCCTTATCCCATATCACAGATGGGCAAGTGGATAGAGAGGAGTGGAGGTTCAGGTCATGGGCTCCCAGAGTCCTGTGGCTTGGCCTTGAGGTGAGCTGGCTGGGGCCTTTGGCTCAGGAATCCCCTTGGTGGGGAGGGGGGTGTTTAAGGATCTAGACTGGGTCTCTGTCCAAAGGGAAGCTCACCCAATCTGAGAGTGGCTTGATTGCTTCCAGTGCTTCAGGAACCCTCCCACCCCCAGCTCCTTATGATCCAGTATAAGACAAAGTTATCTTCCATGAACAGAAGAGATCTGGAATTTTAATGGTGCTTGGTAATTATGTACAGCAATTTTTAGCCCCAAGAAGACTTATTTGATAGGGGGCTGGGAGCACTGGGCACCAGAGTGGAGAGAAACCCTACGCTGGGGTTTTGAAGCCAGGCTCACCTTCCGCAGCTCACCCCCTTTTCTCTGGGCCCCAGGCTCCTCACCTATGAAAGGGTAATGAAAACAATAGCCCATCTACCCAGTGAGTCATGGTGATCTAGTGAGGTGAGGACCGTGGAATCCCTTGGGGAAATCAAGATGGGAAGGTTTTGAAGGTCACAGGTCATGGCCAGTGATGGGCTTTGGTGGGCTTCGGGTACAGATAAGTCCCCAGCTCATGATATTTCAACTTAATGATTTTTTGACTTTATGATGATGCAAAAGCTATGTACATCCAGTAGAAACCATACTTTGAGCACACATATAATCATTCTGTTTTTCACTTTCAGTATTCAATAAATTACATGAGATATTCAGCATTTTATTATAAAATAGGCTTTGTGTTAGATGATTTTTGTCCAACTCTAGGCTATGGAAGTGTTCTGGGCCTGTTTAAGGTGGGTTAGGCTAAGCTCTGATGTTTGGTAGGCTAGGTGTATTAAATGTCTTTTTGACTTATAATATTTTCAGTGGGTTTATTGGGATGTAACCTCATCGTAAGTCGAGGAGCAACTGTACTTAAGAGGGAGAGAAATGATGAGTGCGGGGACAAGAAGCAATGAGCTCCATGAAGGAGCTGTCTTAGGGGGAAATCTGACTCTTCTGACTCCATTGCAAAGCCAAATAGAAACTATCTGAGATTGCCCCCTTTCCTATATAATTAGACCTTAAGCACACAGGATTAAATTCTTTATAATATTTTGATAATGATACATTCTCATCAGTTATTTAATTGGCTTTCGCCAAAAAACAAAACAATACAACTAGGACCTTTAAAATAATTCACATCTCATTATACAGTTCTTCTGCTCCCATCCTCCTGCTGTCCCACCACACAGAAAATCAGAAAATCATCATCTCAAATCCTGTGTTCAGCATTCTCTTGCTTTCCTTCAAACATATTCCTTCAAACTATATATTCCTTCAAACTATATCTTTTCATTTTAGTTGTTCTTAACTTTATAAAAAAAAAAAAGGCATCCTGCTGGACGTGGTGGCTCACGCCTGTAATCCCAACACTTTGGGAGGCTGAGGCGGGTGGATTGCTTGAGGCCAGGAGTTCAAGACCAGCCTGGCCAACATGGTGAAACCCAGCCTCTGTTAAAAATACAAAAATTAGCCAGGCGTGGTGGTGCATGCCTATAATCCCAGCTTCTTGGGAGGCTGAGGCAGGAGAATCACTTGAACCCAGGAGGTGGAGGTTGCAGTGAGCCAAGATCACACCACTGCACTCCAGCCTGGGCAACAGAGCAAGACTGTCTCAAAAAAAAAAAAAAAAAAGGAGGGGGGTTTCTTGCTTTACAAAATTTGTTGGGACTTCTTTTTTCTTAATATTAAGAAAAGATTTACCCATATTGTTGCATGCCTCTATACTCCATTCTGGCCATGTGGACTATTTCAGTGTGTGACTATATCACAGTGTGTTGATCCAGTGTCTTGCTGATGCACATTTGGGTGTTTCCAGGTGTTTGCTGAGCATTGTGCATGACTCCAGGTACACATGGACAGAAGTGCTTGGGCATAGGGCAGGCAATTGATCAACATTGGGAAGCATTGTCAAGCTGGGATCTAATTTCTCGTCTATGTTTTTTAATCATCTGTGTTTCCTTTTTTTTTTTTTTTTTTTTTTTTGAGACGGAGTTTCTCTCTTATTGCCCAGGCTGGAGTGCAATGGTGTGATCTTGGCTCATTGCAATCTCTGCCTCCCAGGTTCAAGCAATTCTCCTGCCTCAGCCTCCCAAGTAGCTGGGATTACAGGTGCATGCCACCACGCCCAGCTAATTTTTATATTTTAGTAGACACAAGGTTTCACCATGTTGGTCAGGCTGGTCTCAAACTCCTGACATTGTGATCCGCCCATCTCAGCCTCCCAAAATGCTAGGATTACAGGCATGAGCCACCACGCCTGGCCTTGTGTTTCCTTTCATATGAAGTGCTTATTTGTGCCTCTTGCTCATTTTTCTATTGGGTTATAGTATGTTTAGTACTTTATGAAATTTCTGCTCTAACTTTTCTATTCCTCGGTATCCCTGGTGGCTTAGGAAGGTCTAGTATTTTACAGGTAAGGAAACAGAGGCTCAGAGGAGTGAAGGTGCTTGGTCAAAGTCACAGACTCTGTTGCAGCCCTTCTGCACTGAGCTAATGCCTTCTGAGGCCTTCTGAGGCTCTAGGCCTCACTCAGATACATTTTCTGCCCCTCAACTAGGTCAGGGCCCCTCTGGTATTTAGCATTTCTTGGCCATGGACCATTCCAGGAGCTCATCATCTCCCTAGTGATACCTTCCTTGCCTGGGTCCTCTTTATGATCTGAGCTCTCTTCCCCAGCTGTAATGATCCAGGTCTGTATATGTTTCATTATTACCTGTCTCCTCCATCAGACTAGGGGCTCCCTGAGGGCCCAGCATGATGCTTGGCATATAGGAGGTGCCCAATAAGTATTGTTTACTGGATGAACTGTTTCCTTGTCTGCATCCCAAACCCCTTGGATTCTTTCCCAAGACTAGGGCCTGGACCTGAGCTCGTCTCAGAAACACAGAGTCAATATTCATTGAACAAATGAATGAGGGAGGAAGAGGCCAGCTTTGTCCATTGCTAGGACAGATCAAATGCTCCTGGGCTTTTCCTGTTTGGAATGGAAATTTCCCCAAGACAGTCACTGATTCCCGACTTTCTAGCTTCCCAATCCTTGCTCCTACCTCCCCACCCCCACCCCACCCGGGTTCTCTGCCCTCAACTGCCACCAGCCAACTCTCAGCAACAACTTTGTCCTGGAAACTCCATCCCTGGGCCTGGCCTTTCTTGGAATCTTTCTCCCTCTTCTCTTCTCCGCCTACTACCCCTACTTCCTTCCCTGAAACCTCTCACTCACTCACCCAGCTCCACTCTCCCCTCATACCACCATCATTCAGAGACCCCTGGGCTCCTGCCCTCCACGTCTGTGGCTCCTTCTCCTCAGCTCCCTAATCTTGGAGTTCCCAGAACGACTCCCCTCTTCCCACTCTTTCTTTCATGAAGCCCACCCACCCACTTGAGCTCAAGCCACTTTGGGGCTGACCATTCCCCAGGCTCTGCATCTTTTCTAAGCAGCCTTCCCGGTGTCCCTAGACCTTGTTGGCTCCTAGCTCCCACTCCAGCCTAGACCCTGGCCCCATCTCTGTCCAGGTCACTGCCTCGCCTGCACCTAAGGTCCACCATCCCAGGATGGAACCCAAGTAAAGGTATTAGTTTTGGCTGTGGGTCACAAAAGCCCCCCCAAAACTAGTGGCTTTAAAAAGATAGACATTTATAATAATGTTATGGGAATAATAATGAAGCTGAGGCACAGAGAGATGAAATAACTTGCCCAGGCCGGATGCGGTAGCTCATGCCTGTAATCCCAGCACTTTGGGAGGCTGAGGCGGGAAGATCACCTGAGGTCAGGAGTTCGAGACCATCCTGACCAACATGGTGAAACCCCATCTCTACTAAAATATAAAAATTAGCTGGCCGTGGTGGCATGTGCCTGTAATCCCAGCTACTCAGGAGGCTGAGGCAGGAGAATAGCTGGAACTCAGGAAGTGGAGTTTTGCAGTGAGCCACGATCACGCTATTGCACTCCAGCCTAGAAAACAAGAGCAAAACTCCGTCTCAAAAAAAATAAAAAATAAAAAATAGGCCAGGCACGGTGGCTCATGCCTGTAATCCCAGCACTTTGGGAGGCTGAGGCTGGCAGATCATGAGATTAGAAGATAGAGACCATCCTGGCCAACATGGTGAAACCCTGTCTCTACTAAAATACAAAAAATTAGTCAGGTGTGGTGGCACGCACCTGTAGTCCCAACTGCTCGGGAAGCTGAGGCAGGGGAATCGCTTGAACCCAGGAGGTGGAGGTTGCAGTGAGCTGAGATGGCACAACTGCATTCCAGCCTGGCGACAGAGCAAGACTCCGTCTCAAAAAAGAAATTAAAAAACTAAAAATAAAAAATAAATAAATAACTTGCATAGCATAACACAGCTAGTAAATGGTAGAGCCAGGACATATGCCAGGATGGTCTGGCTCTGGAGTCTGCACCTTCCATGCTATTTGGCCTCACAAAGGGAAGCTTGGAATGGAATTTACCTGTGGGTCACAATTTCCACTCCTGGAAGAGTAAGCAAAGGGTCACAGCTCTTGGAGGTCAGCTGGGACAGTCATCTGGGACTCTCTACAGGGGCTCAGGTGGGCTACGAGCAGAGGCCCTGTCCCCTGCCCTTGCTCTCACTATCCCCTAGCCCCCATCCCAGGCAATTGAGAAGATTGGTCTCAGACTCAAAGCTAGATGCAAGGTGGGTCCTATGTGCCCCGCTTGGCACGGCGGGGCACCGTACAGGGAATAAAAACCAGCCTCTGTCTTCTAACATAAATCAGTCTTGCTGTGGTCACAAGTCAAAGTTCCTTCTGTCCAAATGGTCTGCCTCTCCAGCAAGGACACTTTGAATGGCCTCCCAGGGTGGGTTGGGCCTGGGTTTCCAACTTCCTCAGCCAGCTGCAAGCACACCTGTGACATTACCATGGTGTTTAACTCCTCCATTGCCCCTCTCTGAATGACCCTATTGCCCAGCAGCTTGGGGACTAGGTGGGGCTAAAAGAAAAATATTGCATAAGTTATACAGTCCTTCCCCTCCCTGCTCTGCCTTCCAAAAAGACAGTTTCTGTATGGTGCACCAGCAGCCAAGGGCAGGCTAGATTGTTCTACATAAGAAAAACAGATCTGGGAGGAGGGCACAAGGACTGGAGGAGAAGTGAGGGGGAGAAGAAATGAAAAAAAAAAGTGGCAGAGAGAATGAGGAGCTGCAAAGGAGTGGCTGAGGGGTGGTTCTGGGAGGGGAAGAGGATTTGGTGGAGGGTGTGGGGTCTTTTTTTTCTTTTCTTTTCTTTCTTTCTTTCTTTCTTTTTTTTTTTTTTTTTTTTTTTGAGATGGAGTCTCACTCCGTCCCCAGGCTGGAGTACAGTGGTGCAATCTTGGCTCACTGCAATCTCCGCCTCCTGGGTTCTAGCAATTCTCCTGCCTCAGCCTCATGAGTAGCTGGGACTACAGGCGCCCACCACCATGCCCAGCTAATTTTTGTATTTTTAGTAGAGACGGGGTTTCACCATGTTGGCCAGGATGGTCTCAATCTCCTGACCTCATGATTCGCCTGCCTCAGCCTCCCGAAGTGTTAGGATTACAGGCATGAGCCACCACACCTGGCTGGGTGTGGGGTCTTGTGTGCTACCAGTCCCCTTTGCTGCTTCCTCCAGGGACCTTCGGTAAAGATGCCTTTCCAAGGCTTTGAAAGGCTCGGATCTGCGTTTGACATGCCTCCTTATGAGATGGCCTCAAGGCAGCTCTCTGGGTACCCACGTCAGAACGATGGGCCTGAGAGGGCAGGAGGGGAACACGGCGGGAACAGTCTGTCATGAGACTGGTCAGTAGGCTTCCAGCCGTGGGACCTCCATGTAGCAGCTTCCTGGTGGCCCTGAGGCTCTCAAGCTGCTGGCTCCTCCATTTAGAATGAAGCAATGTTGAACAGTTGTTTCCCCTCACTTAGGGGCCTGGTGGAGGTACCCCAGGTACAGAGGATACCCTAAGGTTGAAAGAGCCACACTTGAAGAGGTAGATGAAGGAGAGGTGGATCAGGGGCTCATCCTAGCATTGAATGCTCTGGCCCTACCCAGCTCTTTTCCTGGCCACCCCCTTCCACACACCCAGGCCCCACCCCACCCCGCCTACCCCCCATTTAATCGAAACTCATTGTTGCTTTACAGCCAATTTTTTTTTTTTTTTTTTTGAGACAGAGTCTTGCTTTGTCACCCAGGCTGGAGTGCAGTGGTGCAATCTTAGTTGACCACAACCTCCACCTCCCAGGTTCAAGTGATTCCCATGCCTCAGCCTCTGGAGTAGCTGGGACTATGGGCACCTGCCACTATACCCAGCTAATTTTTGTATTTTTTAGTAGAGATGAGTTTTTGCCATGTTGGCCAGGCTGGTCTCAAACTCCTGACCGCAAGTGATCTGCCTGCCTCGGCCTCCCAAAGTGCTGGGATTACAGGTGTGAGCTACCATGCCCAGCCCCTCAGATCATTTCTAACTCTGGGTTTTGCACACATCACGCCCATGCCTTCTACTGGGAGTAGCTCCAGAGCTGCTTCACTCTGCTTTTTGAATTCCTCCTGGCTCAAGCTGATCCCTTCTTCTTTTCTTTTCTTTTTTCTTAGTTATTATTTAATTTTGTTTTGTTTTGGGTTTTTTTTGAGACAGGTTCTCGCTCCATCGCCCAGGCTGGAATGCAGTGATGTGATCTCGGCTCACTGCAACCTCCGCCTCCCAGGTTCAAGCAATTCGCTTGCCTTAGCCTCCCGAGTAGCTGGGATTACAGGCACCAGCCACCATGCCCAGCTAATTTTTGTATTTTCGGTAGAGACAGGGTTTCACTGTGTTGGCCAGGCTGGTCTCAAATTCCTGACCTCAAGTGATCCACCTGCTTCAGCCTCCCAAAGTGCTGGGATTACAGATGTGAGCCACTGCTCCCGATTTATTTTAATTTTTTTAGAGACAGTGTCTCCCTCTGTCGCTCAGGCTGGAATGCACTGGATCACTCCTAGCTCACTGTAATCTCGAACTCAGCACCTCAGCTTCCTGAGTAGTTAGTACTACAGTCAGACACCACCACACCAGGCTATTTTTTATATTTTTTTGTAGAAACAGGGTCTTACTGTGTTGCCCAGGCTGGTCTAAAACTCTTGGGCTCAAGCATTCCTCCTTCCTTGGCCTCCCAAATTGCTGAGATTACAGGCATGAGCCACTGCACTTCGCCCCCTGCCTCTTCTAAGAAGCTTCCGCCGCTTAATCCCTCCATTGGCTTCCCACTGCCTGGAGCATCTGGCTAACTCTTGCCCTTGTCTGGAGGGTAGCTGAAGCACAGCTCCCATTTTCTCAGCTTTCACACACGCAAGGCCATGTGTCCTCTGCTCTGGCCCTCTGCCTGTCTGCCCAGGGCAGAGCCCAGCACGAGGCTGGCCCAGCTGGATATGCATGGAGCATACCTGGGTTGCATTAAAGTGCTCCCCACTTCTGCTTGCCAAGTTCCCACTCAGCCCTCAACATCTGGCTCAGATGCTCCCTCCTCAGAGAGCTCTTTCCTGACTCCTTGGACTGGGTCATGGGCACTGTCTGTGTACCCCCTCCCCCCAGCCATGCTTCCCTCTGTCACAACCCTGATGTTGCTGTGCCAGTCTGTACTTCCAGCAGTTGGGAGCCCGTATGGACCAGGGCTAGGACTGGTTCTTCTAGGGCCCCAGAACCAACACAGGCCTGAGCACAAGGTGTCAGTAAAGGCTTTCTAAATAAATGGAATATCACTCCTCTCCAGAGAGCTCATAATCATCCCTCAAAACCCAGCTCAAATGCCCCTTCCCAGAAGCTCTCACCTCCCCCTCTCATCTTCCCTCACCCGCTTCATTGGTGACTCAAAGCATGGAGCATACCCCTTGATGACAGTACACGTCACACTGTATTTTTGTGAGCACCTTAATGTGGTTTCCCCAGCTCTCCATGGCTGACTGGGACCTCTCAAGAGCCAGGCCCAGGTCTGTCCATCTCCATGCCCACAGGGTCTGGGCCAGAGAAGGGGCTGAAGAAATAGTTTTTGGTGAGCTTCTGGGTCCTGTGAGGGATCTTAACTCCATGCCCAGCTGAGCTGAACTCTAATTCTCCGCATGGTTTGGGGTTGGTGGGGCTCCTGGTGCCCCGGACACAATGGCAAATATGAAGGCTGCCCAGGACCTGGAGGACTCAGCGACCCTGCCTCTGCCATTTGGCTGTGAGTTTCTGTAGGAGCTCATGTGGTCGCCGGCGGAACTTCTTCTGGGTGAAGTAGAAGAGGATGGGGTCCAGCACGCTGTTGGCACTGGCAAACGGCCGCGTGCCTTTGTAGGCCGCTGCAAAGGCCTCCAATACAGTGCAGGGGACGCCCGGCGTCGAGCGCACTGCCAGGTAGGCTGTCTTGGTGATGTGAAAAGGCAGGAAGCTGATGGCAAAGGCAGCAGCCACCACCACGGCCATGCGGGCCGCCTTGCCACGCCGCTCCTGGGCCACAGGCTCTGCCGGGCCATCCTGGCGGCACAGGCGGCAGGCCAGGAGACAGTAGCAGGCCAGCAGGGCAGCAAAGGGCAGCAGGAAGCCGATGACAGTGAGAGCCATGCCATAGGGCATATAGTGGGTGGCCAGGGCAGGCGGGCTGAGGTCATAGCAGACAGTGCGGTTACGCTGGATGCCTGTGGCAGCGAAGATGGCTGTGGGCAGGCACTGGGTTGTCACGGCCAGCCACACGGCTACACACACTAGCCAGGCAGCCCGGCGGCCCCCACGTTTGTGCCAGGGGGCCAGCGGGTGGCAGATGCCCAGGTAGCGCTGGAAGCTGATGCAGGTGAGGAAGAGGATGCTGCCGTGCAGGTTGGCATAGAAGAGGAAGCGGACCAGGCGGCAGGCGAAGTCGCCAAAGGGCCAGTGATCACCTTGGGCATAGTTGTAGATGAGCAGGGGCAGGGAGCAGGCATATAGCAGGTCAGCCAGAGCAAGGTTTAGGGTGTACACGGCCGTGCGGGTCAGGGCCCGGCGGGACGTGCAGATCTGGGTAATGACACAGATGTTCAGCGGCAGGCCAGCCGCCAGCACCGCCGAATACACAGGTGGCAGCAGCAGTTGCTTGAAGTTCTCGCGGTAGACACAGGTGGTGGGTGGCAAGCCCAGAGCCTGGCCTGTGCCATTGTCCCATTCCATGGCTGCCCAGGTGGGTTTCCTATGTTCAGGGAGGCTGGGAAAGCAATACACAGCCTGTCAGTGACATGCTCACTCACCACCCAGCAGGCCCTGCCCCTCCTCGGGCCTTGATCTCCCTGTCTGAACAGTGAGGGCACTAACTTTGTCAACTCGGCTACTCTAACCACCCCGTGAAGCCCCACAGAGCCCTCACTTTGAGAAAACTTGGGATACAATAAAGCTAACTCTTGGGAGCAATCTGATTCATTTTGTTTATATATTATATATATATATATATATATATATTTTTTTTTTTCCTTCAGCCTTCCTAGTGAACTTCTATTCATCCTTCAAAGCCCTGATCATATGTTTCTTTCTCTGTTAGTGGAGATTGATGGACTTGGGTTTGAATCCCAACTCTGTTATGCATTTGCTATATGACCTTGAGGTGGTGATTTCATTTCACCCGAGAAAAGGGGGAATGCGGCACCTGCCTCTCAGGGATGTCACGAGGTTAGAAGCACTAAATCATGCTGTGCAGGGCTGCCAGGGGCTCACTGGGGTGTGGAGACTCTGGTCATGGTGGATCTGCATGTCTCTCAGAGACTGAGACCTGCCTGAGAACAGGGGCCAGGTCTGGTGTCTCTCTGCATCTTCGCCCAGGGTCTGGGGCGGAAAAGGGCCCTGATAACTCTTAGTTAACCAATGCGAAGGGTCCACACACCAGGGGCTCACTGAGGACCGCACCCATCTCCTCAGCCTGAACTCCGCCTTCCAAAGCCATGGTTCTTCTGGCAGAGGTCTTGTTATCTGTAAAATAGGGGAAGGAGGTGATACCCAGTTCCCCAAGGCTTCTTTCCACTTGAGGCTACAAAGGCAGGTTTGGCAGAGCCTCTGACAACACAGCGCCTCCTAGTGCCCAGAGTGAAAACAGCGTCCCTGAAGGCGGATGGGTGAGGGACCGAGTCAACCGTTTGTTTACAGAGATGGAAATCCAGGCACAGTGAGGGGCAGGGACTGCTCCTTCTTTCTTCGTGACTCAGAGCAGAGTCAGAACCAGAACCCAACTGCCCAATCCAGAAGAGACAGCTTAGTGTAGCCCACAGACATGGGATGTAGAGGTTACATGACCAACTTCAGAGCTAGGCAGGCCTGGGTTTAAATGTTGCTCCCCCACTTCCATGCTGTGTGAAGCAGGTTATGTCACAGTGTCCTCATCAGTGAAATATGCGGTGATGACATTCAGTAGTGCTCAATAAATGCCATGCCATTGCATTCTACATCTTGTCCCTCCTCTCATTCTTTCGGGCTGGGTTTTGGGAGAGCCAGCAGCACAAATACCCTAAGGGGTTCCCTGATGGGGTAAGTCTGACTCCTAGACACTCACCTCGAAACTGACATTGCCATATTACTGGTGTCTAGAGAAAATTTGCAACTTAAATCCAATGGGCCTTTGAGATAGTGAATCTAATCCTCCTCTCTTGCCATTTTACAGATGGAAAAACTGAAGCCCAGAAAAAATATGAAGTCCTGCAAATGCACTCAGTGGGTGGTAAAGGGTTCAGGCAAAGTATATGGACTCTGATCCAGATGCTCAGGTTCAAGTCCCAGCTATGCCATGGATGAGCTCTGTGGTCTTGGGCATACTAGTTAACCTCTGTTCTCCAGATTCCCCATCTGTAAAATGAGATGAGATAGTACCTGCCTTATAAGATTGTTGTGAAGATCAGTGCCTGGCATGGGGCCAAGTGTTTGCTGTTCTTACTGTACCTACTAAGTAAGGTTATGGGATTTTTTAAAGTTATATTAGAGAAAAATACATTTGTCCCAACTTGCAATTTCATTTTGGTGGAGCTATTTTATCCCATTTTTGGGCAAAATGATAATGTTGGATTCTATAGTCTGCAGCCCACATCCCATGTCACTCTCAGTTATCAAAGATTCTTTGTGGGACTTTAGCCCATATGCTAGGGGTGCTGGGTGCCCAGCTAGGACAAGGTAGGCACAATGGGGAGGCCAGAGGAAGAAACATAGCAGCCCACCATAGCATAGCCAGGAAGCCAGGATTAGCACAGGCAGAGAATGTCCACTCATCTCTTCATTCATTGGTTCAGGCCATTCTCATTCACATGTTCATTCTCTTGTTTTCACATGACAGGGATTCACGGAGTCCTCCCTGCCAGCTAGATACATGAGGGCATAGTGTATAGGTGGACATGGAGATATGGGGATACAGATACAGATATGCTAGTCTGATGGAGGAGACCAGTGTGAGCCACCTGATGGAAGAGACTTTTCAGAGCAGAATGAAAGACAGAGCAAGGCCTGGGTGGTTGAGGAGGATTTCCATGAGTGGAAAAGGGTGTAAGGACACTCCGGGTGAGGAGGAAGGTTGAAGAACATAGCACCCCTCTATCATGTTCCCCTCGTCACCATAACCCTCTGTCCTTGCAGACTGATCTCCTCTCATACAGGGTCTGACAAAGAAATCTGAGGAGAAAGAAAACTGCTGGTTCGGTGGGGCTGGCCTTCAAGAGGCAGCCTCTGCCCCTCCCTGACCCCTCTCCTCACACAGGGTCTGAGGAGACCAGTCTGCAAGGGAAGAGGGTTGTGGTGAGGAGGAGAACATGCTAGAGGGGTGCTGCATCCCTCAACCTCCCTTTGGGAGGCCTGCACCCTCAGATCCCACCCCCAGGGACAGCCCTCTGTCTCAGATGACTGGGGGCTGCAGTGTGCCGCTCCCACACCCTGGTGAGACTGATCCTCCTGGGACCCCCTCCCCTCCCTCTTGGAAGGAGGCAGGGGGCTGCAGGAGGGGATCCGGTGCACAGCTCTCTGGGAAAACCTTCAGGGCTGTGTCAGGAAAGACAGACCTGGCCATTGCCTGGGCTCTCTTGTCTACTTTCTGAGGACCTAGGAGAGGTGAGCTGTTCTTCCAGTTCCTGGCAGGGGCCGGCCTCAAGGAGGGTGCTCTTGGCTCCCACCTCCAGGCAGCAGCTGACCTTGGCGCTGACATCTGTCACTAGCTTTTGGGTCCTAAGTCCTGGACCAGGCTAGACCCCAGCCTCTTCCTGGGCTGGACTCTGCCCATGGTGGGGGGCTTGCTAACAAGTGGCTCTGACTACATCCTTCTCTGCATCCCTCTGCCCTTTGGGGGAAAAGCCCAAACCCTTTTCCTGACATTCAAGACCCCTGCCAAGCCCTCCAGTCCTATCTGAAGTACGCCAGGGCCACTCTGCCCTTGCCCCTTCCTCTTTTGTCACACATTCCCAAGACATGGAGACTCCCACACAGCCAGTGGCAGCCAGAGAGCCAGAATCCCTTTCCAGCCTCCCCATCTCCACTGTTCCCTTCACACAAAATGCCATTCAACTAATCTCCATTCATCAAAACCCTAAGTGTCTATCTAGCTCCAGATCTCACCTTGCTTCTTCCTTTTTTTATCCCCCCAGCTGGGTGGAATCCCTTCCTCTGGGCCTCCTAACTCTGTGGCCCTCCTTTAAGTCAATGCTGAACCCAGCCTACCTACCCGAAGTCACAGTTCCTTGTGTCCACCTCCCCCCCCCACCCCCCGCAACCCCTGCACTGGCCCATGGCCCCAAGATGCACTGACACTCACAGGCAGCCTCCTGTCCCTGCAGCACGCTGGTGGTCCCAAGTGTGTTGGGGCAAAGGGAAGCCAGACCTGAGGCTCCCCACTCTCCTGCCCTCAGCTAGGCTGCAACTTCTCTGACAGAGTGAGCAGCTTCCTCTGTTTCCTGGCAGGGCTGTCTCTGACTAAAAGAGCCCCTGTGGGGGCCACCGGCTCCCTGCCATCCCCAACACCACGCCTAGTGCCTGGCGGAAACTGGGCTTAGAGGAGCAAGGAGGTGGAAAAAAGGCGTCCTTCCCGGAATACTCCCCTACCCCAGCAGGGGAAAGAGGGGGATGGGGGCAGAGGAGGAGGGGTAGGGGAGAACCAGAGGCTGCCAGCCCCACAGAACCAGGAATTTTCTTTCTGCTCAGCCCTCTCTCAGTCTTCTCAGTTGTCAAATGGGTAGGGCAGTGATTAGAGAGCTCATGGCTCCTCCTTTAGCTATAACACTCAGAGCCACGGGGTGTCCATTCCTCCTCCCAGCCATTCACTCACCCATCTAGCCTGCCTTCCCTCATTCAATAGCTCACTCACCAACATGTCCATCTACCCATCCCTCCATGTGGCAATCCACTTACGTACAAACTTACTCAGCCGCCTTCTCCCCCCGCTTCCCTCTTCTTCTTTTCTCCACACACACTTATCGAGTACCTACTATGTGTCACCAGATCCTCCCACATTCCCCCATTTCACAGCGACTGCCCCTTCCACACGGCAGGCGCAGAGCGCATGAGGAGTGATGGACGTGGGCTGTGGAGATAGATGTGATGCCCCTGAGGACCCAGCTGCCTCATCCACCCCAGCCCCTCCTCACCACCAAACTGGCCTCAGAGCTGTTAGGAGACCAGAGCAGGGGATGTGGCTCCTCACTGTCCCAGGGAGGCCAGCTCCAGAGGGGGAAGCAGCATTCCAAGAGGGCGACCTGGAGGAGGTGGGCTTTGATTTGGAGCAGCTGAGGCAGCAAGGCAGGTGGCATGGGAGGATGGTGTGGGGAAAGAATGCTGCCCTGGGAGTTTGAGGCCCAGGTTCTTACTCCACCTTTGCCCCCAATCACTGACTAGATAAGCCCCTTCCCTTCTCTGAGCCTCCTCGGTAGAATATGGTCATACTGATCACCAGTGTGCTGGGAGGATGAAGTGCCACTCAGGGTGGCTCATCTTCTACCCTGGGAGGTGCAGAGGAGACTCCTAGAGCCTAGAGCATCAGAGCTGAAGGTGCCTTTAAAGGCATCGATCTCACCCCAAAGCCATTTTTACAGGCAAGGGGATTGAGGAACAGAGTGGGAACCCAAAGTTTGGATCACACTGAGAAAAATCAGGTTTGAACTTCTGGTAAACACTTGGTCAGTTGTGCACAGGTTGAGCACCTAGTGCTTGCTCAGGCCTGTGCTAAGAGGTCACTTCTGCCAGCTGAGTGTGGACCTCCTGGTTGGATTTGACCTGTGCTGTGGCCCAGGAGAGCAAGGTGGCCTTCAGCTCAGCAGCCAGTCCTTTGCTGGGTCCCTGGGACAACCTCCCGTACCCACTCCCAGCAGGGCGGGTCACTGTCCCAGGAATGGGAACAGCTCTGAGGACTCCTGGGAGGTGTTGGCCCCAAGGCAGGGCAGGGCAAGGCTTGGGTAAGAAGCCTAAGTGGTCTCAGTCCCTGCAACCTGGATGGATGGGAAACACAAAGCTGTCCCTATCATGCCTTATCCACCCAGACGTGCAGATCTGGAGACCCCTAATCCCACCGCTCTGCTCAGATAAGAGCACTTGGACTAACCTCAGAGGGGAAGGAAAGGCTCATGGGGTCCCACTTGACAGATGGAGAAAGAAACTAAGGCCAGCTGCCCCTTCCTCACCCTCTTCTCAGGGGTTCAAGGACATACAAGAGGCCTGGCCTGGCACCTCAACAACCACTGAGTACCCATTACCCACCGGCCTTTTAGTTCTTTGCCTTCCTAACAGAGTCTAGGTTTGAGGGCCCTCAGGACCTTGGAACCACAGCATCCTAGGGCTTGGGACTTCAAAGAATCTAAGGATGACTGAATCGGAGCCAAGGAACTGCCTTGCTCTCACCGGGCCTTAGCTTTGCCCATGGACCTGGCTAGGCCTAGAGGAGGGGGCAGGGCCCGGGAGGGAACACTCAGGTCTGAGGGGTCATGGGTGCACCTGGGAGGGAGTAACCTGCAAAGCTCATGGAGAAAGCATGTCCATTGCTGGGCACTGAAGGGCCAGAGGGACCTGGACACATAACAAGGCTGAAGAGGGCATCGCAGACAGGAGGCCCAGTGTGGGCAAAGGCACAGAAGTGGGGAATGAGCTTAACCTCTGTGAGAAATAAATAAATACAGAAGCCAGAGCAATGGATGAGCTCTGCAAAGAGGGGGCCTCAGATGGGAGGCCTGAGAGGGGCTGGCCCATCATGAACCTCCAAGGCAGAGCCTTCTTCTGGCAGAGATCCTCCCTCTTTGGCCTCCCAAAGTGTTGGGATTACAGGCATGCACCACTGTGCCCAGCCAGTCTCCCTCCTTCCCTTCTTTCTTTCTCTTTCTTTCCTTCTTTCTTTCTTTCTTTCTTTCTTTCTTTCTTTCTTTCTTTCTTTCTTTCTTTCTTTCTTTTCTTTCTTTCTTTCTTTCTTTCCTTCCTTTCTTTTCTTTCCCCCTCTCTCTCTCTGACTCTCTCTTTCTTTCTTTCTTTTTTTGACGGAGTTTCACTCTTGTTGCCCAGGCTGGAGTACAATGGCACGATCTCGGCTCACTGCAACTTCCGCCTCCCAGGTTCAAGCGATTCTCCTGCCTCAGCCTCCCAAGTAACTGGGATGTACAGGCATGTGCCACCACACCAGACTAATTTTGTACTTTTAGTACAGATGGGGCTTCTCCATGTTGGTTAGGCTGGTCTCTAACTCCCGACCTCAGGTGATCCACCTGCCTCGGCCTCGCGAAGTGCTGGGATTACAGGCGTGAGCCACCGTGCCTGGCCAGTATTGTTTCTTAAATGCCTATTCTGTGCCAGATGTTTTATCTGCAGTTCTGGGCAATTTGGTGGGGGGTGGATTATTCCCTCCCCTTTATAGACGAAGAAACTAAGGCTCAGGAAGGGCCAGTGAGTTTTCCAAGCTATCCCAGCCAGGTGGCATTTCAACATGTTCTTCTTGACCCTAAGGCCCCCTTCTCCATTGTTCCCCCCAAAATCGGAGCTTGGATGCTCAGATCAGGGGATTCCCAGGGGAGTTAGGTCTTCCCTGCATTGAGACCCTGTAGCCATGAGATGGCGCCAGAGGACAGCCAGCCCCGTTCCGTCACACAGCCAGGGAGGGGTGAGGGCAAGGCTGGTCTGCCCACAGTGGGGGGCCTCCCCTCGGGGCTGGCACTGAGCAGCCTCCGGACTGGGTTTCCAGTCTCAGTTCCTCTTGACCCACTCTCCAACCTTCCTTCCACTCACCCTCCCCAGATGAGCTGAAGCTCTCGTTCTCAGGTCCTCACCCTGGTCGATGTGGTCACAGGAGCCACTGGGGACGTGGCAGGGACGACAGGGTCAGCACCACGCCCTGTCTGTCTGACATAGAGGCCCTGGCCTCAAGCATCCACCGCCCATCTCCACCCGGGTACACCTTTGGCAAAACACGGCAGCCCCTCCCCTCACAGCAGAGACAGCCTCTTCCAGTTTCCTTTTTTCAGTTCAGGCGACAACCATGGGGTCAGTTCTAGAGCAGGAGCGACTCAGTATGGACATAGGAAGAAATGACAAGGGGCCTAGCCCTTCAGGCTGCGTAGATCCTATGGTCTCAGGATAAACTTTACATGACCCCACAGCCTCCCCAATCCCCTGAGGCCTTCATATCTAGCATGGATGAGGGGACCTGTTGGCCAAAGGCAGGAGCTGGAAGCCTGAGTCACTGTCTGCCAGCCAGCTGAGGCAGGAACCAGCTCAGACCAGGCTGGATGTGGAAGAGGCTTCCTAACCTTGGCCTGCCTGCCTGCTGGGAAATAAAGGCCTGGAAACCCCCTTGCTTGGCCCCTGGCCGGTGAGTTAGCAGAAAGGGCACAGGATGTCAGGGGTCAAGAGTTCGCTTCCTTCCCCTGAGGAGTCAGACAGGCTGGGATCGACCACCAACTTGCTGTGTGACCTAGGGAGAGCCACCTACCCTCTCTGAGCCTGGGTAAACAGGGCTACTTATGGTACCTACCTACTATACAGGGTCACTATACCCTCTGTGCCCCAGTCATCAACCCAATCCTGACTCTGGGCAGCCTCTAGCCTGAAGCAGGGTTGCCCCTGGAGCCCACCTGAGGCCAGCTTGAGGCCAGATTCCTAAAGCCAGTGCCTCCCTGGCACCCAGAAGACAGAGGGCCGGAAGCAGAGTCCTCTCACCTGGAGGAGTTCTGGTCCTACCTGTGGCATCTGGCTGGCTACAGAAGGACAAACCTGGCAGAAGGGAACGTGGAAGGCAGGGACCCTGATTTTTCTACTCCTTTCCCACTTCCCCTTCTCAACCTCCCACTCAACAGGAATTAAAGCTAAAACTGAAACAGCCATTTTCAGTGAAAGGAAGAGGAAGCTGCAGCTTTGGGGAATTTGAGGGTTGGGGCTGCTTCCTTTGGTTTCTCTCCAGCCTCTTCAAGCTTAGCAAAGATGGAACTTGCATCTCCCAAGACCCCACTATGTATGAGGGGCCCCAGTTGCCGAAGAGTGCACCCACAAGTCCCACCACAACCTGGACACATGTATTCATTGAGCACTAACGATGCACCAAGCATTGTGCAAAATGCTTGATGTGCCGTGTCTCATTCACTCTTCACAACTACTGTTTCCACTTTACAGATGAGGTGACTGAGGCATAGCAAAGTTAGCAAGAGGTTCTTTCTTGGGAATGTGAATGAAGAGGGTTAGAGACCACGCGGCCCCGGTGGGCACAGGGCTGAGAGGTCAAGGGCAGCCCTGAGACTGAGGAACTGTGTGGATAGCACAGAGGCCCAGGGAGCAGCTGTGACAGGGCAGCCCCCGGTGAGCAGAGGGACGGCCTGTGGTGCCCAGCCTGTATAAGTCCACGCCTATAGGGCCACTGCACCTCCCACCCAGTGCTCCAGGAGATCCCCAGGGCCTCCTAAAAAACTCTCCCCTGGAGCTAGTGGGAGAAGCTCTCTGTGCCTTGCCTGGACAACCAGGCTGTCCCATTTGTTTGTCTCCTTGTGGGAGAGGCCACTTGGTTCTCCCTTTGAGAAGGAACCTGCTGCTTAGCTGCAAGTAGTGCAGTTGGCTGATGGCCACAGTTAGTGCCTTCAGGATCCGCCCATCCTCCCAGATAACCAGGCTCCAGTCCGTGGGGGGAGAGATGGCCCAGGTCCAGCCACCTGGCTAGCCTGGCAGTCATTGTTCAGCCCCTCTGTAGCTTCTTCCCACCCAGTTCCCAGACCCCCTCTTATGATGACGACGCTGCCCTCTGATTTTCCTTTGGGGGATCCCCCTTCTCCCCTCTAGAGTCTTGGGGATCTGGGAGTGATGGGTCTGTGATCTAAGCCTACCAATGAGAGAAGAGTGGGCCCCTCAGGCCTGTAACTGGCTCAGGGTGGAGGAGTGACCTTCACTGCATGCCTCAGAGTCAATTCTGGCGCTTTTACTGGGGCATCAGGAAGGAGACAGGTCTTCCACAATATTTGCAAAGTTAGTAGAAAGTGAGGCAGGAGCTGCTGGAGCCAAGTGAACTAAGTTCCAGGCATTGTCCTGGGCGACGGAGATACTGCCACCAGGGAGGAGACTATCCACATAGAAAGCCAAGGAATGGCAGAGATGAGAGATGGGGATGCATCGTTTCCTGAGAACAGCATTGAGTGCCTGGTTTCAGCTGTGCCTGAGGTTTTACCTTTGGTGTCATGAGCTGATAAACTCCCTTTTTGCCTCAATCCATTTAACCTAGGATTCTGTCACTTGAAACTAGGAGTCCTGCCTGTAGATCTGCACCTTGTGCCCAGGAAGACAGGTGACATTTCCCTACGAGAAAACTGAGGCCAGAGAGGTTAGGAACTTGCCCAAAGTGCACTATAAATCCACCATGATACCCTGTCTCTCAGGAAGAGTGGCTTAAGAAAGGACAAAGAAATGGAGGTCAAGAGTCAGGGCAGAGAAGAAGACCAGTCGAAGGGGCGGTGTCAGACTCCCTCCCTTTCCTTCTCTAACTCTGCTAGGAACAGGGGACAAGGTCTGCTTTGCCTCTGGAGCCTCAGAGACCAGTATAGGCTTTGGCCCAAGAGGCACTGGGAAATGTTGGATGACTGGATCCAGTCTATAAAGATGAGCGCCGGGGCTCTGTCCTCGGTGCTGCCTGGTTCCATTTTTTTTTTTTTTTTAAATCTTTGTCTTGACTGATGACAGAGAAGATTTGTCAAGGAGAATGAAGGTAATGGGTTCAGGAGTAGCACCTCTGAGACTGCTTGGGTCCCCCAGTCCCCACCTCAGGAAAGGCAGACCACTAACCCCGCCAAGTGGTTATTGTGGGTTATGATCCTGCCCATTTCCCAGGCAGACCCTGAGGCCCGAAGGTAGGCAGTTTTGTCCACAACTCGTACAGGTAAGGTTTGGGTGTGGAAGGGGAGCCTCAGGGAACTCCTCCCCTCCCGTGAAAGGCAGCCCCTGCCTTGATTCCTGTTCTGATCATCCCTAGCTCTTCCTGGGGCCTGAGCCCACCTGGCAGTGATAAGACGTCCAGCTGGACCCAGGGGTCAATGACAGGCCTCTGAGTTCTGGACCCTCAGGGCTAGGGAGGCCTTAAGGTCACCTGACCCAGAGGTCTCCCCATCATCCCCTCAGAGAAGGGGGCTCTCTGAAGCCTCCCTGACTGGGCTTGTTTGGCCCCTGCCTGCATACTTCCCATTGCAGGGAGCTCACTCCTCTCCTAGGCCACTGCATTCCACCTTGAGAAAGCTCACTGGGAGATATGCTTTGTCACACCAAGCCCCAAGATCTGTCCCTAGTGACTGCTCTCCCACACCAGTCCAGCTTGCCTCTGGGGCCATATAGCTTGGCTGCCCCAGGACACCCTGCAGAGGTTGTCCCAAGACCATCCATCTATTGGTCTTCATTCTCACCAGGCAATTTCAGGCACATGTCCAGGTCCCAGGAGACCTAGTGGTGGATCCTCAAGGATGAGGCCGTGGTCTGTGGCTGTTTTCAAACCTGAAGACAAAACCCTTTGCTACCCTCTGTCCTGTTTCATTGCCTGCCTGGGGCCTGTAAGGGGGGCATAGTCTCTTCTTTTGGGAGGAGGAAACTAAGGCCCCCAACAGCTTAGTTACTTGCCAGGGCCACCAATCCGTCAGTGATCTTCCAATCAGCAGGACTGCCTGTCGCCAAACCCCAAATCTTCACCCTCAAACTGGCCTGTTTGTGGCCAGTCCAGTGTGGGAGGAAGAGGACTTTGTGGGTGTCCAAGGGGTGGCCTGGGAGGAAGAGATCAAAGTAAGGGGCAACTACCTCATTCAGAGTGCAATGTAGGAGGTCAGCAGGCAACAGTGGCTCCTGCTGTGGAGTGTGCATGAAGAACACAGGACAGGCCGGGTGTGGTGGCTCACGCCTGGAATCTCAGCACTTTGGGAGGCCAAGGCGGGAGGATCACTTGAGCCCAGAAGTTCGAGACCAGGCTGGGCAACATAGAGAAAGCCTGTCTCTACCAAAAAATGTTTAAAAATTAACTGGATGTGTTGGCGTGTGCCTGTAACCCCAGCTACTTGGGAGGCTGAGGTGGGAAAATCGCTTGAGCCTGGGAGGCCAAGGCTGCAGTGAGCTATGATCACACCACTGCATTCCAGCCTTGGCTACAGAGCGAGACCCTGTCTCAAAAAAGGGACGTAGGACAGACCCCCTCAGGTGGTCACTCGAATGATACCTTCTCCATGGGACCTTCTCCTACCACTCTAAGCTAAAATTATAAACCCCTACGCAACGCATGTGCATGTGTGATTCCTACGCCCCTTCTCTGCTATATTTTTCTCCTTAGCATTTAAAATCTTTTAATACACTGTTCTACTTATTTATTGGTTATTGTCTCTCTCTCATGACTGAACATAAACTCCACCAGGGCAGGGGTTTTCGTGTTTTTTTTTCACTGCTGCATGTACTTAGGACGGTGTCTGGCATATAGTAGGTTCTCAATAAATATTTGTTGAGTGAATGAACAAATAAATTCCAGACGTGGTTCAATTATGTCTACACAGAGAGGACTGGGTGCACGGGGGTCTTGGCTTGAGGCTATTCATGTAGCAAGCTGTAGTTTGTACTTAAGAGTATGTGTTTATTGGGGATTGGGAGCAGATAGAGATTAAACGTGAGCACCAAAGGCCTTTAAGCCAGCCCTGGGGCTGCTTCTGCCTGGCCGTGTGTGTGAGATTTGGGCTGTGAACAGTCCCAGCTGAGACGGGTGAATAGAACTTCGCCTGGCAGGGCTAGGCAGCCTGCATCTCCCTCCTGCCCTGCCTGAGGTTTTCTCTGGTACTCTCACCTCCCTGCACAGGATCACTCCCTCTGCACCAGGGCCCGGCCAAGGATCTTCCTGGCTTCTCTCCCTCCCCTTGCCAGCCTAGGCCTCCCCACCAGGACCCAGGATTCCCATGAACACAACAAGTCAATTCGTGTCCCTCATTCATGGTGACACCAGACTGCTCCATCCTGCACTGTGGGGCTGAGTAGAGCTGGAGGACATGACTTGGTTGAGTGCCTGAGGCCCTGCAGACCCTGTCACTGCCCCACTTGGCTGGGTCCCCAACCTTTTGTCTGTCCTAGGGCATCCTCCCTCCTCTGTCTTCTAAGCCTTGGCCCCATCTTTCTTGTCAGCCCCATACCCTCAACTCTACCAGCCCTCAACTCCTCCTTCAAAGCAGACAGCCTTTCAGAGGGGCTGCCTTCAGCTTCCCACTGTCCAAATAAACCCGTGTGTCTGCACCTTCTCTCCTCACCCATCCACAGCCCCGCGGGACTCCAGGTACCACCTCCTGCCCTCTCTTCAGCACCTTCCCTGTGCTGCATCTGCTGGTTCCTTCCCCTCAGCCCAAACACTTCCCACTCCCCAGTCCCTCTCTCATCTGAGCAAAATGTCTTCCTTGACCCCTCGTGCCTCTCCGTCTGTTCCTCTTCCTCCCTGCGCAATCAAGCTTCTGGAAGAGTCACCCACAAGCCCTGCCTCCCTGCACCCATTTCTCACACACTTACAGTCAGGCCCAGGGCAGAGCAAGGAGCCTTTGAGCCCAGCTCCGGGAAGAGCAGTGGGCACTCTGTCTTCTGGGTGAGGCTGGCAAGATGGAACCAAGGAGCCAGCAACTGTCTGAGCTCCATCCACAAGGAAATCTCCAAAGTGATCTTGAAAACACAGGCCTCGGGGAGAAAACAGGCCACTGAGCATGACTGGGCTTGACGTCCCTGAGCACCACCCAGGGCTGGTGCAGGGCTAGGGGAGGAGAGCCACCTCTCTGGCTTCCAGGAAAGGGCCTGGACTCTGCCTGGAAGGTGGGTGGGGATCAGGGCCGGCAGGGGCACCTCCAGGACATCTGTGTAGCAGGGGATTAGGGAGGTGACTGGTTGGGATGATACCTTTGCATAGCTTGTGACACTGGTTTGAGAAAACATCAATGGTTTCTGTCACAGAATAGGAGGGGTCGTTGCTTATGGAGTAGGTGAGGGTTGGGGTACAGGGCTCCCCAGATTACTGCCCCTGGGGATACAAAATGTGAGGATTCACTCCTGGAACAGGTCTCTCCTCAGAGCTCCCCAGAAAACCCAGAGTTCTTCAAATCCCAGCCCATGGAATTAGATCCAAATGCCCAATCCCAGCATTTGTACCCCTCTGTCACCCATCACTGTTCCCTCTGCAAAGCTTGGCACCCAACAGACCTGGGGGTTCCCGTCCTGACTCTGCAGCTTATGAGCTGTGACTTTACCTCTCTGAGCCTCTGAGTCCTTAATTTTAAGTATTGTCAACAGTCACAGCATCACTGGGGGCTCAAATGAAATAATGGATCTAGATCACCTAGCCCAATACCTGGTGCACAGGAAGTATTTGCTCAGTGGGGCTTCTATTATCACCCATAATTTTATCATAGACCAGCCAAACTCATGAGAAATGACTTCCCTTGCAACCTTTGCTCCCTTCCTCCCTCCCTCCCTCCTCCATTCATTCATTCATTTGCCGTGCATTTACAAGGAGTCTTACAATATGCAGGCACCTCTCTGGGCTCTGTCCTTTGAGGAGCTCCCATTAGTGGAAAAGACAGATGAAGATGTAGAAACATGGGTCTCTGGGAAGACAAAGGAGGCCTCTAACCCTGTCTGTGGTATCAAGCAAGGCTCCCTGGAGGAGGTGATTCTTTGGTGGAGTGTGGAAAGAAAAAGGCAGGTGCTCCAGGCAGAGAGACCTGCTGGAGATGTGGGACCTCAGAGTACCTGCAAGTGTTTGTGTTTGCAGGTGCTGAGGGGCCTTGCAGGAGGTAAGGCTGTGGGGTCATTAGGGCCAGGCCCAACAGGCCTCAAAATGCCAGGCTACACACGTGGCCTCTGCATTGAGGGTGCCAGCTGAAGAAAGTCCTCATTGGGAGATCCCTTTCTAAAGCAGGGCAGAGGCATGATCAAATTTGAGACTTAGAAGGTCCCTTGGGCTGCTAGTTGGAGGATGAATTGGTTGTGGTTAGATTCAGAGAAAATAGAGCCTCAAATGGGGTTGTGGCCGTGGGATGGGGAGGCTCCAGGGACCAGCCAGTGGTAGGCTCACAGCAGTCTCAAATGGCAGGCTCACAGCAGTCTCCCCTGCCCCCTAACAAGCCCTGACAGCCAGAGTAGTGGAAAGACAGATGTTCCACACCAGCTCGCAGGTCACAGGTGGAAAGCTGAGGTCCAGAGCAGGCAAGAGGATGCTGTAGCCCTGCAGGGAGCTGGTGGGGAGCCTCCCATCTCTGTGTCCAGTCATCAAGCCTGATGCTCCAGCCAGGGGCAGCAAAGGCATGGCTTTGGTTGCAGGGGACTTGGAGGAGTAGAAGGATGACTTGCTCCAACTGCCAGACCCATGCAGGCCCTCCTCCATCAGACAGACTGGGGAGGGGAGCCCTTAGAGCTTCCAGAGTTCTCTCCTCACCTTTGCACCCATTTTGCAGTGAGGGTAACTGAGGCCAAGAGAGGAGAGACATTCGGCTCCTGGGATAGCACAGTCATCTGGACATGGGATGTCAGCTGTGGGAGACAGAGTACCTGGTTCCCAGGCCTGGCCTTGCCCCTGGGCAGCTGGATTCACAGTTCCCGAGGACACTCAGCTGGTGAGGGGTGGAGTTCTAATGGCACCACTGTCTGGCTCCTGCTTGGCCCTTGTGCCCAGCACAGTTCCCAGGGGTCACTTCCCTTCCATCCTAGCCTGTGTCTGTAAGCCATGGCTGAGCAGAATAGAACAGGAAGGAACTGTGTGCCATCTGCTCCAGATCACTGTGAATGTGGGCTGGTCCCTTCTTGGATGGAGGACCCTGGGCCCCACCCTGCCCAAGGGAGCCAGATGTCCTCAGCACAGCTCAGCTAGTCTGTGCCCCACTGGCTTTCCCAGGGTGGGCTTGGGTGGTGAAGCCCAACTCTGGTTCTTGGAGCTTACAGACTTGACCTAGCACCCTGAGTGTCTGGTCTGTGCTTGACCTGGACTGTACCAGGGCATGAGGATGGGCTGAGGGCGCGGATGAGCTGATATAGCAGACATAGTTACTGGCCATTTAGAGTGGTCAGTGCCAAGAGCCCGCTGTCCTCTAATCCCACCTGGAGAGGCCAGATGGGCAGGACTTGTCATTTCTCTGGTGGAAAAACTGAGGTCCCACTTCATGTCAATCACCAAGCCCTGTTTGTGCTCCATTTTCACATTTCAAACTCCTCTTCTCTCACCCCACGGCCCCTCCCCCAACCTAGACCACATCCTTCTCATGCTTTCTGGTTTTCCATCTCCAGGGCCATTCCAGCCCCTTTCTGTGGCCAGATGGACCCTGGCTCAGCAAAAGTCTGACTTCATTGTTTCTCTTTCTACGCCCTCTCTATATCTTCCCAGTGCCTGAGGATAAAGGCAAACCCAGTCCCTGCTGACCTCTCCACTCTCAGCTCCCATTCCTGCCCCTTGCACGCGACCTGCTGGACTCTGATTTACTTTCAGTTCCTGCTCTTCTTTTGCCCCTCGTCAGTGCTGTTTCCACCACTGGACTTCCCTCTCCCCACATCTGTGGCTGGCCAACTCCCATTGTAAACTCAGGGACAGGGGAGGCCCAGGTCCTGCCCACAGGTGTTCAGTGGGGACAAGGGACATCTACCTGAAGATCTATAACCCAAAGCCCCAGAGTCAGTGCCCCAGAGTCCTACCAGAACACAGGCATGGAGGGATGGTTCCACAGGAGAGAAGGCTTGGTGAGGAGGTGGCAGTGAAATGGTCAAGTGTATGTAGAGGCAAAAGGCAGAGTCTGTGAGAGGCCTGTTGAAGGATGGTGAACAGAGCTGGAGCTGCTCTGGATGTGCTTGAAAAGAGGCCCAAACTAATAATGATGATAATACAATTATTGAAGCCTTAGTGTGTGCCAGATGTGCATTGCCCCATTTAATCCTCATAAGGACCCCGCAAGGTGGGACTGGTTATTATTTTCATTTTATACTTCTGGTGGGGAAACCAAGCCACAAAGATTAGCTCAAGGTAGCACAGGAAGAAAGAATGACTCCTGGGCTAGTCTGAACCCAGGCAGCCTGGTTCCAGAGTGCATATTCTTAGCCCCTACAACAGAGCAGGACTGGGGTAGGAAGGATTTCAGGTGGCAGGGAAATCCAGTCCCTCTACTGTTCTGACCCAACCTGCCTGGGGCCCAGCTTGCCCTGGCCTTGCCCTTCCATCAGTCACAGGGCCTCATAAATGCTGCGTCCTTTAGGAAATCTTCAGTGATCAAATAGAAGGATTCCTTCTACTTCTCCCAGGCCCCTCACAGGAAGCCTAAGGTAAGGGACACCCTTCTAAGCAGAGCTTCCCAACCCTGGCTGCCCATCAGATTCCTGGACTCTTTCTGGGGAGGAATGTTTGCCTGTCCTGCATCTCTTCCTACTGGGAGACTCTCGCCCCATTCAGTGGCAATTTTCTTCATTCAAGGTGGTCACCAGACCCAGGATCCATCCAGACCCTTCACCAGTGATTGGTTCAGGGGCAACCAATTAGAGTTTGCCCCAGGAATTTTGTGGAACCAGCATGAAAGACTCTCACTCTTTTTCTCCTGGATTATTAGCTGTGCAGACCATGGAAGACTGGTGCTTCTGGAAGGAACTTGAGTGAGAATGTAGGAACCCAGTGGAAAGTCAGGAGAGAGATGTTCATGGCATCCTTGTAACTGCTGGATCTAGCCATGTCAGATCTAGGTCTACCTTGGGCTTTTTATTTATATAAACTGATATACATTTTCTTGCCTAAGCTAGTTGCATTTGTATCTTGTAACCAAAATATCCCTAACCACCCTGAACCAAAAGCATAGGCAAGAACAGCAACAACAGCAAATTAAATAAGTTGAAATTTATCAAAATTTAAAACTATTGTACATCAAAGGACATTATCAACAGAGTTGGAAGGCAACCTACAGAATGGGAGCAAATATTTGCAAACCATATGTCTGATAAGGTATTAATATCTAGAATGTATAAAGAACTCCTACAAACTAAACAGCAAAAGAAACAACCCAATTCAAAAATCAGCAAAGGACTTAGACATTTTTCCAAAGAAGATATACAAATGGCCAATAAGCATATGAAAAGATGCTCAACATTACTAATCAATAGGGAATGCAAATTAAAACCATGCGATAACACTTCACACCCATTAGGATGGCTATTATTAAAAAAAAAAAAAAAGGCCAACCTAGGAAATAAGTTGTTGGGGATGATGTGGAGAAACTGGAAACCTTTGCATTACTGTGGAAATGTAAAATGATGTGGTCTCTGTGAAAAATATTATGGCTATTTATCAAAAAATAAGCATGAAATTACCATATGATCCAGCAATTCTACTCCTAGAATTCCAACCAAAAGAACTGAAGGCAAGGACTCAAACAGAAGTTTATACATCAATGTTCATAGCAGCATTATTCACAATAGCCCAAAGGTAGAAACAAGCCAAACAGCTGTAGATGGATGAATAGATAAATAAAATGTGATATATACATACAATAGATTATTATTCAGCCTTAAAAAATGAAATTCTGATACATACTACAACGTGGATGAAACTTGGAAACCTTATTCCAAGTACAACAAGCCAGTCCAAAAGGGACAAATACTGTATGATTCCACTTATATAAGGTACCTAGAAAAGTCAAATTCATTGAGACAGAAAGTAGAGTGGGGGTTGCCAGGGGCTGAGAGGGTGGGAGAATGGGGAGTTATTATTTAATGGGCATAGAGTTTCAGTGGATGACTTTAAAAAGTCCTGGAGGGCTGGGCACGGTGGCTCATGCCTGTAATCCCAGCATTTTGGGAGGCCTAGGCGGGTGGGCAGATCACCTGAGGTCAGGAGTTTGAGACCAGCCTGACCAACATGGTGAAACTCCGTCTCTACTAAAAATACAAAAATTAGCTGGCCGTGGTGGTGTGTGCCTGTAATCCCAGCTGAGGCAGAAGAATCACTTGAACCTGGAAGGCAGAGGTTGCGATGAGCCGAGATCGCACCACTGCACTCCAGCTTGGGTGACTGAGCAAGACACTATCTCAAATAAATAAATAAATAAATAAATAAATAAATAAATAAATAAAACAGTCCTGGAGATGCATGGTGGTGATGTGATGGCTGCACAACAATGTGCGTATACTTAGTACCAGTGAATTGTACAATCAAAAAGGATTAAAATCATACATTTTGTTATGTATATTTTATCATAATAAAAGACAAACAAAATAACAACAAACAAACAAACAAACAAACAAAACTCAGCCTTGACCAGCACATCTACTGTATTGGGAGACAATTCTCCAAGGGCCACTCAGATTTCTGCAAGTCTTGTGAGCAGAGACAGACTGCCTTTGTTCCAGATGATCTTTTCGAGGATATCTGTAGAGCAGACAGCCTTGGAAGATAAAGATAGAGATAGTGTCCCCTTCTGGAGCCAAAACCAGGTTTATTGACTGTCTGGTATAACAAATATAACAAATATGATGTCTTCCTCTGGGGCAAAGTTCAGGTAGGTTTGCTGCCCCTTATAAAAGATGCGGATTGCCTAAGCTCCAGGTTCCTTACCTTGTCATGCAAGCCATTGCATGTGAAGGTATTACCTGGCCCCCTTTGCATTGTCCTGCAGGAATTGGGACAAATGCTGATATTTGGGCTAATCCTATTGTGAGGAACAAAGTTCTTTATCTTTAACCAGAAGTCTTGCGTCTTCTGCCAGCATCTATGAAACTGTAGCAGGCCAACTCATTGGCTTGGAAATGTGGTCAAATTACAGGCCCTTCCCACTTTCTTCATACTTTTTGCATCGGAATCTCAGGTGGGAGAAAATAAAAATCTGTATTTCTAGCTGGGCCCAGTAGCTCATGCCTGTAATCCCAGCACTTTGGGAGGCAGAGTTTGAGACTGGCCTGGCCAACATGGTGAAACTCTGTCTCTACCAAAAATACAAAAATTAGCCAGGTGTGGTGGCGCATGTCTGTAATCCCAGCTACTTGGGAGGCTGAGGCAGGAGAATCGCTTGAACCTGGGAGGCAGAGGTTGCAGTGAGCTGAGATTGTGCCACTGCACTTCAGCCTGGGCGACAGAGTGAAACTGTGTCTCAAAAAAAAAAAAAAATCTGTATTTCTGACATTATGATGCAGTGATGCAGTGGGCCAACTTGGGTTTATAGGAATCTTGCCCTGGACCTAAGCCCCTGAAGAGTTGGTTTCCTCATTTTGGAGGCTGCTTCTCCCTTTTCACTCCAGCTGCCAGGAAACTCACAGTGAAGTTTCCCTTTCACCTACCTGAGGACCAACATTCATCTCAAGCTTCTATGTAGTTTCTATATTCCTGCTCCCGGATTTAAACAAAATTAAGACATAATTCACATACCATAAAATTCAGCCTTTCAAAGTGGACAATTCAGAGGTTTTTAGCATATTCACAAGATTGTGCAACCATCGTCACTATCCAATTTCAGAACATTTTAATAACCATAGAAAGAAATCCTGTACCCAATAGCAGTTACTCCCCATTCCTTTTATCCCCATCCTCCTGGAAACTACGAATCTCCTTTTTGTATTTATGAATTTGCCTGTTCTGGACATTTTATGCAAATTGAATCATACAATATGTATCATTTTGTGTCTGACTTATTTTACTCAGCGTGTCTTCAGGGTTCATCCGTGTTGTAGCATAAATAAAAATTTCATTTTTATGGCTGAATAATATTCCATTATATGGATAAGCCACATAATTGTTTATCTGTTCATCCACTGATGGCATTTTGGGTTATTCCCACTTTTTGGCTATTATGAATAATGCTGTTGTGAACATTTGTGTAGAAGTTTTTGTGTTTTAAATTTCCTTGCGTATACACCTTTGAATGGAACCAGGGGGTCATATGGTAACTCTATGTTTAAACTTTTGAGGTGCTGCCTAACTGCACTCCAAAATGGCTGTATACTTTTTCATTCTCACTAGCAGTGTATGAGATTTCCAATTTCTTCACATCCTCGGCAACACTTGTTATTGTCTGTCTTTTTCATTGTAGCCATTTTAATGGGTGTAAAGTGGTATCATATTGTGGTTTTGATTTGCATTTCCCTAATTGCTCCTTTTCTTATGTTGTCATTCATATTTTACCATTTAATGGTATGCTCTGAGGCCTGACATCTTGTGGAACAAGTACCCCACGGAGTGGGAGAGTCATGAGTTTCGGGGACAGATAGTCCTAGGTTTGATCCCCTCTGCATCTACTAGTTATATGACCTCAAGCAAGTTATTTAACTCTCTGAGTCTCAGTTTCCCCACTTATTCTATGTGAGTTATAGTATTAACCGCTCTTGGTGTTGCTGTTATTATAAGATAAATCTATAATAAATCCCCTGAGTGGGCCTGGCACAAAGCAAGTCCTCCATGAATCTCACCAATGAATCCAAGAGTCAGAAGGGGAGATTTCCAGCCTGGGAGGATACCTAGGCTGGGGACTGTTTAGCTTTTAATCTATAACCTGCTTTACTCCAGCAACTTCTTACAACAGAGGCATTTCTGTGCCAAACATTAGCCTCTCTGTGCCTCTGTTTCCTCTCCATGCTATGGAGGTGTGTCCTTCTCAGGAGCGTGGCGGGCCACAATGCGAAGGCATGAGGAATGAGACTGCACCATGCTGTCAAGTACTAGTGAATCTGCAGGACAGGTTCTGGCACTTCCAAGTCTGTCTCTTGCCTCAACCATCAGATTAGCCGCTGCCTGAGGGAATTTCTCCTCCCTTAGACAATGGGCTCTCCTTCTCCTGTGCAGGTCTGTCCCTGTCATGCCCCTGTCCCTCAATAGAAGGGATAGGACACTCAGGAACTGTGGGCTGATTTGAAAGGCTGGTTCCCATCCCTCTGGCATGATAGAAACAAGGTTATCCCTCACTCTGAGTTGAGATCTGCCTCCTGGTACCACAGGACAGCCACCACTCCGTCCCAGGCCATGAAAACCGGCACTGCCCTGGGAGTCAGGATGCCAGGCTCTGTCTCAGCTACTGCAGAGTTCGTCTTCCTGGAGCTCAGTACCCAGCCCCTGAGTTCCTAAGGGGAGAGCTGGACCCACTAGCCCCTGGGTCCCTGGAATCCACACAGGGCTGGGCACAGAAGCCACTGACCCAGCCTACGCCATCTCCGTAGACCAAATGACTGCGTCTTGCTCAGACCCTGCCCTCCCATGGAGCTATTAATGACAGGGCCAGCCCTGGGACAGGGGAAGCAGCAATATATCACCCCATGCCGGGGCATTGGCCCTAACTGGACAAGCCAACAGTCACAGAGGGAGAGCCAGAGCCTGGGCTGCCGGATCCCCACCCCAGCCTGAAATAGAAACCTATTTCAGAGACAAATGGGGAAATGGTCCCAAGGCAGGAGGGGGCAGGGTGGGCTGTTGCACCCAGCTTCCTGAGAGTCTCGACAGGCCCCGGGTCCTCTGCTGTAATGGGCACCTGTTGCCAGGTTCTGCCGACTCACTCTAACACTAAGGAACCAGGAAAGCTAGGTTCAGAGCTCTGGGGCCTGGACACTGACAAATTATAGTCCCAGCTCCCACATTGGACAGGATCCTTTAATTTCTCTGAGCCTTAGCTTCCTCTGCTGCAAAATAGGAATAACAATAATTCTGACTGCTTTCTTTTTCTTTTTCTTTTCTTTCTTTCTTTCTTTTTTTTTTTTTTTGAGACAGTCTCGCTCTTGTCACCCAGGCTGGAGTGCAGTGGTATGATCTCAGCTCACTGCAACCTCTGCCTCCTGGGTTCAAATGATTCTCCTGCCTCAGCCTCCTGATGCTTTCATTTTTGTGTAAAACACTTGACACATTGTAGTTGCTCAGTCAATGACAGACCTTGCTATTATTGCTTAACTTTCTCTTTCAGCTCAATTTTGACGGAATGATTTATTCACGTTATTTCATTTATTTATTCATTCAGCCAAAGAGCCAACACACACCTACTAGGTAAGCCACAACAGTTAATAAAGTTTTTGGAGTTAGGTAAGAATTGAAACCCTAGCACTGCCGCTAGTTGGTTGGATAACTCTGGGAGAGCCATTTCCCTTCAACAAGCCTCCATTTCTTCTCCTGTAAAATGGGAACAGTAAATACCATCTCTGGAGGGCATTGGGATGTTATAAAGAGTCAGTGGCACTTGAGGCCAGCAGTTTGAGACCAGCCTGGGCAACATAGCAAAACCCCATCTCTACAAAATATTTTTAAAAATTAGTTGAACATTGTGATACATGCCTGTAGTCCCAGCTACTTTTAGGTTGAGGCAGGAGGATTGCTTAAGCCCAGGAGTTCAAGGTTACAGTAAGCAATGACAGTGCCACTGTACTCCAACCTGGGTGACAGAGCAAGACTCTATCTTAAAAAAAATAAAAATCCCAAAATAAAAAGCGTCAGTGGGACAGTGGTGTGAAAACAGCCAGTGCATAGCCACAGATGGAAAAACAGGTGGTGGATGGGCTGCACAGAGAAGCCAGGCAAGCTTCTGGCAGAACAGGCCATGCTGGGAGCTCCCGGCAGTCAGGTCTCCAGAGACAGCCACAGGATAAGGCAAGGGCAGGAGAGAAGAGTCGGCAGGCTCAGAAACGATTTCCAGGTTTCTGGACCATGGCCCCCTCCCTTTCTGATAAACTGACAAACAGTGAGGAAATGCAAAAAAAGATTGTAAGAATTTTAGAAGAGTCCCAGCCACACAGGGAGTCGAGGGGAGTGTAGAGTTCCACCCACCCAGCCAGTCACACACACACACATACACTGGAAGCTGGGCATTCTCACTCTCACGTACACACCCAGGGGCTTGGCACACACACAGATGCACCTTCTGGGGCACAACACTTTATAGTTTGCAAAGGGCCTTCTCATTTTTCATCTCATTGATACTGAGGGGTGGAGAGTTTCCCTGAATATGACCCATTCTAGAGCTGGCAAGAGATGAGAGTCCCAAATATCTTCAAGAGGCCGGGGCTGAACGCATGGGCTGGGCTGCCTGTTTTCTCTGTGTCGGTGTCAGCAGAGCTGAATGGCAATAGAAACTCTGGAAAAGTTTTAACCCAGCTCTCCCAGATAGGCCCTTTCACCCTTAACAAGTCACACCTGGACTCAGGGACTTTTTTTTTTTTTTTTTCCAAACCACTCTCACGGGGCCAGCTCCAGGCTGTCTTAAGATTTAGCTGGAATGGCAGAGGTGAGAGGCTTCCCAAGGGCCTCCTCTGTGGACAATTATTTGATCACTAATCCTTCCTACTCATTCCCTCAACCAAAGTTCCTGGGGAGCTCTGAGGGCAGGGCCCAGCCTCCTCCGTGAGGACCCCTCTCCAGATACTACACTTAGCAGTGTTCACATACGCAGGGAGAGACCACGGTTGCCCCCATTTTAGAGAGTAAGAAATTGAGGCCCAGAGAGGAAAAGTGCCCTTGCCAGCCATTTGCACTCCAACCAAGACCTTTGTGGCTCCGAATCCTGACTGAGCTATTCCACTTCTCCAGCAAGGCACGGCGCAGCACCAATGTGTCCATCTCCTCCCCGCCCCCACTGACCCCGTCCTGCGGTGCCTCGTCCCTCCATGCTGTGCAGTCTGCAGGCTCCAGGCATAGCCAGGCGGAGGAAGGAGGAGGACCCCAGTGCCTGCCCTACTGCCACTCTTGCCTGTGATGAGCCTCGGTGGCTGCAAGTGGACTGCAGTTACTCAGGAAGCTCCTAGGGGAGCTGAGGGGCGCAAGCCCTTCCAGGCATGGACCCAGAAAACTCACCCAAGAGTTAGCAAGTGCCTCGCTTGCAGTCCGTGAAGTGCTGGAGCAAATTCCCACTCGTGGAGCAGCCCCTGCTGCCAGTCAGTTCTGTGCCTGAAACTGTCGCGTGCAATGTTCTGGCAGAAGTCTGGAGAGGCAGCAGATGAGGAAACCGAGAGACCTGGGGAGAGGAAGTAACTTGCCACAGCACAGAGCTGGCAAGCAGCAGGGCCAGGACTCGAATCCCGAGAACCCTGAAGCTCCAGTCCTTTACACCAATGCTGACTCATCCTCTACCCAGCTGCCCGCAAGTCACTTCATTCACCCTCTGTTTGCTCACTCAAACAAGCAGCATCACCAATTTAGCCCAAGGGACTGTTGGGAGGATGGAGTGAGATAACATTTCAGGACAAGGGCCTGGCACAGGGAAGGCACGCATTGGGTGGCTGTTTTTTATCCTCCTCCCCATTATCACCCCAGCCCTCTCCTGGCTTCTCTGGAGTCTGGAGATGGCCCTGCTTCTGCTCATTGCTGCCGCAGGAAACCATTAACCTGGTTTTCTCAGCAGTGCCTGGAAGGTCCGTTAAGAGAGGCTGAGACCCCGAGATTAATGGCTCTGTTATCTGTGGCTCCAACCCTATGGATCCAGACAACTCCCACCCAGGGATGAGGATGGCACTGAGGGAGGAGAGAGACCCTCTCATACTGTTTTATACTCGGAAAAGGAAAGAGAAGCGAAACTAAAGGCAGGTAGCCCGGCGCCTAAAAACCAGACCTGAAACCAAGGAACCAGACCCGAAACCAAGGAACCAGACCCGAAACCAGGCCTGGGCCTGCCTGACCTAAGCCTGGTAGTTAAAATTCGACCCCTGACCTAGCAGCTGTTGTTATCTATAGATTCCAGAGATTGTATGGAAGGACATTGTGAAACCTCCCGTTCTGTTCTGTTTCACTCTGACCACCGGTGCTCGCAGTCCCTATCATGTACCCCCTGGCTTGTTCAGTTGATCACGACCCTCTCACGTGGACCCCCTTAGAGCTGTGAGCCCTTAAAAGGGACAGAAGTTGAGCACCTGACGAGCTCAGATTTTAAGATGCTAGCCTGCCGATGCTCCCAGCTGATTAAAGCCACTCCCTTCACTATCTCAGTGTCTGAAGGGTTTTGTCCGCGGCTCGTCCTGCTACAGCACCGAAGATGGAGGGTGATGCCGGGGGGGAAAGGCTGACCCCAGGCAATCCTCCCCTCCCCAGCGCCAATCCATCCTTGAGCTTGGGCTTGATGAGGAGAAGGCAGCCCGGGCGGCTCTACCTGGGCCCATGGTGGGCCCTCCCCGTCTGTAAGATGACTCTCCTGCTTCCTCCTCCTCCTCTTCTTTCTTACAGGTACTTATTGGCCACCTACTCTGTTCGGGTAATGTTCAACGCACTTGAGGTCAAAAAACAAAGTCCTGCCCTTGAGACACCTGTAGTCTAGCAGGGGAGATTAGTTTCTTTTGGTTAATGAGTAAATATATAGCAGGCCAGATAGTGATAAGAGCAGCGATATAGAAACATAAAGGAGGGTAAGGGGCGGAGAGCTAGGGGGCTGCAGCCTCGGACAGGTGGACAGGCCCCATCTAGATTTGCCAGATCACCCTCTCCCAGCCACCTAGCCTGGAGGAGACCCTCCCCCAGGCCCCAAGCCCCCACTCTGTGCCAGGCTCTGCCTCAGTGGATCTCAGCAGCAGGCTAGTGCGAAGACTGGGACTCCCTGGGCACAGGCAGCAACTCAGGGCCACCAACGCTTTGGCAGGGAGCATCCCGAGCTTGTGCCCCACTCCCAGCCCTGGGGAAGCTCTCTGCTTCCTCTGTGGTCCAGAGAGGGAGCACATCCCTCAACCAATCCCCAATCCCAATATCCCAGTAGGCGAGAGGGCGCTGGACCCAGAGAGGGTCGGGACTTGCCTGGGTCACACAGCAAGGCAGAGCTCCCTCTCCTGCCCTCTCTTGGCATGTCCACAAAGGTAGGTTCAGGGGTGAGCCTCCCAGCACAGTGCTGGCCTGTGAGGGGCTGGCTGTGCCCCCCGTCAGCTCCTGGTAAAGGAGTGTGAGGTGTTTCTGTGGCAGGCCCACCTGGTAGTGCCAGCCTGCCCCACCCTCCAGGCTCTGACAGCCAAATTCTCCTACCCCAAGCCCCAGGAAGCTGAAGGCATTTTCCTTGCAACCCCAGCTCATGAGAGTTTTGGTCAACCCTGCCTCAGCTTGCTGTGTGACCTCAGGCAGTCCAGGCAGTCCCATCCCTCTCTGGCCTCAGCTCCCTCATCTGCCAAATAGAGGAAGTGAAGGCACTTACATATCAGGAGTGTCATGAAGAATGAGCAAGACACTGACAAGAAGGCAGTTTGCAAATTTTTAGACACTATCCAGATGACAGGCAAGCAGAAAACTCATCTGAAAACCAGCCCCTCATCCTGTGGGGCCCTGAGGTAGCCCCAGAGCAGGTCCTTGATCCTTGATGGGAAATAAGCACAAATTCCACAGAACCAGTTCTTCCGAAAAGACAAAGCCACCTCTGCTCCCAGCCAGCTGACAGGAAGGGCCCCTCCTCTGTCCTTGTGGTAAGAAGGTGTGGGGGGAGAGACGGGAAAGAGACAAGGCTGGGAAGGAGGCCTGGGAAAGCTTGTTCCGGGAGGCAGAGGCATAGCCCTGAGGTAGCCTTGAGAGCCACCAACCCCAGTCAGGCCCCCAGGCTGGGGGAGGACATGAATGCTGGTTGCACAGTGTCTGCCTGGGGGCTTGTCAGCCATGTGTACCTGTGCTGGAAGATGCGCATGCATTCACAAGGCACAGGTGTTTGGAATTGTGCCTAAGTATGTGTGTGTGTGTTTCTGTGAGTGGCTCTGGAGTGTGTACACCTGTTCACATACCTGTTTGCCCAGGCCCGGGCCTCTGCATGTGCTCCACACACATGCTGCTCCTGGGGAGCCCCGCAAACCCCTAGTCCACAGGCCTTATTTTCCCAGGCTCCGAAATCCTTATCATAATCTTCAAACTGTCCCAGATGTCACGGGAGATTTGTGGGGTTCCCAGGCTCTTGATTTTCCCCAGGAATAAAAGCAGTTACATAAGATGAGGAGGAAGCCTTAGGGGCTAACTTTCAGGCGCAGGCTCTCCCAGCTCAGCCCAGGGTGTAGGCTCCTCACGGGGAGGGGAGGAGTGCCCAAGGTTGAAGCCCCTTAGACCCTCCGTTGCCTGTGGGCACTGACCCCTCCACAGCCACCCTCCTGCACTCAGTCACCAGCAGGAAGCCCCTGGGTCCTTTACAATAAATCAGGTGCTTTACAGTTTACACCCCACATGCCCTTGCTGGGTGATGCTCACCACTAGCTGGCCAGGCTGACCTTCACGTCCTACCCCCGAGGCCCTGCCGCCAGGCAGCCACTGCTAGCTCAGTCCTAGTGTCTTCCTTCCTGGCTCTGGGCTGGGCTCACAGTTCAGTACTGGCTACTCCCTTGGGTGGGTCTCACCCCTTCCTGAACCTTGGTTTTCTCAGCTGTGGAATGGAGCTGTTCCGATCCACATGAGTCAAGGGCTGAGAAGGGTCTCTGTAGCCTGTAATGAGGCCCCTGGCAGGCAGGAATGGTCTCGTGCACATCCCTGGCCACCGCCCATTGGCCCCTTGCTGCTCCCAGGAGTCAGGAGGGAAAACACCACCTTCAGCCCTCTTGACTGAAACAGGAGGCTGCCTAGCCCTGGTCCGTGGGAGGAGATGTGGTCCCTCTGGGATTCAGATCAGATCCTAAAAAGAGTTGGCCCACTTCAAGCTTGCAGGAAGCATGGTTGGTGGTCTCCTTGGACAGGAGGAGACTGGACATCTTTTTTTTCCAGACAGGGTCTCACTCTGTCACCCAGACTGGAGTGCAGTGGTGCAAACACACAGCTCACTACAGCCTTGACCTCCTGGGCTCAAATGATCCTCCTCAGCCTCCCAAGTAGTTGGCACTACAGGCATAAGCTACTACGCCTGGCTAAATTTGTATTTTTTTTTGTAGAGACAGGGCCTTTCTAGTTTGCACAGGCTGGTATCGAACTCCTGGTCTCAATCGATCCTCCTCCCTCAGCCTCCCAAAGTTTTGGGATCACAAACGTGAGCCACCATGTCTGGCCAGGGCTAGGCCTTCTTGCTGAGCCACAGAGGTTTTCCCTCTCTGCAGCCTGAGCCCCTCATACTGTCCAGAGTCTGGGGTCTGCTGTTTGCCTTCCATCATAGGAAACCACAGAGAGGCCACAGAGACCTAACAGAGTTGTAAGGAGCACATGCCTGTGGGTGCAATTCTGCACTGGTGCATGCACAGCACACCCAGCCCCGGAAACAGCTCCACATAACTCACACAGGTTCACACATACATATGCACACGTGCCCTGGCACCTGCCACACTTGGGAACACACCACCCACGGCAGGCACGCAGGCACCATCACATGCATGGACCCACTTCCAGCCAGCTTACATAGTGTTCTAGCTTAGCTCAGCAGCAAGTTGCATGTGAAGAGCTTTCATAACCAGGAAAGAGATGGGAGAGGAAGAGCTGAGTCCTTGGATGCCCAAGCCCTTCCTTTGCCCCTCCCAGAGAAGCTAACAGGTTTCCCCAAGAACACAGATGGTTTGTCTGGCTCACCCTCTTCAGCCATCCCACATAAGTCCTGGTCAGAATACTCACAGAAAGTAGGCAAAGGTTTCTATGGGAGGATTGTCCCCAGCTTGCTCAGTCAGCTACCAGTCCTGCTTGTCGCCAGCTCAAGGCAAGGTTTTAAGCTAATCACTGTGAATTTTGGAGCTCTCCACCCCCCAGCCTATGCTGAGTTCAGACATGGCTGTGCATCAACGATGCTGCTCCTGCTGGCTCCACAGGAGTCTTTTCTACAACCTGAGGTCTCTCAGAGAGAATGAGGTTTGCCTTTGAGGTCTCTTCAGCCCCATTTCTTGTTCTCTCTCTCCTTCCTTTTGATGGCCTTGCAAGGTGCCCAGTGACTCCACAATTCCCTCATCCTGAGGGGTGCCTACAATCCAAGATCTGAACCTTTCTCTGCTCTAGGGCCACCGTCCCCTGAGAGCTGTGAGGTACTCCCAGCAACTCTGCTGCTCTGATGAGGAGGGGCCTCTGGGTTCACTGTCATCCACCCCAGAGAGCATATGGCCATTTTACCAGGCACCTGCCTCTACTCCAGGCTGGCTTAGGCAGGGAGGAGACCTTTTCTGGGGCTTCTCACATGATTCTGCTGAAGTAACCTCTTCCTTGGGAGTTTATAAGTTTACAAGAGTCAGACTGCCAAAGCCAGGGCCAGAATCCTCCAACATTGGAGCCAGAATTGGGGAATGTTACAGCTTTGGAGTGTAGAAAGTTGGAGTTCGAATTGTAGACTTCTAGAATGTTTGAGTAATTATAGACTCTTAGGGCTAGGGGTGTGGAATTATAAACAATTATAGCCAGAATTGGGGATTAAAGGAAATCAGGGCCAGAAGTGACGACAGCATCACTTGGTCCCACCTCCCTGACAGCTAAGAAGACAGCTGGCCTTATCACTCAGAAAGTCAGGGCTGGGCCAGGCCTCCTTCTCCCCAGGAGGGCTCTGTCCAGACCTTCCAGAGAAGCTCTCAGGGCCTCTGGGGCAGCAGTACTCCCTGTTAGGGACAGTGGGGACAGTGGCTTGCCTCTGTGGTGCCCGAGGTTGCACTGGCCCATCATGGCACCCCGTCACCATGAGATATATTTAGGTTCCCTCCCCAGATGTTTCCACAGCTCCCAACACTGCCTTTTATGTCCCCTTGTCCTCCAAGGCCTCCGGGCAACTCCTCTAAACTGACTCAATGAAGTCAACAGGAACAGGGGCACTTGCTCTGCCAATGCAGAAGTTTTAGCCCCAGAAACAAGGCTCAGCCTGCGGGGAGCCTCCTGGTCCACTTCTGCTTGCAGCTCAATGCTGACCTCACAGCCTCCCTTTCAGCTCTCAGGGCCTGTCTTGGTCCAGGGACTAATATTCCTGATCCTGTACTGGACTTTCCTCATTCCAGGCAGAGGGCAACCCAGGCTCCTGCCCCTGCCAGTTCCCAAACACACACATACACAGGGCCAGCATTTTTCGGTTCCTCCAGGGTTTGTCAGGACTGAGAAGCCTCCATCCAAGCCCATGGCTGCCCCTGCATTTCTCCCCCAACCTCTCTCCCACGCTCCATCCCAGGCTTTGACAGAGACCTGCATTGTCCTCTCCCAGACTGCATCTTCCCAGGAAGCAGGTGGTCACTGAGAATTCAACAAGGATTCAGTCTGGGAATGGGAAAGGATCCCTCAGAGATACTCAAATAGGGACTCTCTGATTCCTACCCACACAGCTTATTGGAATCACTGGCTCTGTGAAAACTGAGAGTTCCTGGGGTGGGCAGGGACCCAGTTGTGTGGGGGTCACCATTACTATCATCATAGTTTTGTCACCAGCTGTTAGGATTTCTATGTATCAGAGATTGTGCCAGCCACTTAATATCCAGGCACTCAGTCAGTCCTAAAAATAACCTATGAGGCAAATACTATCCACATCTACATTTTACAAAGGAAGAAACTGAGACACAGTGAGGTTTTGCCCAAAGTTCTGCAGATAAAGTGCCAGAGCCCTTTTGAAGCCTCTCTAATATTTCTGCGTTTGCTTAAATCAAATTTGAACCAAGCTTGGATGACACAAACACCTAACTGTCTCAGGAGGCAGCCTGCTAGGGGAACCCCCTTCTTCGTGGTCCCCAGGGTCCTGCAGCCCCTTCCTGCCCAGGCAGTGGAGAAGAGGCAAGAAATTCACTGATGGTCAGGGTTCCTCCTCAGAAGCCCAGCTCTCCTGCCCCTGCCCCAGGAGTGACCCAAACAACTCCCCCCCACCCCGCCCTGCAGCACACACCACATACCCAACATCACCGCCTCACTCCTGCTGAGTCCAAGTTCTTACATCTCAGTTTGGGAGACAGGCAGGGGATTCCCACCACAAGATAAACCCAGCTTACCTCCAAGACTTGAGCCAACTCATTGGATGGTAATTTATCAGAACAGTGTTTTTATATGCAGAAATATTATAGAAGAATGCAAAATCCACAGGAATTTTGGAAGATAAAAAAATGAGATTTCGGAGCAGCTTCTCTTGTATGTGCATGTGTTTGTATGTGTGAGAGGGTGAGCCTGGGACCTGTCATACTTTCTCCACCCAGATCCGGGTGAGCTTTCACTCTCCCAAGCCCTCCCGGGCACTGGGTGGAAAAGGCAGAGCCACCACGGAAAACATTCTGTCAGTGTCACCCCTGCACAAATGTGCCCCACCTTCCATCACCCAGCTCAGCACACCACAGGGGCCACGGATGTGCCACACAAAACACACACCTCACAATTCACACAACGCACACCCAGTGCACCACCCTGCCATGGCTCCCGCCACAGAGTGTACATGCACCGTGGACCCCTGTGTTACCCCAGCACAGTCACTCAGAGCTATAGAGAGTTGCAATGCACACTTCTTGCAGGCAGACACACACTGTGATCCATGGGTCACACCTTGCACATACCGCACACTAACCGCATACAACCCATTAACCCATTGCTCACAGTAATTTCTTTTTTTTTTTAGACGGAGTCTTGCTCTGTCGCCCAGGCTGGAGTGCAGATCGCGCTCACAGTAATCATTTACACATTGCCCACACTACACACATATGCAGGGACTCACCCCCGGCACCCGCCCTGACTGGCCGCGACCCTGGAGTGGGCAGGCCTCCCTGTATCCCCGCGCCCCGGCACCCCTTACCCCTGTCCCTGCCCGCGCACGCCCTTACCTGCGCCGCGCAGCACCAGCTGGTCCGGCCCAGATGTCACTCGCCCAGGCGCTGCTAGGAGGCGAACCCGTCAAATGAGGGGACCGTGTAGACGGCGGCAGCAGCTCCGGCCCCAGCGTCCCTGGAACCCAGAGGAGCCAGAGCAAAGCGGCAGGGAGGGGCTGTGGCCAAGCGGCCTCCGCACCGCTGGAGTCCCGCCCAGCGGCCCGCCCTCGTGGGATGACGGGGAGGTGATGTCTGGAAGAGGCTGCAGGCCTCTGGGGACCGCTCCTGGTCTGGGACCTGGGACCGGTGGACTCCAGTCCAGAATCCTTCACGACTTTACCTTTCCCTGGCCTCAGTTTCCCTCTTTGTATTGATATGTGTGTGGGGGGGGGCTGGGTATCAAATGGTGATTTCTCCCATCTTTCCAGCTCTGACATTCTGCAGTTCTGGGATAGTGGGGAGGAGGGAGGAATAATTTTAATTATTATTTCCTTGAGCACCTACTATGTGCCAAGCACTGTGCTAAGGTGTTCTAATGCATACCTCATTTAATCCTCATAGCAATTCTGGAGGTATTATTACTCATATTTTACAGGCAGGGAAACTGAGGCACAGAAATGAAGTGACTTGTTCAAGGTCACACAGCTGGTAAGTGGCAGACCTGAGATTTGAAGCCAGGTGGTCTGACTCCAGAATCCAAGTACCCCTGAAGCGTGGGTTTGTAACACTTTCCACACCATACCCTGCTTCCTCCTCTTCATAACAATCCCAGGAGCTTGGTGTTACCAGTCCATTTTACAGATGAGGAAACTGAGGCTCAGGGAGATTAGCTTGCTCTGGGTCACTCAGCTAGTGGGACATCACACTAAAGATGGGAGTGGGGATGGGAGTGATGCTCAGGATGGTGTCAGGACAGTGCCTGGTACACAGTTGGTGTCTCATCAATGTCAGTGTTCCTCCTAACTGTCACTCTCCTTCCCTTTTTCCCTTTTATCGCCTAAAATCTGGCTGGTGGACAGGGACCTCTGACTCCCTCATCTCTGAAACCTCCTGGATCTGCTGTCCCCAGATACAAACCAGCTCCTCCTCTCAGCCCCCATTGTGGCTTTTTATTCAACAATTACTGTGCCAGGTTGTGTGCTAGGCACTGAGGGTGCACTGGAACAACATTCCAGACAGTGCAGGCCTTGTGGAGTTGGTAATCTAGTGGGAAACACGGACATCAAACAAATAGTCACACAAATTTCATACATAGTTGCATATTGTGTTAACTGCTAAGAAGGAAAAGTCAAGAACTGGATGAAAGACTGTCATGGGGAAAGAGGCCATCTAATTTAAACTGAGAGATCTGGGAAGGCTTCCCAGAGGAAGAGACATTTAAGCTGAACCAGGAGAAGGAGTTAGACTTAGCCAGGTGAAGGTAAGGGGAAGAGAATCCTAGGCAGAAAGTACACTGAGGCCCCAAGACAGGACAGGTCTTCCCTTCACTGTCAATGTTCTTGAGAGAGGTGACAATTCTTGGACTCTTCTCTGCAGTGCCCTGCCCACCTATCCGGTCTCAGCTCCTGTAGCAACTACAAGACGGCCCTGCCAAGTATCCAGTGACCTCCATGTCTCTGAAGCAATGCACACATCTTAGTCACTCCACCGGACACTTTCAAAATTCCCCATGTGGGCTGTACAGCTCCCTTCCTTGTTCTTCCTCCACTTCACACTCTTCCCTAGGTAGCTCTGTCTCTGTCCTCCCCAGGGTTCTGCCCCACCCTTTTCTTGCTCACTCTGCACGTTCTCCCTGGGGAAGGCACTCATTCTCCTTATTCTCCTTTTATTCAGCAAATGTTGGATTTCCACTATCTGCCAGGATTAAGGAACAATTTTTTAAACAACAACAGCAAAAACAAAGAAAATTGTAAAGGAAAATATTAATAAGCTCAGAGTAATAAAAAGTTATGTTTGTACAAAAACACTAAAAAAGGAAAAAAGCAAGAAGACAGACTACCGACTGGAGATTATTGCAATGCATGTAACAAAGGATTATTATCCAGTATATAAAAATAACTCCTATACGTCAATAGGAAAAAGCTAAACAACCTAACAGAAAAATGATTGAAAGACATGAACAGGCATTTCACAGAAAAGAAAGCAATTATGGCCAATACACATAAGAAAATATGTTCAACCTGACTATCAACCAGGGAAATCTAAATTAAAACCAAATGAAATGATACCATTTCATGCATATCTGATTATCAAACTTTTTAAAGTTTGATAATTGGTTTGGTTGAAACCAATTCCATTCCTCCATTGCCCTAGACACACTTCTACATGTGGCCAGAGGGTACCCTACTGGACAGCAGATATAGGATATTTCCGTCATCACAGGAAGTTCTAAAGCATTTAAAACACTGACTACTTCATTATCTAACACTGAATGTGCTGCGTTTTCTCACATACAGAAGTGCTCCTGATTCTGCTGATTCTACTCAATTAAAACAAAATTGGCTTGGCTTCAACCAATAATTGGTTATTCAGCAAACGTTGAAACCAATTATTTGGTTGAAACCAAACGCACTTTGTTTGAATTGGCAGGAATTTTTACATACTGCTGGGAACACAACCAAGTTGAAGAACAATCTGTCAATATCTAGGAAAAGTGAAAATGCATAGCTTAAAACTGAACCATTCCACTTCAAGGCATATAATCAGGAGAAACCCCTGCACATGTATAAAGATGTACATCACAGCACTGTATCTTTTTATTTTTATTTATTTATTTATTTATTTATTTTTTGAGATGGAGTCTGTCTCTGTTGCCCAGGCTGGAGTGCAGTGGCATGATCTCGGCTCACTGCAACCTCCGCCTCCTGGGTTGAAGTGATTCTCCTGCCTCAGCCTCCCAAGTAGCTGGGATTACAGGTGCCCACCACCACGTCGGCTAATTTTTGTATTTTTAGTAGAGACGGGGTTTCACCATGTTGGCCAGGCTAGTCTCAAACTCCTGACCTCAGGCGATCCACCCGCTTCAGCCTCCTAAAGTGCTGAGATTACAGGCGTTAGCCACCATGCCAGCCTCTTCCCTTCATTATTAAGTATAGTTGTCTTCTAAGAAAGTGGAAAGGCCTGAGAAGAAAGTAGTTGAGCCTGAAAGACCTAGAAAAGCCTATTTATTATTAGAAGAAAATGTGGATGTAACAAAGCTCATTGGGAGGGCTGGACAGTGAAAGATGTAAGCTTGGCTTATGTGAGAGATGTGAGACTCATCCTCACCCACCATATGTGGGAGCGCTTCTGTGAGTGAGAAAATGCAGCACATTCATTATTAGATAATGAAGTAGTCAGTATTTTAAATGCTTTAGAACTTTTGGTGATGATGGAAATATCCTATATCTGCTGTCCAGTAGGGTAGCCTCTGGCCACATGTAGAAATGTGTCTAGGGCAACGGAGGAATGGAATTTTTAACTCCAAATTAATTTACGTTTAAATGTAAATAGCCTTATGTGACTAACAGATATCATATTTGATAGTGTAGTTTTATACTGTGCAGAAATCATTGCTGAGTGTTAATAGTTTTAAAAATTTTAATGGCATTTGGGGAAAATTAGGGTCTTAGGATGAGCTGGTGACACATTTTTCCTTTTTAAATTTCTGGGAATATAAGCTTTCACTATTCACAAATTTGTTATCAGAAATAAATTATATTCTTTTTTTTTTTTTTTGTCAGAGTCTCGCTCTGTCACCAGGCTGGAGTGCAGTGGCACAATCTCGGCTCACTGCAACCTCTGCCTCCTGGATTCAAGCGATTCTCCTGCCTCAGCCTCCCAAGTAGCTGGAACTGCAGGCACGCGCCACCGTGCCCAGCTAATTTTTGTATTTTTAGTAGAGATGGGGTTTCACCATGTTGGCCAGGATGGTCTTGATCTCTTGACCTCGTGATCCACCTGCCTTGGCCTCCCAAAGTGCTGGGATTATAGGAATGAATTATATTCTAACAGTAAAAGTGACTGTATGTTCTTAAATGGAATACTATATAGCAGACAAAAAATAAACTTGAGCAACCACATCAAGAAGGCTAAAATCACACAAGCATAATGTGACCAAAAAAGAAATATATAGGATACACACAGTATGAGACTATGCACATAAAGTTTTAATTATTGTATATTTCTATACAATAATGTAGAAATCATACAAAGGCATGTGTAAGAATGACCACCAGGGTAGAGGTCACCTTTGAGGAAAAGGAAGGGGTGAGATTGTGTGGGATCTATGCTGCTTTCTATTTCCCTCCTGACTCCCCAGCTCCCTAGCACACTCTGCAAAGACAAAGAGGATGGGCAGGGCCAGCACACAGAGGAGCCACCTCCCCTCCAAAGCCTTCTCTGGCTACCTCTCTGCCAGTCAGGGCTGAGGCCTCCTCTGGGCTCCCAAGTCCAAGTGTTGGCCTTTGTAACACCCTGATCACTCTGGCCTGGTGTTGTTTTTCTTCACACTTCTCCTCCACCAGCCAAGGAGTTTTTCCAGGGCATAATTCTTTGGAGATTTAAAGTCATCATCATCACTCATTTATTCTCTGACACCTGCTATGTGCCTAGGCCCGGGGAAGAAAAAAGATGAGTTGTTCATGGCTAGTGTCCTTCAGAAATGCCCAGTGTGGAGGAGAACAGACCAGAACCTGGTGGGCATTGGGCCAGAGAGACATGAAGATACATAGGAGCTCTGAGGGACCCCCAGCCCACCCAGCCCTAGAGCAGGGAGAACAGGGGTGGTTAAGGCACAAGTTGTGTCTTAGGCTGTGTTCAAGAACAACTAGAATTGTTTGGGTAAAGTAGGAGGAAGATGTTCCTGTTTACAAGAGGGGACAGCTTGTGAAGACCAGGAGGTGGGGTTGATCATGGCCAACTCTGAGAACCTCAAGAAGTTCAGTCCTACTGGGCAGTCCAGTGGAAGAGGGGAGTGGCATAAGAGAGCTGTAGAGAGGGCAGGGACCAGTCCTTTCAGGGTCTCGATGCCAGGCTGGGAAGCTTGGTTTATCCTGAGGGCAATGGGAACCATGGTAGGATTTAAGCAGGGTGGGACCTGGGGAGAGGCCCAGAGGTGTGTTTTAGAAAGCTGACTTATGCTGGCTGATGTGCAGAGGCAGTGGGTCGGTGAGGAGGCTGGGCCAGTAGTCCAGGCAGGTGGCCAGGGCAGTGGGGATGGAGGAGGAGTGATATATGGGAGATGATTAGAAGGTGGATTTGAGAACTTTTCTTTTGAGATGGGGGTCTGGTTCTGTTGCCCAGGCTGGAGTGCAGTGTCACAATCTCTGCTCACTGCAACCTCTGCCTCCCGGGCTCTGGTGATCCTCCCACCTCAGCCTCCCGAGAAGTAGCTGGGACTACAGATGCATGCCACCATGCCTGGCTAATTTTTATTTTTTTATTTTTTTAATTTTTTTGGTAGAGATAGGCTTTTGCCGTGTTGCCCAGGCTGGTCTTGAACTCCTGGGCTCAAGTGATCCTCCCACCTCGGCTTCCCAGAGTGGTAGCATTACAGGCATGAGCCACCACACCTGGCCTTGAGGGCTTTTTAAGGAGGTAGAATCAGCAGAATCAGGCAGATTGGATGCGAATGTGAGGGAGAGAGAGGGGATTCTCAGTTTGGGTTCCTCCAGAAGCTGATCCTGAGGCAAACATTTAAGTACAAATCATTTATTTCAGAGGTGATCCAGGGAAAAGAAGAAAGCCATGGTGGCTGCCGAGCAGGTCATCACTGTGGGTCAGTCCTGTGGGGAACCCGTGGGAGACTGCGCAGAACCTGCCACAGGGAGGTCCCACCCAAAAGGCAAGGAAACTGGAGCAGTTGGTCACCAACTCCAGCTGTCATCGGTTAAAGGCTGATCCTCAAACTTTCTGGCACTTCTGGCCAAGTGTGCTCCAAAGGCCAGAGAAACCCCAGGGCAGAAACCCAGGGTCCCACAGTGAGAAGCTGCAGAGGTGTGGGGATGAGAGTGCTAAGTGGCACAGGCAGCCCCCAGCCTTGGTGTCCCTGTGGGTCCTCTCAGGGCCGGGGCTGCTCTTTCAGCCCCAGCCATAGCCCTAGAACCCCCAGCCCCCTTCCTGAGGCCCAGGAGGGGCGTAGGAGGCACAGCATCTGCTGCAGGATGAAAGGAGCCCTGTCTGTTCCCTGTAGGCTGAGCTCTGGTTCTCCCAGCTGGGTGGAGGAGGGACTCTGTGTAGGAGTTGGGGAAGTGGGGGTGGGTTTCAACCTGATGGCCCTGCCTGCACCCCAGTGTTCTCTCCTCAGCACTCCACCTTTCTCACTGGTCCTCCTGCTGTCCCTGGGTCCTCCTGGGTATGCAGAGCCCTGGTTTCCATGGAGACTGTGCTCTGACCTCTGGAAATGCTCCCTCTGACCAGCTTAGCCAGGCCGCCTGATCCCCATACTCACATCAAGGCAAAGGAACTTGGCAGCTCTTTAATAAAACCAAATCCTGTTGCCCAGGAGCTTCATGTTTGGGCCTCTAGGCCATAGGGTGGGTGAAGTCACTTCTACTCTCTTTAAGATGGAGCCATCAGTTAAAGGAGGGAAGAGATGCCCAGGAGTGGAACTGTAGGGGGCAGCCAGAGCAGTAAGAGCAGGAGCAGGTCAGTGCCGTGTCACTCAGGCCAAGGGAAGATGGGCCTGGAAGAAGGAGGGAGGCCACAGGCTCAGAGCTGGGCCTGGGAGCCAGGCCCCACCCCCACTGGCCCCAGGAGAGGTCAAGGAGCCCTTGGTTAAACTGTGTCCGGCAGCTAATTTGCTTCCTCCTGTTCCGCTCCCTCCCAGCTTCAGCCATGGCCTCACAATCCTTAGCAGCTGGCAGGTGCCCAGCAAGATCCGGCACTGGATGAGCCATATCTGGCATTTCCAACAACTTTTGAGATATCCCCTCCCCCTGTCAGCCCCTGGCCTTGGTGTCCCTGTGGCCTCCTCTCAGGGCCGGGGCTGCTCTTTTAGCCCCAGCCATAGTCCTAAGACCCCAGCCTCCTTCCTGAGGTCCAGGAGCCCCCACATGGCTCCCCTTTGCCCTGTCAGTCCACCAGCCACAGCTAGCCCTTGTTCTGAACAGGAGAACCTCTTCCTGGAACTTGCCTCTTTCTCATTCCCACCACATTCCAGCTGCCCAACCAAGTGTTGATTCACAAATTCATGAGCCAGGAATCCTGCCCTGGCAGCTCTTAGTCAGGGCTCTGGATTCCTCTCTTGCCTCTAAGCACACTGATGGGACACTCCATTTAGCTCCCTCCTACCAGACCCATGCCCACCAGCGCTGCTCCTGGTACAAATGTTTGTTTGTTTACTTATTTATTTTCAAAACGGAGTCTTTCTCTGTTGCCCAGGCTGGAGTGCAATGGCATGATCTTGGCTCACTGCAACCTCCTTCTCCTGGGTTCAAGCAATTCTCCTGCCTCAGCCTCCTGAGTAGCTGGGATTACAGGAGTGTTCCACCACACCCGGCTAATTTTTTGTATTTTTAGTAGAGACAGGGTTTCACCATGTTGGCCAGGCTGGTCTTGAACTCCTGACCTTGTGATCCACCTGCTTCGGCTTCCCAAGGTGCTGGGATTACAGGCGTGAGCCATCATGCCTGGCTATAAATGTTAACATACTTTCTGGCAGTATATAAAGGAGCATAGTGCCTATGTCAGAGGAGGTGATAGTCCACAGAGATCTGCTGCTCACACTACCTGTGGAGCCCTGTGACCTCTGCAACACTGCCTGCTGCCCTTGGGACTGTAGGGACACTGAGAGGGTGATGAAACCAACACATGGAACAAAAAGCCAAGTTAGGCCGGGCGCGGTGGCTCACGCCTGTAATCCCAGCACTTTGGGAGGCCGAGGCAGGCGGATCACCTGAGGCCAGGAGTTCAAGAACAGCTTGGCCAACATGGCAAAACCCCGTCTCTACTGAAAACACACACAAAAAATTAGCCAGGCGTGGTGGCTGGTGCCTGTAATCCCAGCTACTGGGGAGGCTGAGGCTGGAGAATCGCTTGAAACCAGAAGGTGGAGGCTGCAGTGAGCTGAGACTGCGCCATTGCACTCTAGTCTGGGCAGCAAGAGCGAAACTCCATTTCAAAATAGAATAAAATAAAATAAAATTTAAAAAAGCCAAGTTAATGTGAGTCAACCCTTGGGAGTGGGGCAATTCTTTCACTTGGTACCAACAGATCCCTGTCCATTTTAAAACAGATTTACTGAATCTGAGATTCAAGCAGACATTATTGTCTAGTAAATAGTCTAAACTATGTTCATAATGAAGAAAAAGTTGGTGTTTTCATTTATTTCAGCTCTTTAAGAAATCAACAAATCAAAACTGAAATATTGGAAATGACCTGTCTATTCATAGGGAACTGGTTAAATAAATCATGGTTGTTAAAACAGAACAGGGGAGTTTTTATGTAGAAAGACCTTTAAGAAAACTTCAGGGCCAGGCATGGTGGCTCATGCCTGTAATTCCAGCACTTAGAGGCCAAGGCAGGGGGATCGCTTGAGCCTGGGAGTTCAAGAGCAGCCTGGGCAACATAGTGAGACCCTGTCTCTAAAAAAATAGAATAAAATAGCCAGGCGTGATGGCTGACACCTGTAATCCCAGCACTTTGGAGGCCAAGGCAGGGGGATCACAAGGTCAGGAGTTCAAGACCAGCCTGGCCAACATGGTGAAACCTTGTCTCCACTAAAAATTATACAAAAATTAGTTGGGCATGGTGACACATGCCTGTAGTCCCAGCTACTCAGGAGGCTGAGGCAGGAGAATCACTTGAACTCGGAAAGTGGAGGTTGTGGTGAGCCTAGATCGCACCGCTGCACTCCAGCCTGGGCGACAAGAGCGAGACTCTGAATCAAAACAAAAACAACAACAAAAACACCAAAAAACAAACAAACAAAAATTAGCTGGGTGTGGTGGCACGCGCCTGTAGTCCCAGCTACAGGGGAGGCTGAGGCAGAAAAATTGCTTGAACCCGGGAGAGATAGTGCCACTGCACTCCGGACTGGGGGACAGAGGGAGACTCCATCTCAAAAAAAAAAAAAAAAAAAAAAAGAATAAAATAAAAATAAATTTAAAAAGGAATTTTCAGAAGAAAGCTAGGTGTAGAAATATGTATGTAGTAGTATGCAAACTTTTGTGTATGAAGGAAGAAAAAAAACACTACTTTTAGGATTTGTATATACATATAGTTACCTGGAAACATAAAGAAGCAACCACTGACTGGGTTACTTATTAGGGCCAATAACAGGGAGATCCTTCACTGTTTACCTTTTTTTGTTTGTTTGTTTGAACCAAGTGAATACATTATTTAGTTGAAAATTAAATGAAAAAGAAACAGATCACTTTTAAAAATCAAGATGTCACATTTAGTAAAGGTGCCCCAAATGTTGAGGCGTGACAAGGTTCCAATGATGAGAAAAATGGAATGTTTTTATCAACAAAGATTGATATAGGGATTTACTGTTTTCTAAGTAGTTGTGCATAAATTTAGACATTAACTTTCTTCAGCCTGGGCAACATGGCAAAAACCCATCTCTACAAAAAAAAAAAAATACAAAAATTAGCTGGGCATGGTGGCACATGCCTGTAGTCCCAGCTACTCAGGAAGCTGAGGTGGGAGGATCACTTGAGCCTGGGAGATTAAGGCTGCAGTGAGCTGAGATCGTGCCAATACAATCCAGCCTGGGTGACAGAGACCCTGTCTCAAAAAAAAAAAAAAAAGAAAAAAAGATATTAACCTTCTTAAGCCTTATTAGGGACAGTTGATTATTTCAATTTTTCAGAGGGGGAAACTGAGGCTCAGAGAGGTCAGTGGTCTTGCCCAAGGCTCCCCCATCTGTAAGTAAAGGAGCTGGTCCTGGATGGAATCTGGGAGCCCGACCACAGGAACAAAGGAGAGCGCAGAACAGAGTCCACCCAGGAAGACCCCTGGGCTAATGCAGGGGTTCAAGCACACCCTGGGCAGGGACAGGCCTAAGTTGAATTCTGGCTCTTCCACTCATAGCTGTGTGGCCAAGCCAAGTTCCTTTCATTCTCAGAGCTCTGGTCACCTGTACAACGGGGATAATAATTCTGTCCTCCCAAGTGGTTTGAGTTTTAACTGGAATAGTGTATGTAAAACTCTCAGTACAGTGCCTGCCACAAACAATCAAAATTTCTAACTGTTGAAGTGTTTTCTTTAAATAACAGAACGAGATTGTTGTTGTTGTTGTTGTTGTTGAGATGGAGTCTCACTCTGTCACCCAGGATGGAGTGCAGTGGCACAATCTCGGTTCACTGCAACCTCCACCTCCCGGCAGAACCAGATATTTTAATTCAACTGAACTCCCTATAGTTCTTGAATTCCCTATATGCCTGCCTCATAAATTAAGAAGAGGAGAAGCATTGGAGAATTGAAGGAAGTATAGGAAACCACCTTTGCCCTAAAAGATGCTTATGGTTTTATTGGTGAGACAACCTTTAAGTAGGCCCACACAGCCTTTCTAGGAATACAGTTTATTACTGTCAATATTCAGTTTATTTTTCTATGCTAACCTCATTGTAAAATTAAAATGCAGATGGATTGTTCATCCAATTTTATGTGCAGTGGTTTTCAATACGTGACAAAATTCACAGTAAGAACTAAATGTTGTTTTTTTCAGAATATTTGAAGCCATTTTAAATGACGTTGTGCATAACTTGTATCACCAACTGTGTTCCACCCTAACAGAGGCACATATCCAGTTCTCCTCCAATCATCCCGCATCCATGCTGCTTTTGGCATTAATGGTGCCAAAATGGTGGCACTGCCATGTGTTCTCTTCATTATCTAATGATTAATTGTACTGACATACATGATACTCACTTTGGGCTTCTGGCAATTCGCAGACTGGGCTTCTGGCAATTCGCAGACTGGAAAAATAGTAACAGATTAGTGATGAACTTCATTAAAAATTATCATGTAAGGAACAGCAGACATTCCACAGTGTACACATATATTAAAACACCACACTGAGCCAGACATGGTGGTTCATGCCTGAAATCCCAGCATCTTGTGGTGAGGGTAAGGTGGGAGTATCACTTGAGCCCAGGGGTTCAAGACCTGCCTGGGCAACATAGCAAGGCCCCATCCCTACTATATATATATATATATATATATATATATATATATATATGTGTATGTATGTATGTATCCAGGCATGATGGCACGCACCTGTGGTCCCAGCTACTTGGGAGGCTGAGCCAGGAGCATAACTTGAGCCCAGGAAGTCAAGGCTGCAGTGAGCCTTCACGCCACTGCACTCCAGCCTGGGTGGGAGAGTGAGACCCTGTTTCAAACAAACAAAAACCAACATAAAAAATATATCACATTGTGCCCCATAAGTATATACAATTATTATTTGTCAATTAAAAATAAAAATTTAAATTAAAAAAGAAACAGCAGAATTGTTCATTGCAGTTCATTATTATTATTTTTCCCAATGTTTTAGAATAAGGGAATGTAACACTTATCTCAAAGGGAAAAGCCCTGACTTCTTTCTGTCTTGTGGAGAGGGCCACAAGTGTGCTTCCTCACCAGGGAGCTTGGTTTGGTTGGAAACACTTCCACCTGTCACCACTTGAGGATGTGGCAGGCAGATGCTCTTAGGTTTTGTCACTCTCAGAAGGGGACAAGAGAGGCCAGAAGAACAAAAGCAAAGGCAGTAAGGTTAATAATACAAAAGGACGAGATTGAGGTGGTTTAGGTCCACCTGGAGCTGTCACAGGCTGGAAGGGAGACACTTCATCGAAATTCTGCTGCCTCTTGCAGAAACAAAACTGAAAAGAAAGAGACCCCTTCCAAAGGACTTGGCACTTCTGGGTTTAGGTAAGCAGACTTTGGCGCCCAGCTTTTCTCCAGGCAACTTATGGACTTGTGGTATATGCCTAGGATTTGGAAAAGAGCAGGAGACGGAGGGGTCCCAAACTATAATGAAAAGTGTCTAGGTCCCTTGTATGAACAACAACCCAGTAAAAGCTGTCTGCAAGATGTTCAGGAGGTGAGAAAGCAAGGAATGAACCAGGATTACCTATTAGGGAAGTGATAAAAAGACCCTATTTGAAGAGAGACTGAACATTCTTCCATCTAAAGAATAAATATAGTTAGAAACAAAATCTTGCAATGAAAAAACACCAAAAAAAAAAAGTGGGGATCTTGTATTAGGGCTCTCCAGAGAAACAGAAACAATTATATATATATAAAATTATATATAAAATATATAATACATAAAATACATAATATATAATATTTATTTTAATATTTAATTATTTTAAATATATATTTAATTATTTTAAATATATATTAAAATATTTTAAATATATATTTAATTATTTACATATATATTTAATTATTTTAATATATATTTAAATATTTTAAATATTTAAATACAAAATATTTAATTTTTTTTTTTTTTTGAGACGGAGTCTTGCTCTTTCGCCCAGGCCGGACTGCAGTGGCGCTATCTCGGCTCACTGCAAGCTCCGCCTTCCGGGTTCACGCCATTCTCCGGCCTCAGCCTCCTGAGTAGCTGGGATTACAGGCGCCCGCCACCGCGCCCGGCTAATTTTTTGTATTTTTAGTAGAGACGGGGTTTCACCATGTTAGCCAAGATGGTCTCGATCTCCTGACCTCGTGATCCGCCCTGCCTCGGCCTCCCAAAGTGCTGGGATTACAGGCGTGAGCCACCGTGCCCGGCCTAATTATTTTTAATATATATTTTATATATAATATATTATATCTATAAATAATATATAATATATTATATCTATAAATAATATATAATATATTATATCTATAAATAATATATAATATATTATATCTATAAATAATATATAATATATTATATCTATAAATAATATATAATATATTATATCTATAAATAATATATAATATATTATATCTATAAATAATATATAATATATTATATCTATAAATAATATATAATATATTATATCTATAAATAATATATAATATATTATATCTATAAATAATATATAATATATTATATATATAAATAATATATAATATAATATACTATATATTATATATAATATATAATATATAATATATATAATATATAGTATATTATATATATTATATATTATATATTATATATATCATATATTATATATACAATATATAATATATTATATATAATATATTATATAGTTTATATAAATAATATATAATATATTATATATTTTATAGAAATAAATAATATATTATATATTATATATAAATAATATATAATATAATATTATATATTATATATAAATAATATATAATATAATATTATATATTATATATAAATAATATATAATATAATATTATATATTATATATAAATAATATATAATATTATATTATATATTATATATAAAAATATATAATATTATATTATATATATTATATTTTATATATAAATATATATATATTTTTATATATATAAAAATATATAAAAAATATAAAATATATATAAATATATAATATAAAATATATATTATATATTTTATATAATATATAATATAAAATATATAATATATATTTATATATAAATATATAATATATATTATATATTTATATATATAAATATATAATATATATTATATATTTATATATATAAATATATAAATATAAAATATATATTATATATTTATATTTGAAGGAAGTATAGGAAATAATTACATATTTATTTATTTATTTACTTTAGGAACTGGCTCACAGGATTATGGAATCTGAGAAGTCTCATGATCTACTGTCTGTCTGTAAATTGGAAAACCAGGAAAGCTGTTGGTGTCATTTAGGCCAAGTCTGAAGGCCCAAGGACCAGAACCCCAATTTCCAAGGGCAGGAGAAGGTGGATGTTCCCTCTCAAAAAGAGAGCATGCTGAGTGCGGTGGGTCATGCCTATAATCCAAACATTTTGGGAGACCTAGGCGGGAGGATCACTGCAGTCAAGGAGTTCGAGACCAGCCTGGGCAACAAAGCGATACCTTGTTTCTATAAAAAAGAGTTTTTAAATTAGCCAAGTGTGGTGGTTCACACCTGTAGTCCTAGCTACTCAAGGGCTGGGGTGGAAGGATTGCTTGAACCCAGGAGTTCGAGGCTGCAGTGAGCTATGCAGTGAGCTATGATCGCTCTGGGAAACAGAGCATCTGTTTCTAAAATAAAAAAAAGTGGGGTGCAGTGGCTCACACCTATAATTCCAACACTTTGGGAGGCCAAGGCAGGCAGATTGCTGGAACCCAGGAGTTCAAGAACCCAGGAGTTCAAGACCAGCCTGGGCAATGTGGCAAGACCCTGTCTCTACAAAAAAATACAAAAATTAGCCAGGGGTGGTGGTCCACGCCTGTAGTCCTAACTACTTAGGAGGCTGAAGTGGGAGAATTACTTGTGCCCAGGAGGCAGAATTTGCAGCAATGAGCCAAGATTGCGCCACTGCACTTCAGCCTGAGCAACAGAGCAAGGTTCTGTCTCAAAAAAAAAAAAAAAAAAAAAAAAAGAGAGTGAGAAAGAGAGAGTGAATTTGTCCTTTCTCCACCTTTTCTTTAATTCACATCCTCAATGGGTTGGATGATGACTACCCACCTTGGGGAGGGCCATTTGATTTACTCAGTTCGCCTACTCACATGCTAATTTCTTTGAGAAGCATTCTCACAGACAATGTTTTACCAGCCATCTGGGCATTCGTTAGCCCGGTCAGGTTGACACATATAATTAACCATCACAGATCTCCCTACATTATCACCACTTTCCTGGATTTTTAACCAGCATTCTTCTTGTTCCTCAGGCTTTAAACAGGGAGTTCAGCACAGACCTCAAATTGTAACAGAAAACAGAAAGCAACATCTCCTGGTTCATAGACCCTGGAGAAAAATATTTGAGATACATGAATGCCACTGACTCAAAGAAAACAGAAATGGCATTGACGTGAAAGCTGCAGGTGCTGAAAGGTTTTAGTTTGCCTTGAGCAAGTTAAATGAAAGTAAGAGAAGCAAAGACTGGATACTGTACTATTAATACCCACCACAGTGAAAACCACTACTTCATTGGCACAGGTGCTGGTACAAGAAACTTAGAGGACCAAGAGGCTGTCATAAGATGATGGTTGATGACATCAATACTACAAAAGGTCGGCCTAAGTATGTGCCCTGTGTGGGAGTGGTTCCAGCAAATCCAGTCTCTCTCTCTCTCTCACCTGAGGAGACATGGTGACCTCATGCAATGATGGATTGTAGATGGCCACAAAGCAACCACAGGCTATGAACATCAACACGTGGTATTTATAGAGAGGACAATAAAGAGAAAGAAAAGCTGCGAGGCCGGGTGCGATGGCTCACGCCTGTAATCCCAGCACTTTGGGAGACTGAGGTGGGAGGATCACTTGAGTCCGGAAGATCAAGACTGCCTGGGCAACATAGCAAGACCTCATGTCTACAAAAATTTAAAAAATTAGCCAGGTGTGGTTTTACGTGGTATCCTATCGTCATACTTACCTGGGAGGCTGAGGTGGGAGGATCACTTGAGCCAGGAGTTCAAGGTTGCAGTGAGCTATGATTGTGCCACTGCACTCCAGCTTGGGTGACAGAACAAGAAGACCCTGTCTTTAAAGAAAGTGTTTAAAATAAAAAGAAAAACAGCTGAGTCATGCACCTGACATAGAAGATGTTTTTCTTTGATACAAAAGTCATGAGCATTCTGGGGGTGCAAACAGGACAATAGAGATCAGGGAAGGACTGGGTGAAAGAAAACAGAGCTTGGGGGTGGGAAGGTATGAATTTCAGCCAATTAGAGCAATCAAGGCCAGGTTCCCCACCATGGAGACAACTTGTCAACCTAGCAAGAGTAAATGCAGGCCCAGAGGAGTCATTTCCAGCAGGCATCGCCTTTGGGAATATATACCCCAAGAAAACACAGCTCCTTTGTTGCCTGTAACAGATCTGCTGATTCTCATGTGTGCCTGCCCCACAGAGGGCTGGAGAAAAATGTTGTCCAGTCTCTCTTCTGTTTCAGATTTTCTCCCTGTTTCCTCTGAGGTGGCTTCTGAGTATTTAGGGAGTTGGGGCCTCATATCTCTGTAGCAGGGAGAAGAGATGGAACCTTGGCTTTGACCTCCATTCTGATGTCTACTCCTCCTCCACACTTATTTTTTTTTTTAATTTGCCATTAAAGAAACTGAGTCGTGTATCCTATAAAGGTTCTCAAATTCTGGATTTGGTTAATTTCATCACCTATTGCTATCTCAACTTCCTCAGTCACCTGTATTTTCTGAAAACTGGTAGTTAGATCTAGAGGTTTGATCAAATTCAGGTTCACCTATGAATTCTTCATAGGAGGTGGTGTGTACTTCTTTGTACCCCATAAAGCAGGACATAATGTCTAGTTCTCTCTCTTTTTTGTGATGTTAATATTGGCCATTGGGTTCTGGTGTTATCAGACTAGCAACCATTGGGATGATTACTGCTCAGACTTGCCTGTAGAAATAGAAAGCAAAGCATATAGGTATATTTTTTAATGTTAAAGTAAGCACATTAAAAAAGTAATCAGAAATACTGAGATTAATTTAAATAATATATTTTATTTAATCTGTTATATCAAAAATATTATATAAAAACCAAGATATTTTACAATCTTTCTTTTCTGTATTAAGTCTTCAAAAATCTAGTGTGTATTTTACACTTATACCACATATCAATTCCGATAAGCCACATTTCAAATGTTCAGTAGGCACTTGTGGGTAGTGGCTGCCACATTGGACACCCCAGGCCTACAGGCATTAATTGATTAGGGCATGCAAAATGATGATATTTAATTCTGTGATACCTTCTTCATTTATTGGCTGGAGTTCAGTAAAGAAGAATTTTCCTCGGTGTCTATTTAGTTACTCTGAAATACAGTTTGTATAGGAAAGACAGATTCTTTTCCTTTTAACCTGCCTTTCAGAATAATACATTGATAAGCTACCAACCTACAGAACAGACCTACACGTTTGCTTGTTTGTTTGCTCTTAGTATCATTATAAACTCATAGATTGAAACACAAGTTTCAGATTTGTATGTTTCAATCCATCGTAGGCATTATTCTTTTTGATACTTAAAATACCCCATCTTTGTGCAGCACAGTCCTCAAGTTGGTTTTTATGTCCTTTAAACACAACGTTAGTAGTGCTGACAACTTGCTTTTTGTATGACAAAATATTCTGAACCCATCTTATGCATTTCCTGCCACGAACCCAGAATCAGCCATTTCTCCAAGAAGCCCTTGTTCCTTTTAATAGGAAATACATTTAGAACCTTTGAAGCGGGTACTAGAGGTGCTCAGCATCACAGGGCTAGTTATTGTTCCCAGGCCTTTTTAGAAGTTAGAAATAGAGAATACTTTTTAAAGAGAAAAAAGCATCATGAGTTTATACAGATGTTTCCAAATCCAAGACTATACTGATAGTAGTTTTTTCTTCTTTGATTTTATATTCGTATCTCTTTTCTCTTATGTTGAAAATGTTGGTTTCCAGTGACATTAACATAATTAGATTTTCATTATATCCTACTACATGTAATAGTTTCAAACTAACACCATCAATAGTATTAAAGTTGACCCTTGAACAGTGCAGGGGTTAGGGATGTCAACCCCTCACGCAGTTGAAAATCCACATATAACTTTTGACTCCCCCAAAACTTAACTACCAATATTCTACTGTTGACCAAAGCCTTACCGAAAATATAAATAGTTGATTAACACATATTTTGTATGTTGCATATATCATATACTGTATTCTTATAATAAATTAAGCTAGAGAAAAGAAAATGTTATTAAGAAAACATAAGGAAGAGAAAATATATTTACTGCTCATTAAGTGGAGGTGGATCATCATAAAGTTCTTCATCCCTCTCATCTTCATATTGAGTAGGCTGAGGAAAAGGTGGAAGGTGGGGATTGGTCTTGCTATCTCCGGAGTGGCAGAGGCAGAAGAAAATCTGCATATATGTGGACCCATGCAGTTCAAGCCCATGATGTTCAGGGGTAACCGTACTTGTAATATGATTACAAAGACTGCTTCAGATTTCTTTAGAGTTAGTTCTCTTTGTCCTTAGAATATGTCCTTCTTAGGAATGTACAGTGAGGCAGTTATTAATTCCAGGAAAAACAAAAAGTTATGCAAGAAAGAAAATATAAACATAGAATGCCCTAAGATGTCACTGTGAGCAACATTTTTGACATCATAAAAATGGAAGCACTGAATATTTAATCAAAAATTGCAATGGGAGAATGAGAGAAGGAAGAGAACTAAAGCCTCATTTCACAAAAGGAAACCAGTATATAATGTCTAAAATGGAAGAAACCGATTTTTAAAAATGGTCTGAGTTTGATACTGACATGAAAGTTTTCTTTTTCTCCAGTCGAATTTAAATTGCCACTCATTTCCATCACACGGAATTTACACTCACTCCTCTTCTCTGCTGCCTCCCAGCCACCCTTTTTGACTCCAGCTCAGGAAATGGAGACATCTTTTTTTTTTTTTTTACTGAAGTGGGATTGTTATTTAAATGTTCTTTGGGTAATCCTGTTCCCTGGACAACCCTGACTTGGACAGTGTCCCCTAGGGCAGACCCTCCAATTCAGGTTGGATCTCTTGCCAGGCAGATGTGTGAGTTCTCTGTGGCAGTAGCTCAGGCAGGCTGAGGGAGGGGTGGCGATTAGCGCGCTCCTTCAGCTCCTTCACCGAGGAGGGGATTTGAAGTGAATCTTGGAGGAGGAGACACATTTCAGGTGAGCAAGGAAGTCAGAAGGATTCTGTAGACGCAGGGACAGCATAGGAAAGGCAAGGTGCCTGGAAGGGATTCTGCAATACATCCAGTATTCCACAATACACGTGTTACTCCTCAGGGACACTGTTCAGTCACTCTGGTTTTTCTGGCCGCCCAAGATGTAGGGCCATTTCCTAATCTATTTAATAATAGGCATATCATTTGGCGTCTGCTCAGCTCAGCCCACGGCCTTGGAACAAATGGACCCAATTAAAAGGCCATCATAGGGGAATTCAAGGGAAGAGGAAAAAGCCATTGATCAAATCAATGCTCAGTTGCCCTGGGGCTGGTTTGTGACCAGCTATGCCAGAGTCCTTCCCCCTATCCTCTCCCAGATGCTGTCCTAGACCTGAGGACCTTCCCGCCACCCTGGTCCCATCCTCCTCTCCTCCACCCCCACCCACTGACTAGCTGTGTGGCCTCACACTACATCTTCTCTAGATCTCAGGGTCACTGTCTACAAAACATTGTAGGCATCCTCTGCACCCCCTCTTCTTTTATCACCTCCTTCCATCCAATCCATAAAGGATCCCATTCACTCTTCCTTCAGAATACATCTGGCATTGGTCCACTTCTCCCCACCTCCATTGCTACCACCTGGTCCCAGTCCTCAGCCTGAGCTCTCACCTGGATTTCTGCAACAGCTCCTCCCTGTAGTCATTACTTCTGACCTTGCCCCACTGTGGTCTATTCTCAGCACAGCAGACAGACCAATCCTTCTAAAATGTAAGTCAGATTCTGTCTCCTCCTCAGACCTTGCATGGCTTCCCTTCTCATTCAATGTCCTACCAGATCTCCCCCGACCTCTGGCCTCCCCTCCTCCCCTCCAGGCCCACTCCACCCCAGCTGCAGGCCCTAGGGCTTTGCACTTACTGGTCCCTCTTTCTGGGAGCTCTTTTCCATTTGGCTAACTCCCACACCTCCTTCAAGTATTTGCCCAAATGCCTCCTTTTCACCCAACCACCCTATTTAAAATTGCAACCTTCATGTCCTCACAATCCCTCTTCCTGTTGTTTTTTGCCTCCTACAGAGCTTGTCACCTTTTAACACACCATATAATTTACATTCTATTATGTTCACTGCTTATTATCTCTCTCCCCCTACTAGAATGTGAGCTCAAGGGCATCGTCTTTGTCTTTTTTTTTTTTTTTTTTTTTTTTTAAAGAGACAGAGTCTCGCTGTGTCTCCCAGGCTGGAGTGCAGTGGCATGATCTCGGCTCAGTGCAACCTCTGCCTCCTGAGTTTGAGCAATTCTTCTGCCTTAGCCTCCCGAGTGGCTGGGACTACAGGCGCCTGCCACCACACCCAGCTAATTTCTTTTGTATTTTAGTATAGACGAGGTTTCACCATGTTGCCCAGGCTGGTCTCAAACTCCTGAGCTCAGGCAATCTGCCTGCCTCGGCCTCCCAAAGTGCTAGAATTACAGGCGTGAGCCACCACACCTGGCTGTCTTTGTTTTTTTAATTCACTGATGATTTACGGACATTACACAGAGCAGTACCTGGCACATAGTAGGTACTTACTAAATATTTGTTGAATAAATGAATGAATGAGTGGGTGATAATAAGGTTCCTGCCTCAAAGGGCCATTGTGAAACTTGTAAAATAATTAATTTATTTCCTTTGCAAAGGAAAGGAATGTGCCGGGCACTGATGGGCACGGAGGATAAAGCAGTGACCAAAACAGATCCCTGCCTTTTGGGAACTTTCATTCTAGCAAGGAGAAACAGCATAAATAAACTATGATGTGAGTATGGTTACCATCCCCCCCCACTTTTTTTTTTTTAATTTGAGATGGAGTCTCGCTCTGTTGCCCAGGCTGCAGTACAGTGGCACAATCTCGGCTCACTGCAACCTCCGCCTCCTGCCTCCCGGGTTCAAGGAATTCTCCTGCCTCAGCCTCCCAGGTAGCTGGGATTACAGGCACGTGCCACCATTCCCAGCTAATTTTTGTATTTTAGTAGAGATGGGGTTTCACCATGTTGGCCAGGCTGGTCTCAAACTCCTGAGCTCAAGTGATCCACCCGCCTCGATCTCCCAAAGTGCTGGGATTACAGGTGTGAGCTGCCATGCCCGGCCAGTTACCCCCTTTGTTTATGATGAGAAAACAGGTACCCAAGGTCGCCTGATTGATGAGTGGCAGAGCTGGGATTCAAACGCAAGTCCCTCTGACTCCAGGATTTGTGTGCTTTCTGTGCTGTGAATGAGGGCATCTGGGTTTATGTGGAGTAAAAGCTTGTGGGTGAGAGGTGTGCAGAGATCTGAGAGGACGGCTTAGGAGGCTGGCTGAGGCTTCCCATCTTACCTCTGCTTCTGGATCCACACAAGGACCCCGAACTCAGGCCTCCCTTTCCACATGACTTCCACAGGAGTCAGACACATCTTACCTACGGACATGCTGGTGGGATCCAAATTACAGGCATCTCAGGTGTGGTGGATGAACCCCAACTTCTTCCCAGATGGAGTTCCTGGGAGAACCGGCTGTGCTAGTCACACTTCTCCGGGGCATGGAGTGCAGTTTTGAAGGCTGTCCTGTGAGAAGACAAGGACTTCTAGGGGCGTGCGGAGGGCAGGGGTCTCTGGTGAGGATGGGGTTACCGGAGTGGGGTAGAAGAGAGAGTTAGGGGTGCCCATTCTTTGGAAAGAGCATGGTTACACCCTTCCATGTCCTTCCACGGCTGCCCTAGGCAGATGTGCTGTGTCCCTGAGTCTGAGCTGGGGAGGCGCAGGACCCTGTGAAGAGTGGTCTTCCACAGGAAAAGGGATTGCTCAGCAGGGAATGATCTCTACCCCTGGCTGGGGTGCAGGAGACGGACATCATGGTTTGGGCCAGGCACCGTCACCTTGTTGGCAAGTCAGGGCATGTTGGCAAGTCACTGTATGCAAATTGTGTTCTCTGTTTCAATTGTCAGCTCTCCCCCCGGACCCTCACACTCAACAGCCTGGCTGCAGCCGGATCATTTTCTTATCACCCCATAGGCGAAGGTCTGGATCCCAGCCCCCGTTTCCTGCCACTGCTGCCAGCTTTGGCCACCAGGGGGAAGCAGAGCAGCACCAACCAACCTGGGGCCCTTCGTAGACTAAACAGCCAGGGCAGAGCACAGAGTGGACTGTCCCTGTCCGCCTCCCTTTGCTCCCAAGGATTCTGGGGACAGGGAGCAAAAGGGGAGGGTGATGGGGAGTGGGGAGGGAAAGGGAGTTAGAGTGGGAGGGAGGGAAGGAGAGGGGGTGCCACAGAGCTGGCAGCTGGACCCTCTCTCCATTCCCATCTCTTCCTGCCATTCCACTTCCACTTCCGGGGTTTAGTCTGACTCCTGGCAGCCCCTTGTTGCCCCCCTCTGGCCTGGCTGCCCACCTGCAGCCCTTCTGTCTCTGAGTGTCCACTTGGTACCTGCCAGGACTGCCCCTCGCCCCTCACCATCCTCCCTGGAACATGTGATCATTCAACACACACATAAACACACGTGCACACACACAGAGACAGCACACACTGTGTGGACTAAGGTGGCAGGCTTTTAATTTCCTCCCCCACGTTTTACAATTGCTTTGGTCACAAAGGCAGGTCTAACAGTTTAATTCCACGCCAGAGAGGAGGGGACTTTTCATGTGGCTGCTGATTTGGAATTTGGTTCCAGGACATAAATCTGAGGACACATGGGGTAAAATAGCCCGCTTTCTAAAGAAACCTGGAAACAACTGGGGTAAGACATCTTCTCAGGGTTCCTTGCCCCAGCTCTCTACACACCCCACCTCACTCTACACGCTGAACCCTGGGCACCATGGATTCAAAGACATCTTTGCCACTGTGAGATCTCAGCCAAGTGTGGGGTGTGGGGTGGGAGGGGGACAGGCTTCCACATCCCCAGCAGGGTGTGCAGGAAAATCACTCAGGGAGACCAGGGTATCAGTCAGAGTCCCAGCAGGAAAGACGTTGCACACTCTAATCAGGTCATTTTGGGATAGCTTAGCGGAGAGACTGTTTTTACAAAGGTGTGGACTGATGTTTGGAGAGTTCTGTGCAGGGGGCACTGATGGCCCAGGAAGCAAGGTCAGCAAGAGAGGGCTGTAGCATCACCAGGAAAGACACATTGGTCCCTTTCCTCCCCACCCTGCCCCAACACCTAGAGGAGAGAGGGACCCAGAAGAGGAGTGATGAAGGTCCTCACAGCATGGGGGAAGAGGACAGGTGAGCATTCAATTAAGCAGGCGATGGAAATCTTAAACCTGACTTTGTTACCCAAAAGTGACTCAAAAGTTTGGAGTTTGCCAAATGCGCAGTTTATGGATGGGAAAGGAAAATCACACGTCACTGAGCAGGGAGCATGGGTGGGAGGAAAATCAAACAGTTGCATGTTTGTGCCTCACTGCATTGTCTCTGTCTAGTAAACCGGGAAAAGAGGTATTGGTATTACCAGTTCAATTTTCCAGATGAAGAAACTGAATTTGCAGTCCCAGAATTGGTGATGGCTGAACTGTGCCAGAGCCCTGCTCCTGCATCAGCTGCCCTGTGGCCCCCACCCTCCCCTTTGCCCCAGAGCTGCTGCTCTGTCACCCTGAGTTCAGTCACAGTCAGCGTGGGCTGCTATAACAAAATGCCACCGACTGGGTGGATTAGAAACAAGAGACATTTATTTCTCACCATTCTGAAGACTGGAAGTCTAAGATCGGGGTGCCAGCATGGTTGGGATCTGGTGAGGGACCTCTTCCAGGTTGCAGACTGCCAACTTCTCATTATATCCTCACATGGTGGAAAGAGGGTGAGGAGCTCTCTGGGGTCCATTCTGTAAGGGCACTAAACCCATTCATGAGGGCTGCACCCTTAGGACCTGGTTACTTCCCAAAGGCCCCACCTTCTAATACCATCACCTTGGCAGTTGGGATTTTGACATATGGATTTGTGGGGCGGGGGACACAAACATTCAGTTCCTAACAGCCACATTTGGTAAAAATGGGACTCAGTGGGGAGAAAGGGTTTAAGGTCAGGCCCCTGCACTGGGCTCACTCCAAGGTCAGAGCATGAGCTGCACCTCTCCACCCACACCACTTGGGCTGCTATCCCAGGTGCCCATCCCAGGAAGCTCAGTGGTGAGCTCTCACCACTGTAGCTCCAGTCCAGGAGCCACAGACTGGAGCTAATGAAGTTGGCTGAGGCAGTGGGAGCAGCCAAAGAGCCCTGGGCTTACACCTAAGCTTCACACTGACTGCTGTGTGACTGGGTAAGGCACAGCCCTCTCTGGGCCACCAGTCCCACTAAGCAGCCAAACAATCCCTGGGGTCCCTGCCAGGAGGGAAAACTCATTCCAACTGGTTGTGTCTCCCAGGAGTCTCACGTGATGTTTCACAATGGCCTTCAGGAGTTAAGAGCCCCAGGAAATGACATCAGGGTGGGGAGGTAAGGAGCAGGGCCAGGAGGTGAGGAGCAGGGCAAAGAGGCTTGGAAACTAGGGGCAGGAGATATTTTGGGGCAGGCAGGTCCCCCGCGTCACTGCTGGACAATGGTCCAGGGCAGTCATTGTACTGGGAGTGGAAAATCCTCTTCTGACTCCATCTGCAAGGGCTGAAAATAGTCCAGGGCCGTGGGTGGAGCCCCCAGGGACAGGGGGTGACTGGCCCTGCCTGGCCCATTGTTCCTGGCTGGGACAGGGCTGAGACTGACACCTGAGCTGGAGCCAAGACAGAGGCAAGCCCAGGAATTCCCCCATTGGAGGAGGAGTGGCCAGGCAGAGCCAAGTCCTATCGAAGATGGGGAAAGCGAGGCCCAGAGAGGGACAGTGACTCCCCCAAGTTGCACAGTGCATCAGGGCAGAGGAGGATGAGTTCGACTCGGGCTCAGTTCTCACCCCAACCCTTCACCCCCACAAGCACACCCCTCACTCTGTAGTCTGGTCACTCCTGGCCAAGCCCCACCCTCCACCTTGCAGGAGGCAGGAGCTCCAGACATCGCACTGTGTGGCTCTGTGTGGCGGCAGTGGGGTCACTTCACTTCTCTGGTCACTTGATGCTGGGGAGAAACACTGCCTCCACCCTAGTCCTCAGAGCTGGGGGCCTGGAGGGTCTTGGAAATGCCCGGGGAGCAGCTGTTGGTTGTGCCTTCACTGAGGTGGGGAAATTGGAACAGGGGAACAGGTCTCCAGGCCCTACAGTGCAGTCCAGAGAAGGCAGGCAAGTGACCTCAGGTCACACAGCAAAAACTCCCCATTTGCTGCCTGCCCTTGCCCAGCTCCAGACCAGTCCTCTGCTCCTAGATCTGTGGACTCTTAATGAAGTGAGAGGTGGCTGCAGAGCACCATGGTGGACACCCCAGTCAGGGAGAAATGGCTACCCTGCTGCCGTGGGAGGGTGCGAGCTCTCTAGCCTGAAGTGGCAAGTTTCTGAAGCTTGCTACTAGGGGCCCCCTCTTCCTCCTCTCCATGCTGCCCTCCCACAGCTGGGCACCTGGACAAGGTTCTGTAAACAGCACAGGCCCATGGTCCTGAAATCCACCTACTGCCAAGCAGGGCAGAGGTGGTCCCACACATTCCCCCAGGACAGACCTGCTTCCCTCCTCCCACACCCCACGGGGGTTCCCTGGAGACGTATGGCCCACTGTTGCTCACTGGCCAGACACACTGTCCTCTCCTTCAAAACATGTATCCCAATGTGGTTACGTACTAAGTGATGTCAACTCTGTGAGGGCAGGGCCCAGCTGATTTGCCTCCATAGCCCCCGGCCTGGTGCCAGGCATATAAATGCTGACCACACACCAGGCACTGTGAGGAGGACTTTGTGCGTAATAACGTAGGGAAGCCCCTCAACGCCCTGCATGGAAGGTAGCAGCACACTTTAGAAATGGGAAAACTGAGGTGCTGCAAGATTAGGTAACTTGCCCAAGAGACCCCAGCCAGGAAAGTGGGGACAATATTGACACTGAGGTGGTCTGGGTGGAGCATCTGTGTTCTCACATCCTTGCTACACTGCCTCTGTCATCTTGAATCATGCGAGGGGCCACTTATAGACCCTTCTGCCCTGCAGGGCTGTGAGTGTCGTGGGGCACTATAAAGGGCATGATTCTGGCCATCAGGTGAACCTGGACTCACTCTGACTCACCCTGACAGCCTGGATAACCTGGAACAAGTCCTCACTTCTCACGCCCTTCTCCTGTTTCCTCATCTGCTAAATAGGATCATAGCATCTACTTCCCAGGGCTTCTGTGAAGCATCCACCATATAACATAGATGAGAGGGTGCGTGGGACATGGGTCAATACACGACTTCCCTCCCTCATGTGCCTGATTCTAAACAGAGCAGCCCAAATCTGCCATGACAAGGGTGACAGAGAGGTAGCTTTGGTGACTTGACCTGGAGCAACCATGTGTGGATAACATGTTGCTTAGGGCCTCTTCTAACCTCAGGGGGTGAAAGTGGGAATGTACCCTGGGGTTCCTCCATCCCTCCTGGACCCTGGGACACCTGCCACCCAGGGCAGAGACCCCTGTGTGCCAGGGACCCTGCCCTGATGTCATGCAGTTCATTGAGAACAGCTGCTGCAGGCACATCAGCAGACATTTACTCCCTGACACTCAACTCTCTACCCTCCCTTTCCTCCCATCCCTGTCCTGTCCCTGGCCTCAGGTCTATGGCTCCATCCCAGTCACCCTGGGCAGGAAGAGCTGGGCAGTGTGAGTGACAGCAGGATCGTCACCAAGGCACTTGCTTACATCCAGGCGCCACGCTGACCTGCTGAATGACCTTGGGCTCAGCCCTGCCCATCTCTGGCCTTGAGTCTGCAGCTGGGCTGGATAATCCCTGGGGTCTGCTCAGTGGATGGGCAACTCACGTGCCCTTTCACAGTGGCCTTCATGAGTCAACAGCCCAGGAAGTGATGTCAGGTTAGGGAGGTGTGAAGGGGGCAGGGAATATTGGAGGGTAATAGGAGATATTTTGAGGGCAGGCAGATCCCCTCACGTCACTGCTGGACAATGGTCTGGGGCCAGGAGTGGAAAATTATGGTCTTACTTGGGCTGAAAATAGCATGAGGCATCAGGGCAGGAACTTCACCCACAAGGCAAGTGGCCTGGGCACTGAGCAGCAAGGTGGGACGTGCATACCAAGGGGCCAGGCAGTCCAACTGGGTTCCAGAGGTGCCCCTGGTTCACCCAGGGTCTCCAGTATCCACCCCCACCTGTGCCTGCCACAGGATTAGATGGTGAACGAGCCCCTCCTGTGTCCTTGTGGAGTGGCTCGGGCCTGTGGGAAAGGCTCAAGGGTGGTTTGTAACAGGCAATCATTAAGAAAGCTCAAGAGGGGCCGGGTGCGGTGGCTCATACCTGTAATCCCAGCACTTTGGGAGGCTGAGGCAGGTGGATCACTTGAGGTCAGGAGTTTGAGACCAGCCTGGCCAACATGGCGAAACCCTGTCTCTATTAAAAATACAAAAATTAGCCAGGTGTGGTGGCGCATACCTGTAATCCCAGCTACTTGGGAAACTGAGGCAGGAGAATTGCTTGAACCCGGGAGGCAGAGAGTTGCAGTGAGCCAAGACCGCAGCACTGCACTTCCAGCCTGGGTGACAGAACAAGACTTCGTCTCAAAAAGAAAAAAAAAACTCAGAAGGACATCGGCTACATTAACAGAAGTATAGAACCTAGAAGGTGAGAGGTGAATAGCTCACACTATTCTGGGCAGGTCACCCACCTGGCACAGTACAGAGTAATCATTTGGGTCATGGTCTGTGATGGGTCTCTGTCACATGAGGGCGCTGTGGAGTCAGGCTCCAAATACAGCAAGCTTTGGGGATGTCCTGCCTTTCACAAGGCAGAGTGGGAAGGGTGGAGAGGTCAGAGGGGGCAGGCAGAGTGGGCCACAGGGCGAGGGCTCTCCCAGAGGGAGAGGAGGGAGTCCCTGTCCTTGAGATCAAGAGTGAGGCCTGTCAGCTTTGCCCTGTCCCTTTCCAAAGGCTAGGGCGGGGCCCTGTCCAGCTGAGCGCCACACGTCAGCCCAGAGTGGTCCTGGCTAGACTCAGAACCTATCATAGGTGAGACCCATCTCCCCCATACTAAGTCCTGACCCAGCCTGAGCACCACCCTGCCATTCTGGGATTTTCCCAGAAGGCAGACGATGGACAGGAGGAGGAGTGAATCTCTTTCATATTTACCCCCAGTGCAAAGGAAGCCTCAGGGTCAGGGCAAGGAGGGAGCCCTAACTTGGCCTCCTTGTGACCCAGCCCCAACCCTGCCTTGAGCCTGGAGTCAGCTGTCCAGCCTGCTTATGGCTCATGCACACCCTGCCCTCTTGCCCCATGTCTTTGCCTGGGATGCATCCTGTGTGTGGATGTTCTTCCGGTGAGCTGCTTTTCTCAGAAGCTACAGCTCAGGAGTCTCCCACTCCAGGAACCCTTCCCTGACCCCCTGGCTCACAGCCCCAGCCACTCGGCATTATCCAGTGGTGTGCTAGAGTGACTTGTACCTGCTTGCAAGAACCAATTGTTAAATTTTCAGGAATTTTACAAGGAAGTTGACATCATGTTTATAGTTTGAATTTGGCCATAAGAGTTTTTGCACCATGGAAATGGGCAGTTCTACAAAGAAGGGGTTCCCAGTTAAATCGGAGCTCCAGTTAAATGGCTTAACATTTACCAGCACATGACTGGCCATCACCTAAACTGGGAAATCTCAAGGACTGGGACTGCACCTGACTTTTCTCTGTGCTCAGCACAGAGTCAGGCACAGAAGCCAACTGGCTTTACAGTGGGGGATGACCTGGGGCCTGGAGAGAGGATCCCTGATATGAGACTACTCCTGAGACAGCTAGTGAGAAGGCAGGTGGCAGAAGGGAACGGATTGGAGAAAGGACCCTTGTGTGGCTGGTGAAAGCTTCCCTGCCATATCCTCATCCCCCGACCACACAATAGGGCACAGCTCAGCAGGCAACACAACCTTTAGTATAAGTTACAGCCTCACACTGGCTCCTAGCCCATGGGAGCCTCCAGATGGGTCTATGATATTAGTCCCCAGATGTTCATCTCTTGGGCTGGGGGTACTCCTCAGAGCTAAGTCCACCGTGGCACCCAGTCCATTCCAGACCACTGTGCAAACTCAGCCCTCATTACTTACCAGGGTTTTCTGGCCAACCTGTGACTTGGCCCCCACCCCAGGTAGCTCAGCTCCAGACTCTGGTATGTGATCTTGGTAAGCCACCTTCCTCTCTGGGCCTGTTTCTCCATTTGACTTGATTAGGCTGGACTCCAACCTAGGTACCTTGGCAGTACAGCCAGCTACTTGCATGGGAGTCAGGCCAGGGGTGTCATTGACCTTGAGCTCTTGCCTTTCTTGAAACTTAATTCCCCCAACTTATACACACAAACGATGACTAGGGGTTATGGGAACAGTTGACTCTGGACCACAGAGTGAATATCCTGAGCCCCTGTCAAATGACGGAGCATGGGGTCATCCAGCATGAGTCACTGATGGTCCATATCTGGGGAGACTGTGGCGTCTGCACAAGTCCTGGTCCTCTACAGCTTCCCAATATAAACCTGCACAGGCTGAAGTGTTCTGCTCCTACAGCCGAATGTCCTTAGTGTTCTCGCTACCAGCCGGCGTGGACTCTGTCCGCCTAGAGTCCTCACTGCTGCCCAACACATCTTCTATCCTCTGCATGTCAGTTCTGTCGGATCTGCGCAGGCCCAGCCTGCGGCGAGCCGGGGTGGCAGGGCTGGGGCCAGTGGGTGGCTTGGCATCTCGGGCAAAGCGTACGAGCCTCTGCCCAGCCAGGAAGTAGAGCACGGGGTCAAGGCAACTGTTAGCACTGGCCAGCGGCCGGGTAACCTTGTAGGCCATGTTGATGGCGTTGAGGGTGTGGCAGCTGAGGTCCAGCGAGCGGAAGGAGTAGTAGAGGGTGCGGGTGACGTGGAATGGCAGGAAGCAGAGGGCGAAGACAGCCAGCACCACGGCGATGGTGCGCACGGACTTGCGCTTGGCCCTAGGCAGGCCGCCCGAGGTCCCGTAGGCTGGCTTTAGCAGTCGCCGAGCCATGAGCACGTAACAGACAAGGATGACGGCAAAGGGCACCGCGAAGAGCAGGCCCAGCATGACTGAGCTGTAGGCCACGAAGCGGCTGAAGAGCTCGGGTGCCGAGGTGTCGTGGCAGGTTACGCGGCCCCCGCGCGCGCTGGTGGTGACAAAGTAGAGCACGGGGGCCTGGCAGGCCAGCACCAACACCCACACGGCCCCGGCCACCCGGCGAGCGTAGCGGGCCCGGCCCCAGCGCAGGGAGCGCAGAGGTCGTAAGACGCCCAGACACCGGTGCACGCTGATGCAGGTGAGGAAGAGGATGCTGCAGTAAAGGTTGGTGTAGAAGAGGAAGCGCACCAGCTTGCAGAGCACCGTGCTGAAGGGCCAGTGGTCGCCGCGGGCGTAGTAATAGACCAGCAGCGGCAGGGAGGCCGCATACAGTGCATCAGACACAGCCAGGTGGAACATATATGTGGTGGACGCATTCCAGGTCTTGAGGCGGCACAAGAAGATGTAGAGCGCCACGGCGTTCAGACACAGCCCAGGCACGCACACCACGCCGTAGGACACAGGCAGCAGCACGTACTTGAAGTCCTCGTTGAAGCGGCACCTGTAGCCCAGCTCATCCCCATCCCAGGTGCCATTGATGGTGTCATTCCAGGGGCCCAGGTCTGCTGCCATCGCCCTGCAGGGAAGGGAGGGGTGGGGCCATCAGGGTTGTGGCCGGAGCGCCCCTAGGGGACCTGACACAGCCACCTGACCAGGGCTTTCATTGCCATCTGACTTGGATCTGGACCTGGAACCTCCAAGCTCTGGAACCTTGAGAATGCATGAGATCAATGAATAAATATCAGGATCACACAATTGTCAAACTTGAGAACAGGGGTAGACAAACTATAGTCCAAAGGCCAGATCCAGTCTGCTTTTGTAAATTCAGCTTTGTTGGAACACAACGGTGCCCATCTGTTTACAAAGAGTTGAGTAGTTGTGATAAAGACCATATGGCCTGTGAAGTCTAAAATATTCACTATCTGACCTTTAAAAAAAGTTAGCTCAAGCTGGCTACGGTGGCTCATGCCTATAATCCTAGCCACTCAGGAGGCCAAGGCAGAAACCAGGTGTTTAAGCCCAGCCTAGGCAACAAAGTGAGACCCCATCTCTACAAAATTCTTTTAAAAATTAGCCAGGCATGCTGGCACACACCCGTAGTCCCAGCTACTTGAAGTTTTCTTACCCCTCTCTAGAACCTCAGGATCAGAGTTTTAGATCTAGGATTCTGAGCTCTAGAATCTGAGGACCTGGGGGTGCCAGAGCAGGTAATTTTGAGTTCATGGGAAGGGGCCTTTGAGGCTGGCTGGCCCTGCTTCACACCCAATGCCTACTGCCTGCAGAGGCATTTCTGGCCAGTGGGCATCCAACAGCCCCCTGCAGGCATTACAGAGTTCTCTCCAGCTCATTTTCCCACTCTCTGGGAGGCTCTGGGCCCATGCCTAGTGTTCTGGTATTTGAGGAAGTATTTCCAAGGGTCTCCTTCTTCAGTTATTCCTTCACTTTTTACATCTTCCTCTATTCTGGCACTTTCTATATCTATCAACAGCAGTCCTGCCCCTGAGCCTGTGAGGCTACCAGGGAATCCCCCTGAAGTAACCCCCGTGAAGAGTCCAGGGAAATCTGGGTTGGAGATAGGGATAGGGGGCCAAGGGATCTTCTTTTGTGTGGTAAATGCAGCTTCTTCCATGCCTATCCAGTTTCTCTCTGCATATCGTCAGTATCATGGTGTCCCCCCCAACCTTGTCCCCACTGAGCATATAACACACCCATGGGGACTGACCATCCAACAGACAGTGAGTGCCCAGGGAGCAGCTTGTCCCCTCCCTCTCCTCCTTACCCCTACCCAGGTGACCAATTAAGAGCTCTCTCGCAGCTGGGAGGTAGAGGACAGACATCCCGGCCTGGAAGACAAAGACGTGCCTAACGTCCCAGGAGGCAGGTTGGAAATCATAGCAGAAGTCCTGGGTGGGCAAGTTTGAGAAAAACACAAAAAAGCACTTTCTAGCAGTGTGAAGGGGCAGGAGGAGCTAACATTTTTCAAACCCTACTACTAAGCATGCTTTCTAAAAGTTATTCACTTAGGCCGGGCGCGGTGGCTCACACCTGTAATCCCACCACTTTGGGAGGCTGAGGCGGGTGGATCACTTGAGGCCAGGAGTTCAAGACCAACCTGGCCAACATGGAGAAACCCTGTCTCTACTAAAAATACACACACACAAAATTAGCCTGGTGTGGTGGTAGTCCCAGCTACTCGGAAGTCTGAGGTGGGAGGATCACCTGGGCCCAGGAGGTGGAGGTTGCAGTGAGCTAAAATCATGCCACTGTACTCCAGCCTGGGTGACACAGCAAGACTCTGTCTCAGAAAAAAAAAAGTTACTACACTTTATCCATATGATGTGTTCTGGGGGCCAAGTCACCATCCCCAGTTCTCCAATCAAGAGGCTAAGATACAGATCATGTAAGTTATTTGGTCAAGGTCATGCCACTGGGGATGGGCTGCAATATCTGTCCAGGTCCAGCCCCTGGAAGTGGCTGTAGGAGGGTGGTAGTGAACTCCCTGTTTATGGGAGTATGCAAGTGGCTCTCTAGCAGAGGCTGCAGAAGGGCTTGTGCCTGTGTGGGGGTGTGTCTGGGAGGGTGGAAAGGGCAGATGAAGAGTGAGTCCTCCTCATCCTGAGAATCTGGGGCCGTATAATTCCCTTTATTTTATTTTATTTGTTTATTTTTAATTTTTAATTTTTAGACGGAGTCCACCTCTGTTGCCAAGGCTGGAGTACAATGGCCTGATCTCGGCTCACTGCAACCTCTGCCTCCCAGGTTCAAGCGATTCTCCTGTCTCAGCCTCCTGAGTAGTTGGGATTACAGGCACATGCTACCACACCTGGCTAATTTTTATATTTTTAGTAGAGATGGGGTTTCACCATGTTGGCCAGGCTGGTCTCGAACTCCTGACCTCAAGTGATCTGCCCGCCTTAGTCTCTCAAAGTGCTGGGATTACAGGTGTGAGCCATCATGCCTGGAATAATTCCCTTTATTTTAGATCCTGGAGTTCTAAGGGACTGGGGGACTCTGCAGGGCCTGCAACCTCTACTCCCATAGACCCTGAGCTGCTTTTCCAGCCCTGGCTTCCCGGAGGCAGTTCAAGGCCCAAGAGGCTGAGATTAGGGGTGCTGGGGGGTGTAGAGATCCTTCAATTTCCCTTCTTTTTTTCTTTCTTTTTTTTTTTTCTTTTTGAGACAGATTCTCACTCCATCACCCAGACTGGAATGCAGTGGCGTGATCTCAGCTTCCTGCAACCTCTGTCTCCTGGGTTCAAGCAATTCTCATGTCTCAGCCTCCCAAGTAGCTGGGATTACGGGTGTGTGCCACCTCACCTAGCTTTTTTTTTTTTTTTTTTGTATTTTTTAGTAGAGATGGGGTTTTGCCATGTCGCCCACATTGGTCTCGAATTCCTGACCTCAAGCAATCCACCCACCTCGGCCTCCTAAAGTGCTGGGATTACAGGTGTGGGCCATGGCGCCTGGCCAGTTTCCCTTCTTTCACCAAGACTCCCAGATCTTCTCTTTCTCCTATTGTCAGCAAATGTTTACTCAGAAGGAAGGGGGCCTGCACCCTTGTTCCCCCTGCCATGGACACAGATGGCTCCCCAGGAGCCAGGGCAAAACCAGGGCGAGGAGGCCGGGAGATGCTTATGTGGTGCCAAGTTAAGAAGAGACAGGTAGATGCTGGGGCTCTGGCAGGTCAAGTGGCTGAGACCCGTCTTACCCAGGGTCAGGACAGTTCCTGCTGCCAACTTCGTTCCAGGCTCTACCTCTTGTTGCTGGAACCACTGCACTGGCTTCCCTCCTCCAGCGCCACCCCCACCCACCCACCCACAAAAATCCAGAGTGGCCTTTCTCAAAGAAAGCATCCCCCTACTTGAAATCCTCCTGCCGCTCCTACCCTGTTTCAGGAGAAAGCCCAGCCCTCAAGTCTGGTGCCTGAGGTTTTCATAACTGAGCCTCTGCCAACCTCACCCGCCCCAACCCCTGTGACCTGCAGTTTCTTGAATGTGCCCAAGACTCTCCCCTCCCAGCCTTAGTTGCTGCTGCTTCTTCTACCTGGAGTTCATTCATAGCCCTCGTCTCCACCTGTTAAACTCACGGCTCTTTATCCCTCAGTGCAGAGAACCCAGTGATTAAGAACCTGGGCGCTGGAGCCAGACTGCTTCTGTTTCCTCAGCTGTAAAATGGGACAATTACTAGAATCTCCACCATGGGACTGCTGTGAGGGTCGAGTCATTTGCATAAAATGTCTGGAGTAGAGCCTGGCACACAGTAGGCCCACGGTGGTGTTATGAGTGCCAAGGTTCAGCTAGCGGTGGCCTTTTCCAGAAACCTTTGGCCACAGTGGAGGTGGGACTGGAGGCTGTGGAGGTGATTGTGGTGAGCCAGGGGAGTGACACTGAGAGCCAAGCAGGGGAAGGCCTTGGGCCCTGTGAGGGGAGAGATGTTTGGGAGGGAGGCTCTGGAGACTGTTCCCTGATGGAGGAACGGTGGGGAGGAGGAATGCAGTGTCAGCCATGGCAAGTATGGGGATGGGCACAGGCTGGGTCCCTCAGGTCTGGAGCTTTGGAAGGCCAGCTGAGAGTCGCTGGCTCACAGAAGCTGCAGGAGGAGCAAGGAGAGGCCCCCTTGCGAGACTAAGGAGCTACGGAGAGGCCACATTCCTTCCCAGGACAGAGCCTCCCCTGGGTATCAGTAAGCCGAGGTTCGAGTCTAGCTCTGCCACAAAACGCCAGGTGACATCAAGCATTTCCTTCCCTCCCAAGTCTCAGACACTAGTCAAATCCCACAGCCTTGAGAACTGCAGCCCCAAAATATCCCCGGGAGGTCCTCTGCCCCACTTGGACAGGGAGGGGGCTTCCTCCATGATGCAGACACACACACCCAGTCTCCCCTTCACGCCACTGCTCTGTTTCTGCCCCCGTGCCGAGGCCTGACTTCCCTTCACAGTCAACATAAACATCTCATCACCCTGCATGAAGAGTTTCCTGCTAATCCCTAACAGTGGAATCTCTGACACTGAGATGAGGGGTGGAGACTTCCCTGTCTCCCTTGAATTAAGAGAGCTGCCCCTTCCGCCTGTTTTAAGACACCCTGGCCCCCACCCTCCCAGGCCAGCTGGGGACTCCATCGCCGTGGCCCTGGGCCAGACTCACCCCTCCCGCCCTCTCATTCTACAGGCTGGCTCACCAACCTGTGAGTATATCTTTCCTAGCCCTGCCTTAGAGGGACAGCCCCTGCCTTAGAGGGACAGCCAAGTCCCCAGCCCCCTCCCTTAAGTCTCCCTTCTGCCTCTCCTGACCCTGATGCCCCTGGGACTAGAGACGGCTCCACCTGACTATCCAACGCTCACCAGCCCCGCTGCGCCCTGGTCTGGCTGGCCCTGCCCCAAGGAGCTCCCAGTCTGGAGGGGAGATGTGAGCCTTGTAAGACCCTTCCAGGCTCCCCTGCCTGTGTTCATGCTGTTCTTTCTCACTGGAAAGCCTTCCCCGAACCCACCCACACTGCACCCCATTGTAGGTCCCAAAGGATCTTCTAATCTCTGAAGTTCTCCCTTCCATCACCCCTCAGGACGTTTCTCAGCCAGTTGGTAATTTGTCCTTCCATCCTCTACCCCAACACATTTCAGGTGCTCCTTGAGGGCTGGGTCCATCTGATGCTTTTCTCTGTCCCTATCATCCAGCAGGAGGCCTGACCACAGGAGGTATTACAGGAATGAGAGAATGAATGAATGAATGAATGAATGAATGAAGCAAGCACAAGAGGCTATGGGGGCCCAGAGGAGGCACACACAGGCACAAGCCCTCTGCAGCCTCTGCACACTCCCATAAACAGGGAGTTCACTACCTACCTCCTGCAGCCACTTCCACTGTGGGATGGACCTGAATAGGAATTGCAGCCCATCCCCCGTGGTGTAACCTTGATCAAGTTACTTACAAATTACTTGCTCCTCTGAGGGCCTCTCAAGGACAAAAATGCTTAAAGGTTTCTTAGCTGCTGACCCTAAGTAACCAGGGGACAACCCAGCCCCTCTAGGGGTTCTGGTCCACCTGGAACCTGCTTATGTCTCTAGACTGTCTCTCCTTCAACTGCCACAGGAGCCCAGGAGACTCTGCCTTTCTCTGGACAGGTCAGGGAAGTGCCAGTGGGAGGGGATTGGACATGGGCGCTCTGGAGATGGATTGGCTGTCTGAGGCCTGGCTCAGGACCTCAATAGGTCTGATCAGGATTCTCTACCCACCCTGCTTTGTAAGGGCCAGACCTGGGCTGAGCAGCTTTCACACAGCATCTTCATCCCCCACCTCCATCCCTTGGTAGATATTGCCATAGAGGTTAAGCTATTTGTACAAGGTCACACTGCCGGGCATTGGAAAAATTAGGCTTGACACCCAGAGCTATCTGGCTTCAAAGCCTGAATTCATCACAGCCTGGGATGGGGGAGCAGGGCAGGGCACCTGCCTTCAGATCCGCTTGATCTAAGCCAGTTCAGGGCAGACACAGGCAAGACAGCACACCCGCCCTCACCTCCCGGCCAGCGTACCCGCTCCCCCCCACCCCCACCCCACGTACCTGACCAGCCCCTGCTCTCCAGGTCAGGATGCTCAGCGCCTGCACGGGTTCCTCACTCATGAATGCACACGCCTGGACCTGGACCGGGCTGCAGGGAACTCTGCGGGAAACAGGAAAAACAGGTCCCCAGGCCTGGGGCCACGCCCAGCCTCCAGCATTTTTCTGGGCAGGTAGTGCTGCTGCCACAAGGGGCTCCTGCAGACAGAGGGAGGTAGAGAAAGTGCGGTCTCAGGGTCATGGAAACCTACCCAGGTCAATCCCCCCCAGGGCCACCTCCTTTGTGGTAACCTTAACCAGAAGGAGGCAGAGAGGTGGCCTGGTGTTTGTCCTGGTCTGAGTGCCTTCTGTACACCCAAACCCCAGCTCATGCATTCCAGGAATGGGTTATCCACAACCCCCTTCCCCAGGCCGCCTTTCACAGAGGGGTGGCCCTGCCTGGAGGAAGGTCTCCCCCATGTCCTGTACAGCTGAGCCAAGCCTCCAAGCCTCCAGTGTCCCTTCCCTCGGTCCTGGTTCTGTGCTTTGGCCCCATAGCAGGAAAAGTCAATACCCTCTTTGCCCAGTGTGCATTCTATTGTCCTTCTGCCAACACACTTTTGCCCTTCTGCCAATACAATTTTGCCCAAGCTAGGTTTCTATCTAGAGACCCCCTCCTCCCCACTCCTACCTCTAAGCATTCCTCGTTAGGTGTTATAAACACACATATGCCACACCTGAACACACACTGGCACAGACACACCAAGACACACGGATACACAGAGGCATGCAGAGTCACACTAAGGTGTACATGCAGTGGACGCAAACGGATGCACACACACACACACACACAGTCTAGACCATCAGGGCCTAAAATGGCATTTAGAAATCTCCTGTGCCACATATACAACGTGGAATACTTGCAGTCATAAAAAAGGATGAGTTCCTGCCCTTTGCAGGGACATGGATGAAGCTGGAAACCATCATTCTCAGCAAACTATCACAAGATAAGAAAACTAAACACCGCATGTTCTCACTTATAAGTGGGAGTTGAACAATGAGAACACATGGACACAGGGAGGGGAACATCATACACCAGGGCCTGTTGGGGTTGTGGGGCTAGGGGAGGGATAACATTAGGAGAAATACCTAATGTAGGTGATGGGTTGATGGGTGCAGCAAACCACCAGGGCATGTGTATACCTGTGTAACAAAACTGTACGTTCTGAACATGTAACCCAGAACTTAAAGTATATATATATAGAAAAAAAAGAAATCTCCTGTGTCAAACCCTGTTTCACAGAGGAGGAAACTGAGGCCCAAGCCTCACAGTAAGTCAGGGACAGAGCCAAGACTAGAGCCCAGCCCTCCCGAATTCTGGCCGTGGTTTTTGTCTCACCTTGGAGCCCCTTGTGCACACCAAGCACAGGGTTTCAGGGAGGGGACAGTTGCCTGGTGGAGGGGACCTTCTGTGTGGGCAGGTCCCACCCTCCACCAGCACCTCAGGTACCTCACAGGAGAAATAGAACATGCACCTCCTGAGTTTTTCTTTTTCCATCTTCATTTGCCTAGGATGGAGGAGTGGGCCTGCGACAGCTGAGCCCAGGTTCCCAAGCTGGAAGTGCAGTACAAGGCTGGGGGGATGTGGGAGAGGAGATGGGGGCACTGCAGGAATAGCTTGGGTACGGGGGGCGTGGGTGCACACGGGAAATGCCTCTGGGCCACTGCTTACTGAGTGCACCTTGCCTGGTGGTCTCAGATTGACAAGGCCGGTGGGCTGGTAGCTCCCCACTGATCTACTCTAGAGACTATGACAAGGTGAGGGATGGTCAGCCTTTTCACCCTGCTGCACCCAGGTGCACACCCTGTCTCCTCCTCCTTAGAAAATGCCTTGACTCAACAGGCTAAAATGGAGAATATCACTTTCCACAAGTGGTTCTCATTTCTGAGAAGGGCCCCCACCATCCTTCCAGGTTTCAAACCTCTGATACAGCCTGGACAACCTCCCTCTTCCCCACCCTGCTGGAAGCCCACCACTCACCAAGCCCTGTTAGTCCAACCAGTGAAATTCCTCGGACATGCACTACGCGGTCCCCACACTGCAGCCCGAGGCCTGTGCTTCCACAGTCCACAGCAGCAGCCTCCTCACTGGCCTCCGTGCCTCCACCCCTGCCCCGTCTGTCCACCTTTCACACTGCAGTCATGTAGTTTCCTGAAACACGAATCCTACCATACATTGTTGAGCCATGTTTGTGGCTCCCTAGTGCCCTCAGGCAACTGTCCCAGCTCCTCAGCCTGGCACTCAGGCCCTGGCTGATCTGGTACCCACCATCCCTCCAGAAAGCCCATCCTCTCTGTCCCTGCCCTCATCTTCCTGTCTCAGGCACAACAAAAGCAGTCCCATGGTCATATCATTGCTCAGAGACGGCCTCCCTTATCATCTAACACCTATATCACAACAAGAGTTTAGTGCTGTCCCTGTGCCAAGTTCTGTGTTAGGTGGCTTCATATACCTCCTCTCGTTGAATCCTGAATTAGCAAACGGCATAGCCACTCTGGGCTGTCTGATTTCAGAGGCTGTGCCCCTGACCACTACCTCCTGCCCTGCAAGGCCCCGGCCCTCTCCCAGGAAGCTGCCTGACCATCCCTTTTTGGCCCCACAGCTCTCTGCCTGTCTGCTCAGTTCTCTGCCAGAGGAATGCCAATTGGCAGGGCTCAGGATTTACTCTTTTCAGATGGGTGGTTATTGCACCCATCTCACAGGTAGAAAAACTAAGGCCAGAAAGGGGTAGCTCAAGGTCTCACCCAAGGTCACCAGTGAGCCAAGGGCAGAGCCAAGCCTAGCATGCAGACCTGTAACCCCCTGACCTGGCTCTGCCCCTACCCCAGTCTGGGCCTTTCTCTTTGTGGTTCTAGGCTAGTGAGGCCAAAGTCAGGAGGAGGAGCTGGGCAGCTCCCAGGCCACTGCAGAATTTCCAGGGTGGTTGGATGACATTCCAGCCCCTCCACTAGAGTGGCTCTGGAATGTGCCTCCCTGGCTGGTGGCAGACCCTGTCTAGCCTGGTAGGGGAGAATGTGCTGTCACCACTGTGGAGACCCCTGCTGCCTATCTCTGCCAGGAGTTGGGTGCTGTGAGGGAAAACAGAGGACCTAGTGCCAGAACCTCATTGAGGGGGCAAGAGAGGCACTAGGCAGGTGGGAAATCCGAGTTCTCCTCTTTCCAGTGGTAAGACAAGTCTCTTAACTCCAAAACCCAGATCTCAATTTCCTCTCAATATCAGAACAGTACCTGCCTCAGAAGGTTGTTGAGCTAGTTAGATGATTTAGGCTTATTTTATGAAATAGTAAGAGAGAATATTTCAGCAGGTAAAGAAGGCATGGAGGGTGGGGTTATCTCAGGAAGACAAGAAGGGCAGGAAGCTTCGCAGGAATTATGGGAAGGGGATACAGGAAGGTCACAACCAGAAAAACCACAGATCAGGTCTCCCACACTGAAGGCCATCCTCAGGGGGAAGGCAGTCCAGGGATTCCCCAGCAGAAGCCAGATAGCCACCATACTCTTTCACTCGCTCACCCTTCACAAAGGTTGCCACATCTATGCCCACTGCTGGGCAGGGCACCTGGGGACTCTGAGGTAGGTCAGATCTCAAGGAATTCACTGTCAACGTCAGGGGAGGCACACTCAGAAACAGGCGATGATAACACAGGGTGATCAGGCCTGGAGGAAGCCAAGGAGGCCCCTAACAGGATTGGAGGGGTGATGAGGGAAGGCTTCCTGGAGGAGAGAGCGCCTGACCTGCATTTTGGAAGACGAGGAGTCAGGTGGTTGGAGAGAGAAGAGGAGCAGAGTGAGGATGAACAAGAGATGACATGACACGTTTGAGGAACTGCTCATCATCCTGGTGGCTTGAGGGGAGTGGAGAGGGCAAGGCTAGAGTGCACAGGCTGAGGAGCTTAGAAGTCACGCTGGCTCCTCCCCAATGTCCTTCAAGGGGCTGAAAGCCAGCAGGCCCCCTGCCTTGCCTGACATGCTTCTGCACCGGGAGCACCAGGGCCGGTCTGAGGAAATGGCTAAGGGGTAACCTCAGATGCTATCAGCCGGTGCTGTTGTGGTGTTAGGCACCCCCTTCAGGAGGCCCTTGGGCTCTCTACCCCCTCCCAGATGTTCTCTCCCTCTTTGGGACCCCCCTAGGATCCTGGCTGTGGAGGCCACTCACCAAGGCTGAGCTCAGAGCAGCATCAGAGTGGGTAAGTCTCAGATCAACCAGGCTTACAGATCAGAAAGCCAAGACCTCTAAAGAGGAAGGGCCTTACTCAAGGTCTAGTGTTCCAATTATTGTCAGTGTGGGTTTGACCACCTCACCCCCAACATAGAGCAGGACCCCAAACCACCCATCTCACCTGGAACCCAGCATAGCCCAGAACAGGGCTACAGAGACATGCTACTAAATTAAACAGGCTCAGAACCACAACGTCCTGGACACCACCCCAACCTATCACAGCCAAATGCCTCCAGCTTCAAGAGGCAAGAACCGTGAGTTCAGGCTCTAACTTGGAGCCACCTGTGCTGTGCAGTCTTGGTGAAGTCAGCCCCCCTTCTCAGAGCCTCGGGTTCTTCAGTGGTCAGATGGGGAGAATCACTGCTGCATGGGACAGCTCATGAGGAATAAGACAAGGGGGCAGGTGGGTGCACCTTGGCGCTAGCAAATCATGAACTGTCCTAATGTGGAGGCTGTGTCTGCCTGTCACAACAGGGAGACACTGAAATTCAGGAGCCCATGACACTGCTTGGTAGGGAGGCCCTCCCAGGTGTTCCCCAGCAGAGGGACAGAGGTCATGGTCAGAGCAGTCAGGCAAGGTCCCTGGAAGGGGAACTGTGATAAGATTTGAGGAGGAGCAGGAAGGGTCCAGCTTGGGAGGAAAGAAGGTGGATGGAGAATCCAAGGTGGAAAGGGGGATGAAAGCATCAACCAGGAACCACATGAGCCTCTGATTCTGAGATGGCCCCTCCAGGTACCTCCAGGATTCTGAGTTCCCTGGTTCTCGCAGTCTAATTCCAAGAGGCTCTGGTTCCGGGTGTGAAGGCTGTGTTTCTTCAATTCTATTACTCGTTGCTCCTGATAGCCTTTGGTTTTGAGATTCTCAGAGCCACAGGGGTCTGGATTCAGAGTAATGAAATCTTAAATCACATTCCCAGGAACCACAAAGTCCCAGCAAACACTTGCCAATGCTCTGGTGCACCTGGCCTCAGATGGACCTTGTGAACTCAGACTCAGATTGCACTCTGCTGGGCCCTTGAGGAGTACCCAGTCAGGCTGAGGAAAAAGACACAGACATGGACCAAATCCACTTGGGTGAATAAACCATAACCAAGGCAAGCCCAGGGGTTATGGAGCACACAGCAACTCCTACCTGGCCTGGGGGAGGTGGTCAGGGAGTGCTTCTGCAGAGGAGGGGTCATCTGAGCTGGAAACTGGTAGATGATTAGGAGTTTGTCAGGTGGGCAAAGAGGGAGGAGGGCTCTGAAGGCAGGAGAGGCATGAGCAAAGACTTGGTGGATGAAAGTGTGACCTGCTGGAAAAAGGCTGGGAGGTCTTATACGGCTACTGTGGAGGGTGAGGTGGCATGGAATGTGTGGGAGCCTGAGGAATTCACTTGAAAAGGCTCAAATGCCAGGCTGAAAAGCTTGGCCTCTATTCTAAGGACACTGAGGAGCCATGGAAGGCTTAAGAGGGGAAGGACATGGTCAGAGTCAACCTTTACAAAGATGGTGCCACATGGAAGGTAGATGGGACAGGGAGTCTGGAGGGAGGGAGACCAAGGAGGAGACGACACATACGGTGGTGCCATGAGAGGAGCAGGTCCCTTGGCCCTGGATTTCCTGCAACAGCCCAGCCATGGCAAGAGTCCCCCTCCTACAAGCCAGGGCTGGGTGGCTGGGCACTCACCAGGAAGCCAGGTCGACACCCAGAGGCTCTCCTCAGACCTGGGGAGGGAGAGGCCACATAAAGCCCCAGAAGTCTGAGGGAGGTCCCTTTCCCTCACTCCAGCACCCAGGCCTCTCATTCAGGAGCTACAATGACAGTGACAAGGTACCAGGGCAGAGGGTCAAGGAGTTGTTCCACGGGGCCCAGGCTGCTCACCCTCCTACCAGAAACTCCCGCTACTCATCTTGGACCAGGAAAGACTCAGGCCTAGGAGATGGGGTGATGGGGTGGAGGAACTCCTCTGCTCCAGAACCAACTATGGCACTCCGTGGAGCAAAGCCTCCCCTTCTACTCCATGCCTACTCCCGCCTGGCCACTCATTTCCCAAAGACCCACTGGCAGCTGCTCTGAGCCCAACCTGTGGTGGCTGATGGGGACAGAGAGAGAAAGCAGGTATGGCCTAGCCTAGTCCTGCAACTGGCCGCTGGATGAGTACAGAGGTCAGAGTGGCCCACACAGCCAGCCTCCTCCTATCAGGGCCCAGTAATAAGGGAAGGCCAGGCCTCAGGACCCAAGGACAACCAAGAGGAGGTGTGGCCCAGAGGGTATAGCAAGCAGGCCTACAGAAAGCAGTTTGGGGAGAGGCGGTTTGGGTGGAAGGCATGAGGGGCAACCCCCACTCCCCTCACCAGATCAACAAGGCATCTCTGGTCCCGTGGGCAGGTCTGGGCAGGCGTTACCTTATCAGCAGTTGGGTAATCTGGCCACAAGAAAGCCCCAAACACAGGTTCCCAGGGCAGAATTCAAACTCCCCTCAGCCTGGAAGCCAGAGGACCAGGCCTAACCCTAACAGGGCTCTGTCTCAGATGGGGAGGGCTAAGCTGGCAGGTGGACTGGAGCCCCAGGTTTCACCTCAGCTTGGTGACCCTGGGCAGGATACAATCCATGCCTCTATTTCCTGATCTGCAAAATGGAGATACAATTCCTCCCTCACAGGGCTATAGGAAGACAAAATGGATTGTTGTAAATCGTTACTAGTGAAGCCATCTCTGCAGAGGGGGTGGGGGAGGAAGGCATTCAGTAATCAAATTTCAATAACAAGCACAATCCCTTGCTATTGCACCCATGTTCTCTTATAGTCTTCAAAATGGATTTAAGTCTACAAGTGTCACATTCCTCCTCTGAGCACTGCAGTTTAAGGCTTATAAAGCTCTTCCCTGGTCACTATCTTAATCCTCGTAGCAACTCTGCTCTCAAAGAAGCAAGGATCACCATTCTCAATTTACAAATGGCAGAACTGACACCTAGAGAGGGACAATGGCCTCTCTAAAGACTATAGCCATTAAGTCAAAGCTCTCATGGGGTCACTCATGAGGCCCTGGTGATACCCTCACACCTTCTTAGCTGGTCCTTGGGGGATCCACAGCCTTAGAGCCCCATGCATCCAGGGCAGGAGGGAGACAGAAACAGAGGAGTCACAGCCTCACTCCACAGCCCAAGCTTGGTAGTCATTTCTGAGGGTTGCCCACTGGGATCCCCAACCCCTCTGACCAGACTCCAAGACAGCCCAAGGCAGGGAGAAGAGGAGAAAGAGCGACAAGCCTTTTGTGCCAGAGCCTCCCCACACACATACTCTCCCATGCAGGATCTTACTTGTTCTGGCCTCCTTTTAGAGCCTGGCAGGGCAGGAACTGGTCATTCAACCAGCTGGGAACAGAGCTGGGATGAGATCAATTGCAGGTCCCCAAATTCCTCAGCAGGAGCATCTGAAGGCTCAGGGAAAAGTGTTTGGCCAAGGGGCAAGGGCTCAATTAGGGTTCAAACAACTCCTGGGACAGTTCTAGTGTTGACATCACAAATGCCCTGACCTCCCTGCACTTGGCAATACTTGATCCATTCTCCATCCTGCAGCCAGAGAGCGCTTTCTGAAATGCCGCTCTGACCATGAAACACCTCTGCTCATAAATTTCCATGGCTCCCTATTGCCTTCAGGATAAAATCTCTAGGTCTTTAGCCTGGGCACTCTAGGTCCTACAGTGTCCCAGATCACACTGTTCTGGCAAACTGTGCCACCCACTTTGATAACCAGATTCTGGTTTGCCCTTCTTTGTAGTGACATGGAGCTCCCCTGCAGCCGGGCCTTTACTGGAGAAGCTGGTGCCAGAGACAGGGGATGGGCGCCACTGCTGCTCTCTCAGTTCAGCTCAGCCCTGTGCAGGGTGCTGGCAACACAGAAATAATAAGACCCAGTTTCTGCCCTCCAGGAGCCCCTAGACCTGGGAAGAGGAAAGGAGGAGACAGACATAGATCATGACGGTTCAGGTGGGACCAGGGCTGTCAGCCCCAGGCCTGTAGGGGCCTAGAAGAGGCTCCAACCCAGCTGTAGGGATCAAGGAAGGCTTTCCAGAGGAGAGGACATCTGAGCTGGGTCCCAAGTCTGGGTAGTTCTCCAGTTGAGGAAGGTGAGAGTAGGAGGGCTTATCAGAGAGGGAGTGTAGAATATGCAACAGGCCAGGGGCAAGAAATGAGAGACTCCAGGCAGCTGCTGCAAGGTAAAGAGTCAGGCGGGAGAGGTGGCTGGAAAGGCTGGCAGGCCCCAGTTATCAAATACCTTAAGTCCCAGGCTACAGGGTTCAGGCTTGGTCCTGTGGAAGGCTTGTGCCCTAGGGAGGGGCACAGTTGGGATTCTGGTTCTGGGAGGCTCCTTCCAGGGACTGACTTCCCATCCCCAAGCTGTGAGCCTGCCCATGGGGGGACACTGGTGCTGAACATGACACACTCATCAGCTCCTCAACAGCCCTCAAATTCCTTATCATTAGTCCCTTCTTACAGACGAGGCCACTGAGGCTCAGAGAAAGGACGGCTTGCCCAGGCCACACAGTGGCCAAGACAGGATTGGAACATAGATCTCTGAGTCTCCAGAGCTCTCTTGTGGACCTGTCTGCTCAGAGAATCTTCTTCCTTCCACTTCCACCCACAGGTAATAAACTTGCCTGGGTCTCCACCCAGATCCTCAAAACTCATAATTATTTCAGCTTAGATCCAAAACAAACCAGGCAGATCAGGCTGTGGTCCTGGGAAGCTGGGGATGCCATGCTGAGAGGAACAGCAGCCATGGACCCCACAAATCCCGAGCTGGCAATTCTGGTCTCCAGCAGTCCCCAACCCTTGGGCTGCGCTCCTGGAGGACCCCAAGAGGGCCACTGGCAGCCTTCGGGTTGGGGGGTGGGGTATCGCCTTTCTCCTGACTGACCCTTTCTACCGCACCATTTGCCAGATTAAAAGCCCGGGGACAGAGGCTTAACTGTCCTTTCTGGCCACTCCCTCCTCCCCCGCCCACTCCCTGCAACTGCCCCCTCAACATTACCAATGGTAGGTGGCCACCCAGAGTGACCCTGGGGTTAGGACAGTGGTAGGGGGTCTCCAGGGGTTCGCGTCTCTGGGCACCGGCCACCGCCTCACGCCACGGGGACGCTCACATCGGAGCACACACAGACAAGTTCCGCAGGCTTGGCCAGTCGCCCCGAGGGGCGCACACACTCACCCGCTAACACGCAGACCTCCCCAGTACGCTGACGCGCACAGCCTCACTACTGGGGCGCCCGTCCACACTCACCGAGACCGACGCTCCCGTGGAGACAAAGTTCAACCACGGACCCACAGGCGCGTTCAAGCCGTCCAGTTATGCGCTACACGCCGGCTCGCAACTGTGCCCCGGGGCGACAGCCGCTCCACAGCGCCCTCCCCTGCCCCGCGCCCAGTCCGCACCTGCGCCAGTCTGGCCCGCCGCTTCCCCGGGCCTCTCCCAGCGCCTTGTTCCCTCCAGACGCCCCACCCCACCTCTCGCCACTGCGCTGCGCTTCTCCTCTCAGGGTGCCGTCGCCGCCGCTCCCGGGTGCCAGTGCCCGGGTCCCGCCGCAGCCGCAGAGACCCACGTGCCTGGGAGCCCGGCTACCCACCTCCCTGCGCTGTTCCCCAACCCCGAAGCCGGGCCAGGCAGGGGGCGGGGCGGACTTTTGACTGACCCTGGCACCGCCCTCAACCCGCCCGGGTAGACACCGCGCCACCCGCTCCGGGACGCCGCCCAGCGACAAGGCCGCGGGGTCAGCGTGTCTGTACCGGTGCTGCAACGGGAGGGTCGGGCGGCGACGCTCTCACTGCCGGGCCAGAAGGAGGCCTCCCGGCTCCCTCACGCTAGAAGGGAGCTGGTTACCAGAGGTTTTCAGAGACGCCAAAGTTTTGCCAGGTCAGCCCGGTGCCTGCGTGGCCCACTGCGGGACCTTTGCGCCCAGCCACCGCGCCACCCTACCCCTGTCCCGCCCCTGCCCCAGCCCGGCTGGCCAGGAAGGGACCTACTGGGAGATACCTGCTCGGAACCCCAGGCTAAGGACGTACCTCCCTTGCTTGAAAGTGGGGGAAGGGGGTGCCTCTCTCCATTACCGTGGTTAGGAAAGCAGGGTACTCAGGATCCCGCCTCTCCCGTGCTCCCCACTTTCCCTGCCTTAATCTTATCAGCAGCTCCCTGAACTCCCCACTCTGGCCCCTTATCTTGAGCTGCTTTACCTCTCTTCTCTGTCGTCAACCCCACTCTAATGGCCTTCCCTGGTCGGGCTACCGGCTGCATGTCTGACCCGTTCGGAGACTGTGAGCTCCCGAGGGCAGGAACCAGGTCTGCCTTCTTCCTGCTGCTGTCCTAGAGGTCCTGGGAGGTGCTCAATCCTTGAAGGTGTGAATGGATGAATGAATGAGCACCCCGCCTCTCTCTCATTTCTGGTCTAGGAATCAGGAGTGTAGGTTCCTGTCTGGCTTCAGCACTGACTCTGGGAGACCTTGACCCAGTTCCATTCCCTGGCAGGGTCTTCTTTCCTGTGAAATGGAGCCAATCGCTCCGCTGGCTGGACAAGTGCAGAGGAGGCCTCTTCCTGTAGCCAAGGAACTTGCCCCGGGCCTTCGGGGCCTTGGGCCCTCTTGGGCTCCATATCAGCTGACTGGGCCTGGCTGCCAGGAAGGGTGCTGGCTGCAGCCCCACCAGGAGCAGTAGCAGAGTGGACACACAGCCCATAGTGGCTGAGCCGCCTCTGCAGTCCTGCTGGGGCCTTTGCTTGGGAGACACAAAGGCCCCTTGTCTAGCCTCCTGCGCCTATTGTCTAAGCTGGGCCACGCACCTTCCAGGGACCTAAGTATCCTCATAGCCCGAGTTATAGGGCCTAGGCCTTCAGGTTCCAGTGTGGGGAAGACCCTTTGGGCACTGGAACTCCAGCCAACCCTCTCTTTCTCTCCCCTCTTCCAAAACTTCAAACCTTATACTGTCACTGCCATTTAGCCCAGGAGAAACAAGTTTCTTTGACGCCAAGTTGAGGACCCAGGCTCGACCTTAGCCTTCAGCGGGCAAATCTGGTTGGTGGCCTGCCCAGGGCTCTGCCCCTGCTCTGGCCCAATTCCCTTACTTTACAGCTGAGGAAACTGCATTCCTGAGACATACAGCGTTTCAGCTACCACACAGGTGACTTAGTGAGGCTTGAGGAGCAGAGGAAGGGGCCTAGTCCTTGAACCCCATAGCCTTGGGTTTAGATTCCAGTCTTACCTCACCTGTCCTATGACTCCTCTCTGAGCCTGAGTTTCCTCTTTTGCAAAAGGGAGTAATACTAATCTCTCACTTGCTGGCCTGTCTTAAATTTTTTGAGAAAGGGCCTCACTCTGTCACCCAGGCCGTAGTGCAGTGGCATGATCACAGCACACTACAGTCTCTATGTCCCAGGGCCAAGGGATCCTCCCATCTCAGCCTCCCAAGTAGCTGGGAATACAGGCACATGCCACCATGCCGGGCTAATTTGTAAATTTTTTGTAGAGATGGGATCTCCCTGTGTTGACCAGGCTGGTCTCAAACTGCTGAGTCCAAGCAGTCCTCCTGCCTCGGCCTCCCAAAGTGCTGGGATTCCAGGCATGAGCCCCTGCACCCTATCCTTAAATTCTTTTTTCATGGTTTTATTCATCATCCCAAGCTGTCTGGGCTCAAGGCGTTAGTATCCCATGCAATGAGGGCCTAGAAGTTTCGTCTCCTGACATCCTCCCCAGGCAGTCCCATCGCTGGGTTTCAGAGGCCATCAAGCCCAGCAGGCTTCAAATCCCCCAACAGAGTCCCCCTTACCTGGGGCTGCCTGGGGAACTCCCATCCCACTTCAACTTGAGCACCTTTGCCTTTGTATTTTTATTTATTTACATTTCCTGGTAAGAATTTGTTGCAAGCACATGAAAGATTTTGTGGCTGAAGTAATGTAAAACCATTGATCAAACCGGAAATTGAGACACAGCCAGCGTCACACAACAGGCCATCTGAAAGGCTGGAATAGCATCGAGGGAGTCTCCCTGGAACCAAGCAGCCAAGGCAGGCTAATGGTGAAGGCCCAGGCACAGTAATGGTCCCCTGGAGGTGGGTAATGGAACCATGGGGGCGGGAGGAGGGTTCCATTAGCAGTAGCAGATCAGGAGGGGAAGGGCAAAGTTCCAGCCTCAGCTTCTCCCATGTATTAGGAGGCTTCCTGTCTCTCCAGCCCTGAGGAGGTATTTGGCTCATTCAGGCCTTTTCATCCTCCTTCTCTCAACTTCTCTCATTGCCCCTGGGAAAACTTGCTCTGAAAATGCATGCTGGGGATGAAGCCTCTGCCCTGGCCCAGGCTCCAATCCCCCCTTCCCAGGGTACAGTGGTGTCTCTGTTGCCCCTTGATGCCATACCCTGCCTTACACTCTCTGGTGGCTCCACCATCCTCTGGATAAAGCCTAGCTCTCTAGCCTGCCACTCCAGCCTCCCTGCCTCTCTGCCTCACCTCTCACCTCTGACCAGCCTCCTGTTGCCTCTTGCTGCTCCCTCTGCCCACAGTGCCCCCTGCTTCTGGCTCCCCACCATGGGTCCTCGAAGACCCAGGCCAGGTGCCCCACCACTTACCATGCTGTTATTGCTATCACTGCCTGTCTCCCCCTCTAACAGGGATCTCTCTGAGAGCAGAGCCAGGTTCCATTCTGTTCACAATTAAATGGCCAACACCTAGCACTGTCCCTGAATAATTTTTCTTTTTTTTTCTTTGAGATGGAGTCCTGCTCTGTCATCCATGCTGGAGTGCAGTGGCGTGATCTCAGCTCACTGCAACCTCCGCCTCCTGGGTTCAAGTGATTCTCCTGCCTCAGCCTCCCAAGTAGCTGGGATTACAAGTGTGCACCATCACACCCTGCTGATTTTTGTATTTTTAGTAGAGACAGGGTTTCACCATGTTGGCCAGGCTGTTCTTGAACTCCTGGCCTAAAGCGATCCACCCGCCTTGGCCTCCCAAAGTCCTGGGATTACAGGCGTGAGCCACCGTACCTGACCCCTGTCCCTGAACATTTGTCACAATATATTATGAGTGAATGAGTAAGAACTCTATTTTAGTGGTCACCTTCTTTGTGCTAGTCATTAAGTTTAAGGTATCTCGCTTAATATTCTCCAGAACCCTGTGAGATAGGCATTATTTTATTCTCATGTGACATGTAGAGAAACAGGTTCAGAAAGGGGAAGCGAAAGTCCAAAGCAGTGAATCTGCGGTGGGTCTCCTGGCCCCAGAATTGCAGCCTGATGGGAAGGAAGGCCCTGCTGAGTTCCCAGAGTTATGGCTGGGTCATGGCATTGGGACCCACACTGGCAGCTCCAGTTACACAGGGCTGGGCTGGCTCTAGCAGCCTTGTCTTACTTGCTCCCTGAACTGCTGCATTGACCTGCACCATCCTCCCTTCCCTTGCCAGCCGAGAACTGTGCTCCTCAGGTTTCCTGGGCAGGGTCCAGGGCTCTGATGCCAAACGCAGCCTGGAAACTCTAGCTCTCAGCATGCCAGGATGCGGGCACCCAAGTGAGGCCGCCTGGGATGCAGGAAGCTTAGTCCAGGCCTGGGCATGCCTCTGTTCCATCTCCCCTCAAGCAGGACCAGCTACTTAATCTGCGGGACCCAGAGCAGAATGAAAATGTGGGCCCCTCATTCAAAAATTTAAAATTTCCAACAAAAGAATGAAAAAATAAGAAAAAATTAAGAATTTCAAGATGGTGATAGCAGAGTATTTAACACTTCAAATCATGACCCTTACTGTCCAGGTCACATGCCCACAAAGTCAGCCCTGTCGTCAGGCCTTGGTTTCCTTGTCTGTCAAGTGGGAGAATGGTAGCCACTGGCCAAAAGGGTGAGGGTGAGAATGAGGTGGGAGCTGGTGGTAAGAGGTCCAGTGAACAGCATGAGGATGAGGTAAGAGTCTCCAAGTTCATGATTTGTTATCTGGGTCTCAGCACCGGGTGGCAGGCCAAACTCCTTGCCAGGAGTTTGATTGCTTACAACAGCTCTTTTTCACAGAACCAAAAAACTAAAAATCCATGAAGCAAAGTAACTTGCTCAGGGTCACACAGAGACTCAGTGGGGGAAGCCAAGATCAGAGTTCTGGCCTGGCTCTCTTCGAAGCTGGTGCTTTTTGTGACCCAGGCAGGAGAGAGAGAAGCGCAGGAGGGAGGTGGGATGGGGACAGGCTGCTCAGGACAAAGAGGGCCACTGTGCAGACACAAAGACCTGACCACAGAGGCCCCTCTGGGGGCTGGGACAGACAAATGGATGGAGCCCTGTGACTCTATCTGTGGTGACTGGGGTAGCTGCCAGGAGCTGCCTCCTAGACCCTACCTGGTTGTGATGAGGGTTGGGGAGGGTGTTGGTGTGCAGGAACCAGGAAATGGGTCAGGGAGGAGAAACAAACTCAGAGATGGGCCCCTTCCCCACTCCCCAGGCCTCTGACCCCATCTCCCCCTAGCTCCTCCTGGGCAGCCTGCCAGCTTATGGAATCTCCCACAAACCATCCACCGCCCCACATTCCTCCTTCTCAGTGAGGGTGAGGCTCAGGCAACTCACTGTCTGGCAGTCCCAGCCTCACAATACTTCTGACCCTTCCCCATCACCAGTGGCAGGATGAAGCATATGCCCTCGGCGCAGTGTCCTTCAGGGCCCTGTGTGACCTGCCCTGCTGACCTTTCTTCACTCACCTGTCCCCACTCCTCCTCAGCCTTCTACGCTGCAGTCACATGGAACGTCCCACCATTCTCCAAACACTCTGTCCTTTCATACACACACCCCCATGTTGGCTCATGCTTTTCCTTCTTCCTGGGGGGCTGTTTCCCCTGCTCCAGTAGACTGAAATCCCATTTCTCCTCCATGAACCAGCTCAAATGCCACCTCCAGTAGCCAGCTTTCCTCCATGCCCACAGTTGGGTTTAGCTTCGCTCATTAACCTGTTAATCTACACATGTTGGGTTCACCCACTCTAGCGGTGCTCCTCCCACGCTGGCTTGTGTTGTAGTTGTTCCAATCCACAAAGCCTACCTGGAAGAGGGGACCTTTGAGCTGAGCCTTACAGGACAGGTGGACTTCACTAGTGAATGTCAGTGGTAAGAAGTGACAGGAGCTCAAAGAATCAGGGATATCAGCCCTATCTCCAAAATTTTATCTGCATCAGCCAGGTTGCTGAGTTCAAATAGCAAGGAGTCTATAGTTCAGAATGGCAGGAGTTGAGTGTGCAGGGACACTGTCAAGGGATAAAGTTAAGAGGTTCACCAGGGCCAAGCCACGAAGGGTTTTATAATGCCATACTAAGGAATTTTTTTGCTTGCTTGTTTAAAACACATTTGAATTTATTTCTCAGCTCTATAGTTTACTAAGTAATTAAGTTCTGGCTTTTATCTTTACTATTTTCTCCCTCTTAATTACCTTGGGTAGCTTTTCTGTTCTTTTTCTACAAGCTTATTAAAGTGAATACTTAGGCTGGGTGCGGTGGCTCATGCCTGTAATCCTAGCACTTTGGGAGGCCGAGGTGGGTGGATCACTTGAGGCCAGGAGTTTGACTGGCCTGGCCAACATGATGAAACCCCGTCCCTACTAAAAATACAAAAATTAGCCGGTCATGGTGGCACACGCTTGTAATTCCAGCTACTCGGGAGGCTGAGGCGTGAAAATCACTTGAACCCAGGAGTTGGAGGTTGCAGTGAGCCAAGATCATGCCGCTGTACTCCAGCCTGAGTGACAGAGCAAGACTCTGTCTCAAAATAAATAAATAAATAAATAAATAAATGTGAATACCTATTTTGTTGTCATTCTTTTTCAATAATGTAAGCATTTTTAAGGCTATCATTTCCCTCTGAATTCAGCTTCGTCTATGTTACATACATTTTGATATGTAAAGCTTTCTTTATCATTGTTTTATAACAATAGTTATAATTGTTATAAATTATTATAACAATAATATATATAATATATATAAAATATTATATATTATAATACTATAATATAGTAGTAATTGAATTTGTAATTACTCTTTGACACAACCAAAAGTCTTTTTAGGGGAATATTTAGGTTTTGGAGTTCTGTTTATTGCTTAAACATGTTATGAGTTTCTAGTTTTGTTGCAGGTATGTGGAGGAAGAAAGGTTAAATTAAAGTCTGTAAAGAAAGGGTAAAGTCTGTAGTTGGTGAATATTTTATTTTTTATAATTTACTTTTTATGCATTCCATGGATATTTTTAAGGGAGATGTGTGTTTTCTTTTTATAGATTCACCTCTTGATATTTTATTTGCCTAGTTGTACTATATACGTAAGTAACACACATATATAATATTGAAAAATAATTTTCTCTTTATTTCTTCTTCCTCCCTTCCTTCCTTCCTTTCTTTCATTCTTTCGTTTCCTTCCTTCCTTCCTTTTTTTCTTTTCTTTTGTTTTCTTCTCTCTTTCTTTCTTTCTGCCTGCCTGCCTTCCTTCCTTCTTTCTTTTCTTCCTTTCTTCCTTTCTTTCTTTTTCTTCCTTCCTTCCTTCCTTCCTTCCTTTCTTTCTTTCTTTTTCTTTCTTTCTTTCTTTTTCTTTCTTTCTCTCCTCTTTTTTGAGACAGGGTCTTGCTCTGTTGCCCAGCCCAGCTCATTGCAACCTCGGCTTCCCAGGCTCAGGTGATCCTCCCAGCTCAGCCTCCCAGCTGGGACTACAGGCTGGTGCCACCACACTCAGCTGATTTTTTATATTTTTAGTAGAGATGGGGTTTCACCATATTGCCCAGGCTGGTCTTGAACTCCTAGGCTTAAGCAATCTGCTTGCCTCAGCCTCCTAAAGTGCTGGGATTATAGGCATGAGTCACTGCGTCCAGCCTCAGTATTTCTTTTTCACTTATATAACCCAGCAGGCTGAAAATGATGTGTCTCCCACTACTTTTTTGTTTATATCAACCTCTCCTTCTATTGCTATTTCATCTATTTTGATCCTCTGTTATTCAATATATAAAAGTACATCCTCACTATGGCTTACATATTTTTATAGATAAAAGTGTCCCCTTTTTGTCCCATCTAATGCTTTTAGCCATATTTTAAAATATTTCTTACATCACTACTACCATCCCCTGCTTTATTTCATTTGCATTTAGCCAGCATAGCTTTGTCTGTGCTTCCAAATGTAAACTTGTTGTGTCATTTAACTTTTCTATTTAAAATTTGGAATGAGTAATATATGGTTCAAAAATGTTATAGTATAGGAAAAAAAGATATTCAGAGAAATGTCTCCCTCCATCCCCCATCATTCAGTTGCCTGATTTCCACTGCTCCCTTCACTCTTAACCTGGAAAGTGTTTTTGTTAGTTTATTGCGTATCCTTGAGTTCCTTTGTGTGAATACAAACATTTCCACTTATTTTCCTTTTTAATTTTTATTTATTTTTAATTTTTTTTAACATGGAGTCTCGCTCTCTCACCCAGGCTGGAGTGCAGTGGCGTGATCTTGGCTCCCTGCAGCCTCCACCCTCCAGGTTCAAGCGATTCTTGTGCCTCAGCCTCTCAAGTAGCTGGGACTACAGGCTTGCACCACCATGCCTGGCTAATTTTTTGTATATATTTTTTTCAGTAGAGACAGGGTTTCACCATGTTGGCCAGGCTGGTTTCAAACTCCTGACCTCAAGTGATCCATCTGCCTCAGCTTCCCTCATTTTCCTTTTTGAAAAAACACAAAAGAGTATCATAAAGATACACACTGACCCTTGCATGTTATCACTTAACAGTGTATCTTGGAGATCTTTCCAAGTCAGTACATTGGAAGCTTCTTCATTCTTTATAAGGGCCGCATAGTATCCCATTGTATAGTCATACCATAATGTATTTAACCAGTCCTCTGTTGGTGGACATTTGGGTTGTTGCCAATTTTTTGCTAGTACAAACAATGCTGCAATGAATAGCCTTGTACATATTTTTTTGCTTGGGTGTAAATATATGTAGGAAAATTTCACAGAAACTTATTACTCGATCAAAAGGATTGTGCATTTGAAGATGTGATAACTGTTGTCAAATTGTCAGCCACCGAGATTGTATTCATTTACCCTTCCACCAGCAGTGTATGGGAGTGCCTGTATCTCCATAGCCTCATCAACACTGTGATATCAAACTTTTGGATTTTTGCCAGTCTGATAGGTGAAAAGTCATGTCTCAGTGTAGTTTTAATTTGTCAGGTTTTTTTTTTTGTTTTGAGTGCATATCTTCATAACAAAAGTATAATTTATGATCCATTTCCATTTCCTTTTCCATTACAGTCATGAGTTGCTTAAAGACTGGGATGCTTTCTAAGAAACGTGTCACTTTGCGATTTCATCATTGTGTGAACGTGAACACAAACCCAGATGGTATAGCCTACTACACACCTAGGCTATATGGTATAGCCTATTGCTCCTAGGCCACAAACTTGTACCTGTACTGAATACTAGAGGCAATTGTAATACAATGGTAAGTATTCGTATATCTAGACATATCTACACATAGAAAAGGTACAGTAAAAACACAGTATTATAATCCTATGGGACCACTGTTGTATATGCAGTTCATCATTGATCAAAACATCACTATGCGGTGCATGACTGTATATCCTTTAGCCATTTTTCTATTAAGTTGTTGGTCTTACTGATTTGCATTAGCTTATTGTATTTTAGGAAGATTATTCATCCCTCTGTCTGTGACCTGAATTGAAAATATTTTTTCCTAGTTTGTCATTTGTCTTTAGGTTTTACTTAGTGTCTTAGTCCATTTTCTGTTGCTATGACTGAATACCATAGACAGGGTAATTAATAAAGAATAGAGATTTATTTAGCTCATGATTCTGGAGGCTGGGAAGTTCAAGAGCATGGTTCAGGCATCTAGTGAGGGCCTTCCTGCTGTAGCATGACATGGTGAGAGGTATCGCATGGCAATACGGAGCAAGCATGCTAGCTTAGGTTTCTCTTCCTCTCCTTATAAAGCTACCAGTCCCATCATGTGGGCCCCACCTTGATGACTTTGTCTAATCCTAAGTGCCTCCTGAAGGCCCCACTTCCAATCAACAATGAATTTAGGGATTAAGTCACTAACACATGAAATTTGGAGGACATGTTCAAATCATAGCACTTAGGTTTGTAACTTTTTTTTAACATAGAAGTTTTAATTTTTCTGTGATTTAATTTATCAATCTTTTATTTTTATTTTTATTTTTTTTTTATTCAGGGTCTCATTTTGTCCCCCAGGCTGGAGTGCAGTGGCATTTTCTCAGCTCACTGCAGCCTTGACCTCCCAGGCTCAAGCAATCCTCTCTCCTCAGCCTCATAAGTACCTGGGACTACAGGCGTGCACCACCACACCTAGCTAATTTTGTTTTGTTTTTTGTAGAGACAAGGTCTCACTATGTTGCCCAAGCTGGTCTCAAACTCCTGTACTCAAGTGATCCTCCTACCTCAGCCTCCCAAAGTGCTGGGATTACAGATGTGAGCCATGGCACCTGGCCAATCTCTTCTTTTATGGCTTCTGGAGTTTGAGTCATAATTAGAAAGGTTTTTCTACTCCAACATTTCTTCCCCATATATTCTTTTAATACTTGTTTTTCTCTTTTTTCACGTTTATCTTTAATACATGTATTTGGATATTCTGTATTATTTTAAGTATTTCTTGTAAGCAGCATATTATGTAGTTGACTTTTGTTTTTAAACATGAGAATATAAAAATATTTGCCTTCAATAACTTAGCTTAATTTGTTTATATATATTTCATAATAATGTGGCCTCATTTTGCTTCATTTTTGTGCTTCCTTATTGCTTTATTTTTTGTTCTTTGCTATACTTTTTAGGCTTTTCTTGCTTTTAGCTTCTATAATGATTTTGAAGGTGAAGATCAAGTTTGTAATTCTTTAAACCTTTTTTTCTTTTGAGACAGGATCTCGCTCTGTCACCCAGGCTGGAGTGCAATGGTGGGATCTCAGCTCACTACAGCCTCCACCTCCCAGGTTCAAGTAATTCTCATGCCTCAGCCACCCGAGTAGCTGGGATTACCAGCACACGCTGCCACACACAGCTGATTTTTGTATTTTTAGTAGAGATGGGATTTCACCATGTTAGCCAGGCTGGTCTCGAACTCCTGGCCTCAAGTTATCCACCTGCCTCAGCCTCCTAAGGTCCTGGGACTACAGACGTGAGCCACTGCACCTGGCCTTTTTAAATCTTTAGATTAGTCAACCACATATACTTAAATGTATATTTATCAAATTACCAAAGTCAGTAGAAGGTGCTGTTTTTTACACTGTACTGGCTGTGTTTAATGGATCTCTACTTTTGTCTGCATTGTACAGATGAGGAAACTAAAGCTCAGCATGTTTAAGTAGTTTGCCCAAGGTCGCCCAATAATTTTTTTTTTTTTGAGACGGAGTCTTGCTCTGTTGCCCAGGCTGGAGTGCAGTGGCGCAATCTCGGGTCACTGCAACCTCCACCTCCTGGGTTCAAGTGATTGTCCTGCCTCAGCCCACCGAGCAGCTGGGATTACAGGCACACACCACCACGCCCGGCTAGTTTTTGTATTTTTAGTAGAGACGGCGTTTCTCCATATTGGCCAGGCTAGTCTCGAACTTCTGACCTCAGGTGATCTGCCCACCTCAGCTTCCCAAAGTGCTGGGATTACAGGCATGAGCCACCGTGCCCAGCCTAATAATTTTTAATGATCTCTGGATGATGAGAAATTAGCAAGCTTAAGCCAGGCAGGGCAACCCCAGAGCTGGAGTGGAGGAAATCTCGGCTAAACAACAGGGCTGAAAATGAAGGAGGGGCGAATTCCTCAAAGTAAAATCCCTATGGCCTCATAACCTTTCATATGGAACTCTTGGATTTTTGCCAGTCTGATAGGTGAGAAATCATAGCTCACTGTAGTTGTGGTTTGCATTTCTCTTATGAGTGAGACCAACCATCTTTTCATATATTTGAAAGCCATTTGCATCTTCATTTAGATGAACTGCCTATTCATATCTTTTGCCCACTTGGGAGGTACTCAGCAAATAACCACTAAATCAAAGCTTCCTGGATTGTTTGTTTGTTTTGAGAATACCAAACAGATGACTTTTAGAGTTTTATTCTTTCTTACAGAAAATCATTTCTGAGATAATAAACTCTTCATCTGAACCTTCGGGACAATTTTCTTCCTGCCGGTGCTGTGAGATCTTCTCACAGATTCCATATTGATTGTTTTTGTTCACTCTCTCTTGATCAGGCGGAAATAAAGCCAGGCTAAGGACTGCCCCCTGATCCTTTCAACCTTATGCAGTAAAGCTCAATAATTGTGGAAGTCTCAGTTCCACCATTGGACAGCCAGTGTAGACACAGAAAAAGAAGCTGACCGGGGTCGATTAGGGGAATTTTCATCATCATATCATGGCACTTGAACAGCACTCTGTGTATGTAAATTCATGTATTATGTGTGTGCATTTGTGTATATATATATACACTAAATACATATGTGCTAAATTTATGCACACACATTAATTTAGTTCTCACAACATTTCTGTAAACAGTACTGTAAACAGTACAACATTCCTGTAAATAGTACTTTTACTGTTTCCATTTTACAGATGACCAAGGTGAGGCACAGAGAGGTTATATAACTTGTCCAAGCTCACACAGCTAAAATCTGGTGGAACCATAACTACCTACATGATCTGATCCCAGAATCCATTCCCTCAATCATTCTGACCGGCTTGGAAGATAATTTCTGTGTTGTTAAGCCATGACCAAACATCCATCTGGTCACTGCTGCCCCTGAGTCTCTGAGACTGGTGTAGGCAGTGGGGATTAGTCTCTCTTATCTACTTTGGAACCTTCGGTTCTTCATTCATTAATTCATTTAATCCTCTGATTCATTCAATAAATATGTATTGAGTGCCTACTATGTGTCAAGTCCTGTGCCGGGTGCCAGAGATACCAAGATAAATTAGATATGGTCTTTGTCCTTAAAGGCCTTGAAAGGTGGGGGATAAGACATGGTCAGTTAACGGCACAGATGACACATGCTGTTCTGTTCCAAAGGGAGTAGCAGGTGGTGTGTTGTCTAAGAATGTGTTTCTCAATCTGGCCCCATCTACCATCTGGTTAGCGCAATTTCTCCCTTGCACTTTACCCTGTGATCTTCTCTTATCTTTAGTTTCTAAAGCATCACTGCAAGCTTTTGGATTTCTGCATATCTTCTTGAGCATTTTCACAGGATATGGAGATTAGTCTCATCAGTCATATCTGCTGTCCTTTTTTTATCATCCCAGGAAAGTGTCCTTGTTCCTGTAAGTAATGGGAAGCCAGGGAAGGATTCAGAGTAGGATAGATGGGCACTTTAGAATGACCACTCCAGCTATAATGTGGAAAATAGACTGAATGGTGGAGGTAAGATAAGCAGCCCAGTCAGAAAACTGCTCCAGTGCCCAGGTGGAATTATCTGAGCAAAGACTGCGGCTGGGGGAGACAGGAGGGTATGGATTCAATGAGTATCAAGCAAATGGAATCAAAGGGACTAAGTAATTCAATCAACAGTGTTTAATTAGCACCTGTTAAGTGCCAGGCACTGTGCCAGGTGCCCAGAATACAGCAGGGAACAAGATAGACACAGCCTCTGCCTTCATTGCATCTAGATGGGGAAATGGACAATTGGAGCCTTTACAATAAAAGATGATAAACAATGCAACAGAGGACATCAGGGCACTGCAGGAAAACAGAAGGGGGCACACGAGGGGGCGTGAGGGAAGAGTCCGGGCTGATGCCTGGATTTCTGCCTTGGCTGCAGGAGTATATGATGGGGCCATCGTCTGAGCCAGAGAATCCAGGAGGGCAGAACCCTATGGACGTCTCTCTGGGTCCCCCCAAGCCCAGGCCAGGGCAGGAGCAGGGGAGGTGGTGAGCAGAGACTGTTGAATGAATGGATAAATGAATGTGGGCATGCGAATACTCCCCAGCCCTCAGCCCGGCCCTGAAAGAGGAAGATGGGGAGTGGTCCTGAAAGAAACTAGAAGTTTCAGGAAGCCCAGTGGTTACTCAACAACCACAAACTGTCAGCCTCTTCCCAGTTACCCAACGGGCCATATGAGGCAGCCGTGACGCTCCTGATGTCCAGCAGGACAAGCCGGGCTGCCCATGACTCTGTATCTGGGGCCTGGATAGCGGGCAGACTCAGCATACCCCTAGCTGTTCTGAGGCCACCAGTGTGGGCCCCAAAGGCTATTGGAGACCTTCCTGGAACTGGCAGGGAAGGAAGAATTAGCCCTCCAAATTCCCTGGGCATGTGTTCCTAGAGTTGGGACCCTTCCTCTGGCTCCTGCATTCTTGAAGTGTCCCCCTGCCTCAGCACCAAGCCTCCTGGGCTGGGCCTGGGTCTGTTTGCCTCTATCCAAAAGCAGAAATTGATAATTATCTTCTGTGTGCCCAGTGCCCAGCTTGGACAACCCCTTCCCCCCAGCACATGATATAAAATTTCTCTTCTTTCTCATTTTACTTTTTTTGTTTGTTTGTTTTGAGACAGGATCTCTCTCTGTCATCCAAGCTGGAGTACAGTGGTGTGATAATGCCTCACTGAAGCCTTAACCTCCTGGCCTCAAGTGATCCTCCCACCCCAGCCTCCCATGTAGCTGGGACTACAGGTGTGCCCCACCATGCCCAGCTAATTTTTCTATTTATTTTTTTGTAGAGATGGGTTTTTGCCATCTTGCCAGGCTAGTCTCAGATTCCTGGGTTCAAGCAATCTGCCCCCCCTCAGCATCCCTAAGTCCTGAAATTACAGGCATGAGCCTCTGTGCCCTGCCAGGAAATGTTTCTTTAGTTCAGAGAGAGGTGTACCCTAAGCCCAGGGGCCAGGCTCCCCCACCCTCAGGAGAAGGAAGGTTCATCGGGAGCCACATAAACACCATGTCGTTGGCATGTGGCCAGGATACCCATGGTTACACCATGAGTGGGTGGGCCTAGGCTCTGACAGCCTCTGACCCAGGGTGGGGAAGGCACCAACCCACTGCCCCGCCTCTACCCCTGTCCGCTGTCCATATCTGAGTGTCCTGAAATGGGAGAATCTTTGAATCTAAAGGATAGAAAGGCCCTCTGTGGTCTTGTTGTCCACCTGCCCTTTTTTTTCTGTCTTTCTGGTCCATTCATTCTCCTTAATAATTATTTACCACCCCTCAAAAAATTGTCTGCATTCCTATCTTCTCCCTCCCCTATGAAAAGGATATATGAGCTTCTGTACCCCATCGGGGGCTTGGAATCGCCACTCGATAGTTCTCCCTCATGCACATTAATGAATGTGTCTGCCTTTTCTCCTATTCATCTGCCTTTGGTCAGTTGATGTTTCAGCAAATATTTAGAGGGCAAAGGGGAAGTTTTCCCTTGGCCCCTAAAGTCGCTGGCCAGGTGTTTGCCATCAGCATGGGATTACATGGAACTGGCAGGGAAAGACTTCTGTGGCTTCTTTGGCTCCTGTCGCTGCTAGTAGGTTGCAAAAGGGCCTAATGGCCCCTGGTATAAATGCAGGTGCATTTGCGTGTGTGTGTGTGTATGTGTGTGTATGTTTAGCTTGTGTTTATTTTATCCATAGATGTTTATATTAGTATATATTACTTTATATAGTTATATATATACATATATAATAGCGAAATGTATAAGTATACATAAATGGATATTTTATGTGTATGTGTGTGTGTATACATATATACATTTCTTTATTTATGTTTTATTATTATTTTTCTTGAGATGGGAGTCTTGCTCTGTCACCCAGACTGGAGTGCAGTGGCACGATCTCAGCTCACTGCAACCTCCACCTCCCAGGTTCAAGTGATTTTCCTGCCTCAGCCTCCTGAGTAGCTGGGATTATAGGCACGCACCACCACGCCTGGCTAATTTTTGTATTTTTAGTAGAGACGGGTTTCACCATGTTGGTCAGGCTGGTCTCGAACTCCTAACCTCATGATTCGCCCTCCTTGGCCTCCCAAAGTGCTGGGATCACAGGCGTGAGTCACTGCGCCTGGTCACATACGTACATTTCTTTTTCTTCTCACATATATGGGGAAATGCCACCAGATTGGCAGACGGTGCTACAAATTTATATGTATAAATATCTAGATTTTAATTTTTATTTATTTATCTATTGATGCATATAATTATATATATAACATATTTCTTATATACTTAAAAATAGAAATCTTTTATTTGTGAGTGTATATATATTTCTAGTTTTGCCTTTCCTTGTGTCTGTACCCATAAAACACTCAAGTGACAGGCAGCGCCACACCGTTTCTTGAGAGCAGGTTCCGAAACCCTGAGTCTCCACTGACCCTTGTTCCTCTGGTCTCATGTGAGGACACAGCTGTACATTGGACTCTAGATGTCAGAGCCATTTGTTCCCATGGTGTCTCCATGAGGTTGAGCCCCCACTCTAGGAGAAAACAGCTGTTTCGGGGTGAATGGGGGCAGCAAAACCCAGATGGACCTGGTAGTCTCAGGCGGTCTCACATTCAAGTCCTATCTGATTGCAACTTCTCCGAGCTTCTAAGAAGAGAAGGGGCTCTTCTCGGCTTGTGCAGCCATACACTTGTCAGCCTAGGCTGTGATCTAAAGGCTGGCTCAAAAAATCACTTTGCTCCTCCCTTCTGAAGAATCCAAACTGACCTGTTCAGGCCCTGATTATAATGCCCTCAGCAATGGGAACTCACCTTAACCTGGGACCTGAGACCAGCCTTCTTCCCGAGACCTGAGACCTGAGACCAGTCACTTCCCCAAGGGTCTCCTCCCTATCTCCAAGGCCACAGAGCCTTATCTTCCCCCCACAGCCCAAAACAGTCCAGGAGAGCCAGGGGAAGGGGTGGGGATGAGGCCCCTGCCATCCCTGAGAGATGAACAAGTGAGCAGTAGCTCCTTTCTCCATGGCCACAGTTAAAGTGTCATCACTTGCAATCACTAAACCATCAGTGGGGCCACTGAAAGGCAAGAGACACTGAAAGGCAAAAGACAGGCCATTCTGCCAAGCAGGAAGCTGAAGACTGTTTCAAGGCAGTATGCCATGGTGGTTAAGAGCACCTCTGCTAGATACTAGCTGCGTGACCCTTAATCCTTCTGAAGTGGATTTTCTTGCTGGTAAAATGGGATAATGACGCCTGCCTGGTAGGTTAGTGTGTGGATTAAATGACTGTGTGTAAAGAAAGGGTCAGCCCAATGCATACTAGGGAGGTGTTCAGGGAATCCATGCTTTCCCATGGCAGTGTCGGACGCTGTTGCCACACAGCCACACACACCACATGGGCTCCCCAGGTCCCCTTCTAGGCAGCCCATGTTCCCTGCCCAGGCTGGGTTCATCCAGGCTGATGGCCAAATGCAGCCTCCGCCAGGAGGGGAGCGGCCCACTCCACCCTGGGGATTGCCCGATCACATTGGCTGTGCCCATCTTGTGGGCTCCCCACCCTTCAGGTCTTTTCCACCTGAGAGTGGGCTAGGGCTCTCCTTCCTGCCCTAGAATCACTTATTTGTCTGACTCTTCAAGCAAGACGTCATGCGTTTACCGAAATTTCTCAACCACCTCCTGGGAACAAGGCCCTGGCAGGGAGATCCAGGGGCCCAGAAGAAACACAGAGTAGGGAAGGGGGTGGGGCCCACAGTTCAATTAGTTCTCAAGTACTAAACAAAGGATTTTGTTTTTCTGACGCTAGAAATAACACCTCTTCATTGCAGAGTACTTGAAAAATACAGAAAAATATAAAACAGAAAATAAAAAATCCTGACAGTCCTGATTCACACAGGTAACTGACATTAAGATTTTGTTGTGTTTGATACTAAGGTTTTCTAGGCATTTTAACCTGGTCATAATGTATAATACAATTGTGTATCCTGCCTTTTTTTCATTCACCATAAAGGCACAAAACCTTTTCCTGGGTTTTTACAAGCCAGCCAGTTAAATTATACCCTGTTGATTTAAGCTAATCTTTCTGACAAAAATCCTTACCTTTCATTGGGATTTAGCTGTTTCTTCCTAGGATAGCACAGTGCTGGGTGCCAGCCTGGAGGAAAAGGAGGAGAGAGGAGAAAAGAGGAGATAAAACCAACACCAAGGAGATTCATGCTTTCTGCCCCTTTCTTCCCCTCATGCTAAATATGTTTCTCAGTATGGGAATGCCAGGGCAGCCACCTGACTCCCAGGATCATCTGGACTCACCTGAGGTTCTGAATCTTTCCCCTGCTCGCTTTGCACACCCAACCCTAAAGTGAAGAGATCTCACTCCCTGCTAGGAAAAATGCCTTCCTCTGTGGGGGATAGCCCTGCAGACCCTAGGCAGCAAAGATTCTGCTCCAGCCACCCTGCTCCCACTCAGTCCTCTGCCTACTTGTCACATGGCCTGGTTTTCAGGCCTCTATAGCCTGGTCACCCTCTCTTGACTCAGCACATACCCCAAAGTGTCAGAAAGGTCCTAGAGCTCCAGCTGGGTCTGGCTGAGTGTGGAGCAGGGTAGGGCAGTCCCTTCTCTGTTCTGGTTGCTATGCCTCTGTTAATGCAGCCTGCATTTGCATTTGTTTGTTTGGCAGCCTCTGCCTTAGCTCATGTAGGGCTTGTGGTCAGCTCAGACTCTGAGCTCCTTTTTGTATCATTGTTGGTAAACCAGTTCTCCCATAGCCTGTGTTTGGGCAATCTTTTGAAGAAATCACACGCAAGCCTTGATATATTTCCCATTTTAAATATTTGCGTTGATTTTTAGCACCCTTCCTGACTTTTTGTCATGGGTGAACCTGATACATGTGCGCCGTGTCTTTATCCAACCTGTTGATGAAATAATTACCTCAACCTGGCCCAAGACAGAAACTCCCTTCTCACAGGCCCTGGCCCATAACCAGAGCCATAAGTTTGATCAGCTTCCTAAAAGCCTGTGAGGAAATACCACCTTCTTTAAAAATCCAATCATGCATTAATATTCACCCAAAATAATTGAAATCAGATACCTATACATGAATTGTTCATAGTAGCACTATTCACAATAGCCAAAAGGTAGAAATAACCTAAATGTCCATCAACAGATAAATGGATAAACAATGTGGCATTCATACAATGAAATATTACTCAACCGTAAGAGCAGTAAAGTTCTGATACTGCTACAAAATGGACAAACCTCAAAAAAATATTGTGCTGAGTGAAAGAAGCCAGATACAAAAGTCACATATTATATGATTCCATCTATGTGAAATATTCAGAATAAATAAATCCATAGAGGCAAAAAGCAGATTGGCGGTCGCCAGGGGCTGAGGGGTAGGGGAAACAGAGTGACTGCTTAAGCAGGTTTTCTTTTGGGGTGATGAAAATGTTTTAGATGGGCATAGTGGCTCACAGCTGTAATCCCAGCACTTTGTGAGGCTGAGGCTGGCAGATTGCTTGAGCCCAGGAGTTCAAGACCAGCCTGGGCAACGTGGTGAAAAATAATACAAAAAAATACAAAAACTAGCTGGGCATGGTGGCACATGCCTGTAGTCCCAGCTAGTCAGGAGGCTGAGGTGGGAGGATCACCTGAACCTGGGAGGTGGAGGTTGCAGTGAGCTGAGACCACACCACTGCACTCCAGCTTGGGTAACAGAGACAGACCCTGTCTCAGAAAAAAAAAAAAAAAAAAAAAAATATATATATATATATATATGAACTAGATAGAGGTGGTGGTTGCACAATACTGTGAATGTACTAAATGCCACTGAGACATACACTTTAAAATGGTTAATTGTATATTATGTGAATTTCACCTCAATAAAAAATGATTTGCAAAAGAAAATAAATTCAGTTATACATTCAACCGACAACCTTGTGCTGGGTATTGAGAACATGGAAATGAATCAGACCTGGTTCCTGCCAGTGCTGGTAGAGCCCATAGCCTTAGATGCTGAGATGGGGCAGTTGAACCCAGAACTTGAACATTGCCCTCTGAAATTTACCTATCGGGTGGGTTCTCTCATGGGTTCCCACCATACAGACTGCCAGGGGGTACTGCCCCTTCCATCTCAGTGATTGGAATGCATCCTTTGAGTAACTTCGCCATGGAGAAGTCTGACAATCACTCCCTCTGTCATGTGATCAAGCCTGTTATCAATGGTGATGAGTCATGCTGATGGAATGTTCCCTTGATATAATGCAATGAGAGTGGCACTTCACCTCTGTGACCTTCCTCGCAAGAACTCAACCAAGTCTAATCATGAGAAAACCAACAGCAAAGCCCAAATTAACAGTCTGCACAATACCTGATGATGAATACTCAAAACTCTCAAGATCATCAAAAACCAGGAGAGTCTGAGCAACTCTCTCAGACCAGGAAGAAAGGATGGAGGCATGATGTTTAAGTGTAACGTGGCACCTTGGATGGAATCCTGGGACAGAAAAAGGACATTAGGTAAAAACGAAGGAAATGTAAATAAAGTATGGATTTTAGTTAATAATAATTTACTAATACTGGTTCATTTGCCGTGGCCAATATAAGACGTTAGCAGTAGAGGAAAGTGGGTGAGGATATACGAGAATCCTCTGTACCATCTTTGCAACTTTTCTGTGCATCAAAAACTATTCTTTTAAGAAGTTTGTCTACTTGTTCTAAAATTTTATTTTAAATTATTATCCTTAAAAATTGCTTCCTTAAAATGGCTGTAACAGGCTGTTCAGATAGAGGTGACAATGGGGACATGAATGGGGTGGAGTGTGACCTACTAAACAGTTTGTTGTGTAAGGTATCATTTGTTCTCCAGGTGCTAACTGACTCCAGAGTGAAACATAGGGCCTTGCCTGATCTCCACCCTCCCCTTCTAGTTCCTGACCTGCCTCTTTTTGATAGGCCCCTGACTTGGGGACATCCTTATAGACACCAATATCTTCAATATCTTCAAAAGTGCAGACTATGAGAGTCAGGGTCTGGCCGGGCACGGTGGCTCGTGCCTGTAATCCCAGCACTTTGGGAGGCCGAGATAGTGGATCACCTGAATTCAGGAGTTCGACACCAGCCTGGCCAACATGATGAAACCGCATCTCTACTAAAAATACAAAAATTAGCCGCATGTGGTGGTGTGTGCCTATAATCCCAGCTACCCAGGAGGCTGAGGCAGGAGAATCACTGGAACTTGGGAGGCAGAGGTTGCATTGAGCCAAGAATTGCCACTGCACTCCAGCCTGGGTGACAGAGTGAGACTCTGTCTCAAAAAAAAAAAAAGAGTCCGGGTCTCTCTTCTGTAGCCATAAGATCCTACAGCAGTTCTGCTTCCCAGGCCCTGGATCACACATCTTCCCCAGGGCACTTACACCAGGAAGAACTTTAGATGAGCCATTTCACTGCCTTCCCACAGGGGTGCGGCCTCATGGCCCCATGGTTATGTTCTAAGTCAACAGTAGAATGACATCTTAATCCAGCATAATATCCACTGATGCTCCCGCCCACTAGCCAGGGGCCATTTCCTCCTCTGCTGAGTAGAGAAGGTTGGTACATAAGGGCATCACAGACACCATCAATTTGCTCAGAAGGGCATCACCATGGCTTCGACTGGCAGGATAGTGGTTAAGAGGAATGATTTGGAATAGACAACCCTACATTCAAATCCTGATTCTATCACTTATTCGTTTATTTAAACCCTATGACCCTCAGTTTCCACAACTGTAAAATACAGGTAATAAGGTTCTGGACTATTGAAGGTATTGGTAATCCGGAATGTCACTGGCAGAGGGTCTAAAAGTCTCTCCTCTGTGGTTTCCATCGTTTACCTTTTGAAAGTTGAATCTCCAGGCCAGTGCAGTGTCTCACGCCTGCAATCCCAACACTTTGGGAGGCCGAGGTAGGCAGATCACTTGAGATCAGGAGTTCGAGACCAGCCTGGCCAACATCGTGAAACCCTGTCTCTACTAAAAATACAAAAATTAGCTGGGCGTGGTGGTGCACACCTGTAATCCCAGCTACTTGGGAGGCTGAGGCAGGAGAATTGCTTGAACCCGGGAGGTGGAGGTTGCAGTGAGCCGAGATTGTGCCACTGCATTGCAGCCTGGGCAACAGAGTGAGACTCTGCCTCAAAAAAAAAAAAAAAAGAAAGAAAGTTGAATTTCCAGTCTCCTGGTGTTTGTGTTCTCTCTGAGTCCTCGAAACTCTCCGACAGTGGTTCTGTGAGCACAGTAGTGGGCTCCGCTGTGGCTAGGGGTGCAATTCAGCTCAAAACTCCTCTGGAGCAGCTGGGGGAAGGCCAGGAGGGTCTGATACTTGCCCATCCTGACATTTTCACCCCTAACCCTCTGTCAGTGACATTCCCTGTCATGTCATTTACCTGAAGGTTTGTGAACCTCTGGCAAGTTGCGGGGAGAAAGTAAGCAGGAGAAAGAAGCAGGGGTTCACTGGCTCACCAGCCTCCCTTCTGTTCTAACAGTGACCAACAGTGGAAAGAGGACGAAGGCTGTCAATGCCATTTTGGGGAATCATATTTGAATGATTACCTTGTGCTAGGAACCTTGAGCCTCCCTTTCCCGAGCCCTTGGCTCCCAGGTCAAGTGGGAGAACTCTTATAATTCTTTTGTGTCTCTGAATCTTGTCTCCATAATCAAACTAGAAATTACCCATAGGACATATTTCCTTCTCTTCTTGACTCTCTTTATCAAATGTGACCTACAAACCTACTGTAAATATCCCCAGAGAGATATATCATTCCCTGGGTAAGGAAAACTATCGTTGCCATTGTCAGTGGTGAGACTCCATAATCACTATCAAGAATCACTACCTTTACCACATCATCAACCATCATAGCAAATTCTGCTCTCCTCAAAGTGCCTTTAATGATAGTTGTAATTTATTGAACACCTAGTATGTGTCAGATACTGAAACAAGGGCTTTCCATGTATAATCTCAATAGAATTATCTAAAGTCCGTGTTCTTAATAAACAACGCTGTTCCAGCCCTGGTCCAGGAGTGTAAAACCCTCCTACCTTTTGCTGGGAGCGTTTGCATGTGCTGTTGTTGCTGTGTTTTTGCCACTGTGAACACTGCACATGGACAGGCCCTAGAAGACCATCCCAGGGTGTGTGGGAGCCCCTGGGGTAGGGGGACAGACCTGGGAACCTGAGCTGGGCACCAAGCATGCCAAAGGTCTCAGCTCTGCCCATGAACTAAGGGCTGGCAATGACCTTGGAACCAGAAGCTGGCATAACCAGAAAATCAGTGAAACTCCACTAGAAGACAGGGACTTTAAACAGGGCTTCAGGCTCCTGTCAAAACTCTTGGATGGAGCTGATAAGAAGTCCACAGCCTGCAGGGAAATGGCACCTGCTCCCAAAGCCACAAGTCCATTAGTGATACAGAAGCCAGCAAAGAAAGAGAGAACTGGCTGGATCTTGAAGCCAGCAGGGGGAGAGGAAAGGATGACAATGGATTTGCCTATGGCCAGACTTGACTCAGACAGTTACTGGTGAGGAGACTGTCACAGAGGAGCACTCAAGGTCTTGTGCATGCCTGTACCCAGCACTCCTTTATATTTTACAGGGCTGTCATCAGGTGACTCATCACTGAAACCGCCCCATGTCTATCCCAGTGCAAACCTGCCCGGAATCAGGCACATACCTACAGAGGCCAGGGAGGTCCAGGAGGTCTAAGACATGAGCCAATGTGACATGAGCTCCTGGAGCCCTCCAGTGTGCCAAACATTAGCCCTTTCATTGAAGGACTGTGAGGAGGCCCAGGCAGTACACCAAGGGGCAGCCAGGGTGCTGGAGCACTTGGAGGTCTCAGGGCTGCTACAGCTGTGCCATTGTGTACTGACTGCACATCAGCTCCAATTATACCCTGGCATCCAGCACTGTGCCTGGCACATAGTAGGTGCTTATTGGGCACACAAATGAGAGGGTGAAAGGTCCCTGCCCTAGAGGCATTCACAGTCTAGCAGGGGAGACATGGCACACTGCAAACCCGTGAAGAATCTTCCCCAGTGGTAGCCTTGGATTTTGGCCATTGGATACCTTGAGGTAGCGAAGTATGTCCAGGACCAGGTGGAGGGTGGTGCGTGGGGGGTGGTGTGAGCGCAGGCTGCAGGGGAATGCTGCGTGCATGCATGCACAGGGCTCAGCTGTCCCAGGAGTGCTAGGGAACTGCATGACTCAGGACAGGGCGGCAGGCTGAAGGAAGGGTGGGACGACCCAGGATAGTGCCAGTGAACCCATGGGGAACCAGTCTCAAACCTGCCTTCCTGCTTCCCTTCCTCCGTCCACAGTTTACTGCTCCGGGCAAAGTCTGCTGCAGTTCACAGAGAAGCAACAGCTTTGATGGCATCTGCAACCTAAGTCATAAAGATCAAAGTGGGATAAAGCTGGAGTGAGTTTCTGAGTTCCAAAAATAAGTAACATCTCAGAGGTTACTTTAAAAAATAGAGGCAGCTCAGTGCAACAGAAGGAGCTTGAGCCTCAGCATTAGACAAATCTGAGTTAAAATCCTGGCTTAGCCACTGTAGCACCTACACTTCCCAAGCCTCAGTTTCTTCTTTAATCTGGGCACTGGAGATGGTGTCTGTAGGGGGGCCTGGCTCATTTAGCCAGGGCTTAGTGAAGGGTAGGTAGGCATGGCCCTGTCACAGTCATTGCGGGGTCCCCGACCACAGCTGTGAAGGGGTCTGGACAAGCAGATGCTAAACGCCACTGGGACCTGCATACAGGGAGAAAGTCACTCATCTCTTCTAATACTGGAAAGAGATTGTGACTACCTACTAAAATTGCCCCAAGCAACATTCTATGCAGAGGAGAAAGAACAATGTGGTGTGACTAGTCCTTCCAGCCTCAGTGGGACAGCCACACAGTATTTCCCATCTATCAGCTCTCTATCAATTCATCTCCTGTGTCAGGTTATTGGCCAGGGCAAGAGGGAATGAGAGGAGAGGAAGATCCAGTCCCTGACCCCTGGAAATGCAGACTCTTGCAGGGCCAGATTCTCATGAGCAATGGCATGCCATGATGCCAAGCCTCACCAGGTCCAGGCCACGGCCGGAGGTGCCGAGTTCAGGCTGTTTGCATGGTGACCTCTCAGACTTAGTCAGCGTCCCCACCATCCCCAGCTTTAGTTGCATCATTGCACTCTCACTTATGCCACTAATATTCACTGAAGCCTGCTCTGTGGTAGGGCCCGAGTACAACAGAACGTGTCCTCTGCCTGCATAAAGCCTCAGTGACATGGACCAGTTGGTCCCAGTGAAAGGGCGATTCATTCTCTCCTGTTTTGTGATTGTGTGTCTGCCTCCCCACCAGACCGTGTGCTCCATGGAGCAGGGGCTGTGCCTGTCCCGATCACTGTCGGCTCCACTGTCCTAATCACTGCCCAGAGTCTGCTCCAAAGCCTCCTCCAGAGAGGGTGCTCCATTGATTGAACAGCTCCATGAGGAGGAGGGTGACTGACAGCACTCTGGGAACCCAGAGGAGGAAGTCACAACGCTAAAGGATAGCCAAGAAAGGGCTCCTGGCAGAGGCTGTGGGTAAAGTTTGCATAGGATGGAAAGAGGCAGGGCTGGAACAAGCAAGGGTATGGCAGTAGGAATGAGGTTGAGCTTTGCAGGAGTTCTGGGGAAGAGAGGTGGCGAGGTTAGCTGAGTGCAGGCCAGGAAGAGTTCCGGTGCTGCCTCTTGGGGTCTTGGGGTCTCTCTGCCTCTCTACATAGCTCTTAGTTTCCCCTAACCCCAGGGTTCTCACTCCCTCATCCCCCTACCTTCCAACAAATCAAGAAGTTCATGGATAAGGGACCCTGAGGGCAGCAAGGGAGGTGGTGAGAGCTCCAGTTGTCTGAGTCTAAGACCTTCCTCTGATGAAGTCCCAGCTCCAATTACCTTTCCCACCTAGCATGGCCGGAGAAAGTACAAGACGCCCAGTCAAATTTGAATTTCTGATAAACAGTGAAAAATTCTTTAACATAACGGATATTTGGGACATGTGCTTATACTAAAAAGTTATTCATTGCTAATCTGAAATTCAAATTTAACAACATATCCTGTATTGACATTTGCTAAACCTTGCAAACCCTCCCTTGACCCCCGCTTTTCAGCATCTGTCATTCACCCCTGCCCTGAGCCCCCAGGAACCATCAGAGGTTGTGGGCCTCCTGCAACATACTCAACGAAACAGAAATTCAGAGCTGCTAGGAACACTGAAGCTTATCTAGCCCCATTGCTCCCCACTATAAGTGGACTAGGAGGCCGAGGCCCAGAGGAAGCAGGCACTGGCAGGTCCTTGGGCACCTCTCAACAACTTGACTGGAACTTGGGCCTTCATGACAGCAGGAGGACCCTTGGCTGGGGGCTTCTTAGGAAAGGCCAGGGCCCTCCTATTCATCATTCTGGGGCAAGGCAAGGCAGGGAGTCTCCAGGTTTCTGCCCTGACCCTGGGCTGTGGTTTCCTGGATCTTGACACCCCCAAGTGAGTCACCTCCACCTCCCAGGCTACATCTGACTCAGTGCCAAGGCCCTGGGGCTCCTCAGCTCTTACCTGGCTCCCAGGTTGGAGGAGCCAAGTGGGCAGGTTGGGGTGGCTCTTGGGCAGGACTTTGTGGGAGGGACTAGACCTTGTGAGAGGCTCATTTCCCCACAGTCCTCCTCAGGCCCTGGTAATGGTCCAGTCAAGGGCAGCCCTCAGAAACTCCCAATGGTGCGGCTGGGTGCAGTGGCTCACACCTGTAATCCCAGCACCTTGGGAGGCAGAAGCGGGCAGATCACTTGGGGTCAGGAGTTCAAGACGAGCCTGGCCAACATGGTGAAACCCCGTCTCTACTAAAAATACAAAAGTTATCTGGGTGTGGTGACGGGAGCCTGTAATCCCAGCTACTTGGGAGGCTGAGGCAGGAGAATTGCTTGAACTCGGGAGGTGGAGGTTGCAGTGAGCCAAGTTCGCACCACTGCACTTTAGCCTGGGTGACAGAGTGAGACTCTGTCTCAAAAAAAAAAAAAAAAAAAAAAAAAATAGGAACTCCCAGTGGTGCAGCTAGAGCTGAGGAGAAGGTGGAGTGCCTGGTGGCAGGCGGGGTGGGGGTACATGGGTCGGGGGTAGGGACATAGATTTAATTAAAATCACTCAGCCCATCAGGCCTGCAGGGGTCTTCTGTCAAGTGGCCATTCCCCGCTCCCCACTGAAGGTGCCCATCCCTCTGGGCTCTGTTTCTTCCTCTCATCTTTCCATTGTTATGTTATGTATTAGTTTGCTTATTGTCAATGTCTAGTTAGAACATAAATCCTGTTCACTGTTTCAAGATCATAAAACAGTACCTGGCTCAACAAGCTTTGTGGAAATTGCCCTTACTGCATTTCACCTTGTGTGGAACATGGCCCCTGATGCCACAGTCCCCCACCCACCCATGAGCATCTCAGCATCTGCCAGGAGACTGGCTGTGTGCAGAGCTTTGTGTTCCCCCGGTCCAGGTTCCAGTTCCCTCCTCTGATTACAGCCCAGCCTGGGTCCTGGGACTGAGAAAGTAAAAGCACAGGGTTGGGGCAGACTGACAGACAGTGGGTTTAGGGTGCTGCTCAGGGTGGGGCTCTCATCTGCCTGCCCCAGTGCTTCCACCCGAACCACACAAGCCCACAGCACCTAGACGTGGCCCAGGAGCTCAATCCCAGGCCCACACGGAGCTGACCCCTCCCAGCCAGTCGGGCTGAGGGTACAGCACTGAGCCAGAAGCTGATGACCTGTCTGCCTTGACTTGTGACCTGCCAGATCCCTAGGCCTTGCCGGGCCTGGCTCTGTCTGTCTGTACAATGATGGTTCTGGGCTGACTGGTCTCTGAGGCTTGCCAGCTCAGCCCACCCATGGCTTTTTCCTACCCCTTATCTACCTCTAAACCTCTGTGCCAGCCACTCCTGCATTACCCTGGGGGTACTCCTGAGCCAAGGATCTTAGACCCTCCCCTTCACCCTAGTCAGACCCTTTGCTGACCCTTCTCTGGGACCCAAGTCCTGGTCCTATCTGTCTTGGGGACCATAGGCAGTTGGTGCCAAAGACTGTCCCCAGGATACTTGGGATACTTTAAAGTCATCCAGTAAAATGTCATTCAGGGAAAATCTGTCCACATTTACCTGGCTCCAGCCCTCTAATCAATCCTCCTTTGGGACGCCTGCTCCCCTGACATGTCCAAAGCTGATGAACTCTTTATCTTTCCCCAGACCTGCTCTTCCTGTCACAACCTCAGCAAGAGCATCACCAACCAGCCGGTCACCTGGGCCAGGAACCCAGAAGCCACCAAGCCTCCTCTCATTTTCTGCCTGCCCTCCTCCCATCCTTAACTAAATCCTGGCCACCCCTCTGTGCTATCCTGGGGACTGTCCACCTCTCACCTTCCGCTGAACTGCCCAACTTCATCCTTCATCTTTTCCTCCTGAACCTCAAAAGCAGAGGGCCCTTTGACACTGCTGTCTGCCTTCAGTCCATGCTTCATGCAGCAACCAGAGAGGGACCCTGCTGGCCACACACCCAGCCTTGTCACTCCCCTGCTCAAAACCCTTCCATGGTTCCCACTGCCCTCTGGATAAGGTCTGGCTCCTTGGCCTGGCATTCGAGGCCCTCCAGGCTCTGGACCCTGCCAGCCTTATCAGCTCATCTCATGTGGCTGTTCGACTTGCAGCCAAGTATCCTCCAGCTCTCAGCTGTGGCTCACGATGTTCCCTCCACCTAGGAGGCCTCTATTCTTCCACATCTTTAGGTTCCTCCATCCTGAATCATCTGGAGAGTCCGCTCTGGGAATTGACTCCTTATTTAGGGAGGCTGGATAAACAAGGCTTTTCTCAGGCTGCATGTGTGTTTTTAGACTCAGTCAACATTTATCTATTTATTCAGGTACTCAGCCTTTCAAAAAGGATTTGAGGTGGGCTATTCAATATTGATTGTGGGCTACCATGTGCAGCAAAGTCCAGTGTGCACACACACACTCATTCACACACAAGGCCGGGGCACCATGAGAACCAGGAACCAGGCAGAAGCTTGCAAAGGCCTCATGGGGCCAGTGTGAGGATGAGGCACCTGGATTCAGAGGGAGGCCCACCTGGCTCAGGGTAACACAGACAGATATGGGGTTGAGGGTTCAAATCTGAGGTTTTCTGAGCCCAGTTCACAGGGCTGCCCCTGGAGGACTGAAGCCCAGCCCTGTCTTTAGAAAGTTCCTTGGTTATATGTAGAGAGGGGGCTCTGGAAAATTAAACAAAGCCCACCAGACAGCTCACCTCCCCACAGGGTGCTCAGTGTCCCATCTTATTTAGCCCCCTAGGGTCAGGGAGGAAGCAGGAGCTGGAGATGAGGGGAGGATTTGGAAAGACAGAAGGTAGTAACAGAGGCAGCAAAGGCTGCAGGTGGGGGAAGGAGACCCATAGCTTCCCTCCGTGGCCCCTGCTTGCATTTCCCTTCCCTTTCGCCCACGTCAGCTTCAAGATCTGTTCCTCTTTTCTTCTGCAACATTACTGGCTGGGGGCAGGCTGGGGCGAAGACTGTGGTAGCTGCTCAACCTCTAGGTTCTCATGGGAGAGAACCTAGGCCCCAGCCGAGTGGCGGCCCTGTGGGCACTGCAGACTCCAGAGTTCCCAGCACGCTTTCCGGCCCTTTTCTCCTCCTCTGTACCCCCAGCTAGTCTGTGAGCAGGTATCACCACACCCTTTCCGAGGGGAGGAAACCAAGGACCAGAGCGTTGGTGACAGAGGAAGGACTCCATCCCTTTGTTCTCAGAAGCTAAAATCCTCCCTCTAGAAAGTATCCCAGGTGTGGCTGGGCACGGTGGCTCACACCTGTAATCCCAGCACTTTGGGAGGCTGAGGCGGGCAGATCACCTGAGGTCAGACCAGCCTGGCCAACATGGCGAAAACCCATCTCTACCAAAAATACAAAATTACAAAATTAATAAAAATACAAAATTAGCCAGTTGTGATGGTGGGTGCCTGTAATCCCAGCTACTTGGGAGGCTGAGGCAGGGAGAATTGCTTGAACCTGGAAGGCGGAGATTGCAGTGAACCGAAATTGTGCCATTGCACTCCAGCCTCGGTGACAAAGCGAGACTCATCTCAAAAAACAGAAAGTATCCCAGGTGTCATCTGCTCCTAATCTCTGACAGCCTTGCACAGTAACTGAGTTCAGAAATATGTGTTGGGTTGGCATCAGAGAGGGCCGCTGAGAAGGGGCCTCACCTGTCTGCATCCTCCAGGCATGGAGGCACCAATACTCAGTCTTGATCTCCATGGGCTGTTCTAAATCCTGGGCTCCTCTGCGGTTTCACATACAGGGCATGGGACGTGGAGGTCAGCTCAGTGGGACTCTCCAGGCAGTGGGGAGGGCGGACAGGGGACAAAGATTCTAGTTTCATCTTTTGCAGCCAAAGGTGGGGCTGGCCTGGCCCACTCCTAGGTGACCCTAACTGACCCCAACAGTGAGTGGCTGGGAACTGACCCAGGCTGAGCTGAGGCAGCTGTCAAAGCAGCCCTAAAATTAGCCCCAACAGGGATAGGGAGGGGGGATCTGGCCCAGGCTTCAGGCTCCCATGGCCCCAAGGGACTGAGCCCACACCCCACTCAAGATGGAAGAGGTCAGCCAGAGTTTTGGCAGTGACCTACCCGGAGGCTGGGAGGGGAGATTCACAAGCTAGGATGAACATGGTTCAGAAGGGGGATCGATGGGCAGGAGGCACCCCCTGCTAGTTTCTTGGATCCTATGTGGCTCCCAGCCCCAAGCCCTTCAGAGCCCTGAGAGGAACCAAGGAGAGACTTCACTATTTTTGTTCTCCTAGAACAGGATTGAGGGGGCCAGCCTGTCCTTCCAAGGCTGAACTGGATAACCTCACACCTTAGCATCAACTCCCAAGAGCAGAGGAGGAGCCAGGAGGTGTGTTAGCCTGATTGATAGAGGTGTGGATTGGAGACACCTGGGACAGGCCCAAAGTCAGCCTCATCCTGCCCAGGCATGCAGCTCCACCCACTTTCCTCTGCTCTGCCTTAGTGCTCTGAGAATCTTATTTAAAATGCAGATCCTGGCTGAGTGTGGTACCTCATGCCTATAATCCGAGCACTTTGGGATGCCAAGGAGGGAGAATCACTTGAGGCCAGGACTTTGAGATCAGTCCTGGTAACATAACAAGACCCCACCCCATCTCTACAAAAAACTTTTTAAAAAATTAGCTGGATGTGGCGTCATGTGCCTATAGTCCCAGCTACTTGGGAGGCTGAGGCAGAAGCATTGCTTGATCCTGGGAGTTCAAGGCTGCAGTGTGCTATTGAGTATGATTGTACTACTGCACTGGAGCCTGTCGCTGACAGAGCGAGACCCCATCTCTAAAAACAAAACAAAACAAAATCGGGGCGGGGCGCAGTGGCTCACACCTGTAATCCCAGCACTTTGGGAAGCCGATGTGGGTGGATCACGAGGTCAGGAGATCAAGACCATCCTGGCTAACACGGTGAAACCCCATCTCTACTAAAAAAAAAAAAAAATAGCCAGGCGTGGTGGTGGGTGCCTATTGTCCTAGGAGACAGGAGAATGGCATGAACCTGGGAGGCAGAACTTGCAGTGAGCTGAGATTGCGCCACTGCACTCACTCCAGCCTGGGCGACAGAGCAAGACTCTGTTTCAAAAAAAAAAAAAAAAAAACAAACCAAAACAGATCATGATTCAGAAGAAGATCTGGGGTCAGGTATGAGATTCTTCAAGATTCTAACAAGGTCCCAGATTGGCCCGCAGATCACACTTTGAGCACAAAACTCATTTCCCGGGCAGCTTGGGTGGACCCCAAGGCCAGGGCCCCGTCTTCTCCTATACACAGGTATCCCTACCACAGGTAACCCCAACTCCCATCTTCAGTAGAGCCTGGCATGAGCATATGGGCACCCAGTATACTAGGTGGCTGGCTGGTTTATTGTGGGTTCCTGCATGGGCAGTAGGTGTGTGTGGTAATCCCCGGGCCTCTGTGTCTACTGCATGTCTCTTGTTACATGTGTAAAAAGTGTACAAAGATGCACATATACAATAATGATGAAATAAAAATAGCTAAAGTTTAAAAAGTAGATAATCTTTATTGAGCACTATGCCCAGGGAAGGTACTAGAAATGTTACACTCAGTATCTTATTTAATTCTCATAACAACCCCTGTGAGATGAGAAAACCGAGGCTCAGAGAGGTTAAGTGACTTGCTCAAGGTCACACAGCTGATAAGCAGCAGTAAGGACTGGAATATGCATGTGCACCCGTGCACCCAGTGCGCCCATCTTGGTGCATGTGAGCTTGTGGGCATGTGTGCTGTTGAGTGGGCACAGGTGATGCAGGAGGTGAGCAGCCGCAAGGATGGGGTGGGCGGGGTAAGAGCCATGCACAATGATTCAGAGTGTGAGCTTTCCGCAGGTAGGGAGACAGGAGACCCAGGTGGAGGGAGATGCAGGCAGGAGCCAGCAAGTCTGGGCTTGAGTCTTCATACTGCAGGGCCAGCTTTGACTTCCTCCTTTGTGAAATTAGTGTGATAATATTTGCCTCACAAGGCTCTGCTGTGAGAAAGAAACGCAATAATAACGCAAAGTGTGCCACGCGGGCCTGCCTGGCACACAGCAGGCACTCAAGATGTGTGAGCTGGCCCTTCCTTCCCCTAGGGACTGAACTGCTTGGGAGTGACTTGTGCCCTGACTGGTAGCAGCCAGCTCACTGGATTAAAGGAGGCATCCTGGGGAGGGCTGGGGACAAGTGGTGAAAAGGCATGGAGCGTGGAGTGGGTTGCAGCTGAGGGAGCACCCAGGGAGGGACGGACATTTGAACAGAGCTCAGAGACTGGCCCACCACCTTTCCCTTGGCAGAGACAGGAGAAGCTGCAAGGCTGGAGATGCCCCAACTCCGGAGAAGTCCTCTCAGGAAAGCAAACACCCTGTCCCTTGACTCAGCCCTCAGCTATGCCAGACACATCAGCCCTCACGGTCCTGCAGGCCATGCCCACTGGAGACCAGATCTCCTCTGGGCCGGGCCGGACATCGTTTAGGCTGGGCCTTCGGAAGTGCCCAGTGACTCACTTACCCTTCCTCCATCCACAACCCGATCTTGCTCCTGGAGCTGGAGTCCCCTGAGGCTGCCCACACGTGGGTGGCTCCCAGAAGGTGGAGCTGTGAGGCATCATGGGGCAGACCCTTACCCCTCAGCAAGTCCGCTGCCTAAGTCCCTCCTCGTGGGTGGTGAGCTGCCTCCTGCAGGGCTCTGTAACAAGCAGGTGGTTGCCTGGGTGGGTGTCAGTCTCCCCTGGGACCCGGAGTGGAGGGGCACCCAGGTGGATCCCCCAGGCCATCCAGAAGCAGGTGCTGGGAGTGGAACCCCAGGCACACAGTTGCCGAGAACTGGCTTGCCGTGGGAGGCTGGATTGAAGTGCTGGAGGACCAGAGGACTCACAACATCCACCTCCATCATCTTCCGCGTGAGGAGTCTCAGCCCAAAAGAGGGCCATCACCAGGCCGGGATCATCTGCAGAAGGCACAGATCCCACCTCAGCCACCCATCCACGTTGCTGATGGGAGAACGTCCAGAGGCAGCTGTGGAAGGGTTGCTCTGTCGCCTCCGTGTGGCAGCAGGGGAGAAAGGCAGGGCTGGGCAGAGGTGGATGGGCATCTCTGGGTGGGGTGAGTCCAGTGTGAAGTGCCCTTCCTGGGTAATAGGGTGAGGGCTCTCTCCACTTACACACCCTCCATCCCTACCGATCACTCCAATCCAGTATCCACCTCCCCCACCAGACCGGTAGCCCCCACCAGACCGGGTAGGGCAAGGTCGGATCCATCATATCACTAGGCATGCTGGGAGGGCATTGTGAGGGTTTGAGGAAGTGGTTTGAGTGGAATTGAATTCAGCATAAATGAAAGGAAACAGTGTGGAATGTGGACAAAGACAAACAAAATGTTCATCGAATCAATGTGTGTAAAAGCAGAAACTGTGTTGGTAATTGTCGAAGTGGGTCACGGGCACAGGGGTTCATTACACCGTTCGATTCATTTTCATGTGTGTTTGAAATATTTTGAAATGAAAGAATTAATAGAAAACATAAAGGTCTAGCAATATAAATCTAAATAAATTATGATGCAGCTGTGCAAAGGAATAATGTCTACAGACATTAAAAATGCTACTGTCTTTTGTTTTTAATTATTTATGACAGCTTTATTGATATGTAATTTATATATCATACAATTCACCCATTTAAAGTATACAATTCAATGGCTTTCAGTATATACACAAAGTTTTGAACCAGCACAGTCAATTTTATAACATTTTCATCTCCCCCTAACAAAACTCCATGCCCATTAGCTGACACTCTTCATTTCTCCCCAGACCTCCCCATCCCCCAGCCTATACATTTACTTTCTGTCTCTATAGATTTGTCTATTCTAGATATTTTGTATGAGTGGAGTCATACAATATGTGATCTTCTGCGTCTGGCTTCTTTGATTTAGCATAATGTTTTTAAGGTCCATCTATGTTGTAGTATGTATCAGTACTTCATTCCTTTTTGTGACTGAATCATATTCCATTGTGTGGATATATCACATTTCATTGATCCATTCATTCATTGGTGGACATTTATGTTGTTTCAATTTTTTAAGCTATTATAAATAATGCTGCTATGAACATTCTGTACAAGTTTTGTGTGTGGACACATGTTTTTATTTCTCTTGAATATATACCTAGCAGTGAAACTTCTGGGTCTTATGGTAACCCTATGCTTACCTATTTGAGGGACCTCCAAACTGTTTTCCAAAGGGGCTGTACCATGTTACATTCCCACCAGCATTGTATGAAGGTTCCGATTCGCCACATTTTGTTATTATCTGTCTTCTTTATCAGAGCCTTCCCAGTGGGTGTGGCACATGTACTTTTTAATGACATGGGGAAAATATCCATGGTATAATGTTAGATTTTTAAAAGCAGTCTTTAGAACTATTCATACAATGTAATCTCAACTCTGTAAAATGCATACATCTACAGAAACCAGACCCAAAAAATAATAATCTACCAAAATGTTAATATGATTATCTATAACAATTTGGGGTGATTTTTATTCTTTCCTAAATTTTTTACAATTTGGACATGTATCAATGGGATAAAAAACCAACATTATAAAAGAAGGTAAAGAAAAATAATGAATATTAATAGAAAGAAAGATAATGCAAGCAAATTAAAATAAATATTAAAATACATTGAACAAAGCTGATTAAGGATCCATGTGCAGGACCACGGCCTGGGCACTTGGAGGAGGATGTCTGAGTATGGTTGGAGAAGCAGAAGAGTCAGGCCATTGATTCTGGGGCATGAGGATGTGCAGAAAAGGAGCAGTTACTCTCAGTGGGAGTGAGGGAAGGCTGCATTGGAAAAGGCAACCCTACAGCTGGCTGCATCTGAAACAAGAGGAGAGATGGGTAGGAGACGGGGGCATCCAGGGCCCAGATACATCAAACGCAGCCCTGATCTCTGTGCACACAAGCCACTGGGGTTGCAACAAGGGCATCAACGTCTCTAAAGGCAGAGACAGGGGTCTGAGTGAACCTAGCTCTGCCCTAACTTGAGGTGACTGACCTAGCCCTATGCATTGAGGATGAGTCTCCTTACCTTCAAAATGGCCCTGATAACCTCTCTTGAGGGTTGTTATGAGGCTTGAGTGAGATAGGAGTGTACAGCAGTTCCAGCACAGGCCTCTCCCACAACAGATGAGTGATTTGCTGCAAGGATACAGGGAGAGACAAGCTAACTCTAATGGTGGGGTGATGTCAAGGGAGGTTTGGTGGGGAGCAACCCTGAGCTGGGCTTTGAAGGATGGAGGCTGGTAAAGGAGGAGCTATTCCAGGCAAAAGCAGCTGGGATAGGCCTGCTTGGAGGTGGGGTGCTGGAGACAGGGGTGCCCAGCCTGTTCACAATAAGAAGTAACCACGGTAAAGATACAAATAGTGTCCTGGGACAGAAGCCAAGCCACCTTGTTATCTACTTTACCAGCTAAGCCCAGAGAGGGTGGAGCAGGCTCAAGGTCGGCTGCGGAGATCCTGGCCTCAGCTTCCCAGCAGAGGGCTCTTCTGCAGAAAGTGATCCCAGGATAGGGGGCTGCCATGGGAGTCAGGGATTTGCACCCCAAATTTCAGGTGGTATCTGAGCTCTGTGTGTCCTTCCTACCCACCTCTCAGGTAAGTGGCTTTCCTGGTATCATGGGGTTGGAATAGGGGGAGGGAACAGTTTTATTTTCTTCTTTTGCTGCTCTGTTTTTTCCCAGTCCTCTACACTGGGCAAGTACGACCTTTGTTATCGCAGAAAATGGCACAGGCTGCTGTTGATGTTTTTTAAAGAACATTTTCAGGATGGGTTTCCTAGACCTTGCAAAAAGTCAGTGTTACAAAATCCTGCAACTTAAAGGTATCCAGGGAGATATAGCAAATGTAGCAAGGTATTAACAATTGATGCTTGTAGGCAAAAAGTATGCCATTGTTCATGATACTAATCTTTCAATTTTTCCATGGATTTAAATTTTTTAAAGTTTTTTTGGGAAAAAAAGCAAGATATAAAACCATACACACAATGGGAACCAAAAATTGGAAGGAGAGAACACTAAACAATAAAACAAAATCTTCGTGACCTCGAGTTAGGCAAAGATTTTATAAATATAATACCAGAAACATGATCTGTAAAGGAAAAATATTTGTAAATTGGACTTCATCAAAATTAAGAACATTTGCCTTTTGAAAGAAACCGTTAGGAGAATGAAAAGACATGCTACTAACTGGGAGAAACTATTGCAGTACACATATCCAAGAAAAATTTGTATCTGCAATATAGAAAGAACTCTCAAAACTCAATAATAAGAAAACAAACCACCCAATTATGAAAAAAGAAAGGAGGCAAAAGATTTGAACAGATATTTCACCAAGTAGGTGTATGGATAGTAAATAGGCACATGAAAAAATGCTCAAACACATCATTACCTATTAGGAAAATGAAAATTAAAACCACAATGAGATACCACTACACATCTATTAGAATGGCTAACATTAAAAAGACTGACCATACCAGGTGTTGGTGAGAATCTGGAGAAACTGGAACTCTCACACACTGCTGGCAGGAGTGCATAATGGGGGAATCACTTTGGAAGACATCTTAGCAGCTTCTTAAAAATTAAAACACAAACCTACCATATAACCCAGCCACTCCACTTCTAGATATTTACTCAAGATAAATCAAAGCATATGTCCAAAGACTTATACACAAATGTTCAAAGCAGCTTTATTTGTAAAGCAGCTTTATTTGTAATAGCCTCAAACAGGAAACAGCTCAAATGTCCATCAACAGGTGAATGGATAAACAAATTGTGGCATAGACATGCAATGGAATACTACTGTGCAAAAAGCAATGAACTGGTGGATAACTTCTGGAATGGTGGCATGAGCAGCTCTGCAAACCTTCCAGACCTTCTTTCCAGCAGAACAAGTAAAACTGCTAAAGTTATACATACATAATTATCTATTTATATTTATATTGATATCAATATAGATGTATGTTCCTGGGAATTGTCCTAAGGGCATACAGCAGATGAAGAAACATTTATTCAAGAAAACCTACTAAATTTCAATAAGAATAGTAAGAGTCTGGGACATTTGAGCTACGACTTGCTCATTCCCTGGCCCCGTGCACCTCCAGCTCAGCATGATGGAAACTCCACTCCAGGCAGATGAAGCCAAGAATGCAGGGCTCCTTCTTCTCTGAGATCCCAATCCTCTCAGCTCTGTGTTGCTGGAAAAATTTGTTAGCCACCTGCAAAAGAACAAAGTTGGAATCTTACTTTATTCCACATGCAAAAATTAACTCAAAATGGATCAAAGACCTAAATGTAAAAGCCAAAACTATAAAACTCTTAGGAGAAAACATAGGGATAAGTCTTCATGACCTTGGATTTGGCAATGTATTATTATTATTTTTTCTTTGAGACAGAGTCTTGCCCTGTTGCCCAGGCTGGAGTGCAGTGGTGCAATCTCGGTTCACTGCAACCTCCGCCTCACAGGTTCAAGCAATTCTCATGTCTCAGCCTCCCAAGTAGCTGGGACTACAGGCATGCACCACCACACCCAGCTAATTTTTGTATTTTTAGCAGAGACAGGGTTTCACCATTTTGGCCAGGCTGGTCTCGAACTCCTGATCTCAAGTTATCCACCCGCCTTGGCCTCCCAAATTGCTGGGATTATAGGCATGAGCTACCACACCTGGCCTGGCAATGTATTCTTAGAACACCAAAAGCACAATCAACAACAAGAATGGGGGAAAATATTTGCATATTATGTATTGGATAAGGAATTTGTATCTAAAATATATAAAGCATGGTTATAGGCTGGGGGCTGTGGCTCACACCTGTAATCCCAGCACTTAGGAAGGTCGAGGCAGATGGATCACTTGAGCCCAGGAGGTCAAGGCTGCAGTGAGTGGTGACCATGCCACTGCCCTCCAGCCTGACAGAGCAGAACCCTGTCTCAAAATAAATAAATAAATAAATAGAATAAAAAGAACAAGGATACCAAGAACCAAATGCAATGAAAGAACATTGACTGGATCTTGAATTCCTCCTCCATACTCCCCCAAACTCCCCAAAATAGCTGTAAAATCCATTTTGGGAAAGTTGGGAGATATAGGAATATGGGCTGGATATTAGATGATAGTATGGAATTATTGCTTTTCTTACTATTATGATTGTGGTTATGTATGAAAAATCTTTGGAGCTGCACACCAAGGTGTTGGGGGTCATTCAGTGTCATGGTACCTGTGACTGCTTTCAAATGGGTTCAATTTTTTTTTTTTTTGAGACAGTGTCTCACTCTGTCACTCTGGCTGTAGTGCAGTGGCGTGATCTCAGTTCACTGCAGCCTTGACCTCCCAGGCTCAGGTGATCCTCCTGCCTCAGCCTCCTGCGTAGCTGGGACCATCATGCGCAGCTAATTTTTGTATTTTTAGTAGAGACAGAGATTTGCCACGTTGCCCAGGCTGGTCTTGAACACCTGGGCTCAAGCAATCTGCCTGTCTCAGCCTCCCAAAGTGCTGGGATTACAGGGATGAGCCACCACCGCACCTGGCCCTAGTTCAAATTTTAAAAAATGACAAAGCAATGAATGAAATAAGGCAAAACATTAATCGTTGAGTCTAGAAGAACGTATGGGTGCTCATTTGCTTATTGTATACTTTTTTCCTTTGTATTTGAACATTTTATTTTTTAAAAAATCAGAGGGAGGCTGGGCACAGTGGCTCACGCCTGTAATCCCAGCATTTGAGAGGCTGAGGCAGGTGGATCATTTGAGGTCAGGAGTTTGAGACCAGCCTGGCCAACATGGTGAAACACCGTCTCTACCAAAAATACAAAAACTAGCTGGGCATGGTGGCATGTGCCTGTAATCCCAGCTACCTGGGAGGCTGAGGAAGGAGAATTGCTTGAGCCCGGGAGGTGGAGATTGCGGTGAGCCGAGATCATGCCACTGCACTTCAGTCTGGGTGACTGGGTGAGGTCCTGTCTCAAAAAAAAAACAATCAGAGGGAAACATGAAAAAGCAATCACCTGCTGGGTATACAACAGAGCTTCTCTGGGTTCAGGAAATGTAGAAAGAAGCCTGAAGTTGGGGGGTAGGCAGCCCAGGTGGGGCCAAAATCTGGAGCCCTCAAGCTTCCCCCTAGAAGGAAATATGCCAGGGGGATTGGCAATGGGGAGGAGCCCCTTTACCTGGCCTCAACCCATGCCAGCAAGGTGCAAATAAGTGGCTTTCTATGCATTTTCTCATTTAATCCTCACCACATCCCATGAGTCAGGTACCATTATTATCCCCATCAGTTGAGGAACCTGAGTCTAGAGTTAAATAACTGCTTAAAGATCCTTCTCCAATCTAAGGGCTGGGCCTGGGCTTCTTGGAGGCCAGGGAAGTCATAGGTTTGTGTCCCCTCAGATCAGCCTGTGGGCAGCCCGACCTAGCTCCTGCCCTGGGGGAAGAGGGGAGGCTTTCAGGAATCAGGACCTCCTCTAGGTAACCAGACCCAGAGGGAATGGGGTTGGAGTTTGAGGCAGGGGCTCTGTACCTGCCCAGACATTGAAGGTCAAGAAAGGAGGTAGGTATGGGGCAAGGAAATTCAGACAAGCTGTGTCGGCCACAGGTACCCAGGGTTGTGACTTTTCAGACCTCGTATTCTGGCACTTCTTCTGCTGTCCCCCTCCTCTCCACACCTGTCACCCTCAAGCTTATACACACAAGCTCACTCTTCCATGCCTTCGCATAGTCTGTTCCCTGAGCCTGGAATGCCCACGGCTCACAAGATGAATTACTATCATTCTTCAAGACCCAGTTCCAAGTCCCTGGCTCTGAGCTCCCTTCCCCACCCTACTTTTTTCTATTAGATTACAATTGATTCCTTGAGGGTCCCCAGGCCTGCATAGGACCTGGCCTAGAAGACAGTGAGAGTTACATTGATGGCAATGCCTCTTTTTCTTGACCCTGTGGTACTCAGCGACCCTCCTCGGCCCCGGGCTTTCTGCTGTCACAGCCTCCACATCCTGAGTGGTCACTCTCTGTGGGTCTTCTCCCCTCACATCTGGGGTCACAATTTCTTCTATGTCCCCAGCGCCTAGCATGGGGTGGCTCAGAGGTCCCACAGAGAGCGAAGGTTTGTGGTTGCATCTCTAGCGGGACTCATGTCACACCGACTGGGCACCAGGTGGCACTGTCAGCCCAAGTAAGGGTTGGGGAGCCCCAGGCCCTAAGCCTCTGGCTCTGGTACAGCTTGGCACACACAGATGGGGCGGAGTTGTCAAAGCCCCAAATTCCAGAGCTGCTTCTCCTCACCCCATCCAGTGCGCTTATGCCTGATTTTAAAGCTTAGGATGTCAGGGATGGATTGAGAGTGGGGAGTCTTCAGTCCCCAAATGCAGACAGGAATAGCAACCTTCACGAGGCCACACAGCTGAACCTAGAGAACCCAGATGAGAGGGGTCCAGGTGGGCAAGCGGCCAGCTAAGCACCAGTCATTTCCTCCAGACTCTGCCACAAAGGACTGTGTAATGGGACAGCCCCTTCCCTTCTCCGAGTCTGCATCCTTCTGCCTCATGTTGGTAGCGAGAGCTGAGAAAATGGCCAGAGTGCCGGGTTCTGGTCCTGATTCTGGTTCTCGTGTGCTGCTGTGGCCTGTGCCTACTTCCCTGAGCCTAAGGGATCCTGACTGTTAAATGGGGGCTGGACCCAAGAGCTCTGAGCTGCCAGGACTCCAGGATCCTCACTGGGTAGGAGAGGCCTGTGTGTGGGGCCAGTCAGCATCTTGGCCAAGGACAGGCTGCTCTGGGAGCTGCCAGACGGGAAACATTTTCCGGGAGCCGGAAGGGCTGGCAGAGCCCAGGGCCAGGCTGAGCAACCACAATGGATCCTTGTGTAGAGGTTTAGCTTGGACACACCCACAGGCCCAGCCCCTGGGCTGGGGTGGACCCTGCTTTCTGATCTGCTTCCAGACCCAGCTCCTGAACAACCCAACCTAGGTCTAGAGGCAGGAGCATAGGATGGGCTCATGGTCCAGCTCCAGAGTGATGCTCACAGGCTTGGTGCCAGTGTCTGAATCTCCAGCATCAGCCTTTCTGGAATACTGTTGCCTAAATAACCTTACACAAAACTCAACACCCAGCTCTCCAACCAGAAAGGAGTTCCAAGAGGGCAGGGAGCAAGTCTTCTCCTCAAGCCAACTCAGGGAGCTCGGGACAGACAGTTGGACCAGCCTGGTTTGCTGAAGATCCCTGGCTAGGTGATCCATCTGGGACACCTGGGCTCTAGTCCTGGCAGAGCCTTAGTTTCCTCTTCTGCTCATGGGAGGGAAGGAAGATTGTAATACTTGTTTAAGGGGACACAGACACTGGGGCGGGGGGGCTTCAAAAATATCTACACAACCATCCCCCACACCACCCTGCCTCAGGAAGGACTCCACCCAAACCAATCCAGGTAGACTTGACTCATCCTCCCCTCTTCCTGCTCCTCCTGTAGTCCTGCCTGAGGCTCTGTGCTGCCTCTG